>NC_000010.11:128482226-128793707 GCF_000001405.40 Homo sapiens
GAGCGCTGGGGTCTCAAACCCCACCTTCCTCCCATTTCACTTGGGGGTGAGCCAGAGCCCAGCCTCCTTTGCACAGAGCAAGCGGAGAGTATGGGCACAGCACTGTCAATAGAAAACTGCGTGTTTGGACCACCAGGCTGAACAAGGGCACAGGAATCCTTTGCTTCCGAAAATCCTGCAAAAACAGTCATCAGAACTGTTCCCACTTTTTGTGCACCTGGTGTAGGCCAGGGATTGAGCCAAGCGCTTTGCATACATGAGCTCATGGAAGCTTCGCCGCAGTCCTAGGAGGCGAGCCGTGCTGCCCCACCTTCCTGGTGAGGGTATCTCAGAGAGGCGAGGAGTCACCCAAGGTCACTTAGTGAGCAGAACCAGGCCCTTCTCCTTCCAAAGTTCTAGAAATACAGTCTCTGTTTAATCCCTGTCTTTTTACTCATTAAAAAAAAAAAAATTGGAAAGGCACAATGGCCTCCTTTGGAAATTTTCAAAAGGAATGACCTTGTTGGGCTTTGAGAAGAGTCCTAGAGCCTCAAGGCCCCCGCACCGCCTTACCTGGAAGCAGCTGTCATCTGTGCAGCTTTTTAGCCAGGCAGGGTGAGGGTGAGGGGCCAACTCTCGATGCCTTGACTTTGCAGGAGATGGACATTTCAGTGGTAGCATTGTATACTTTTGTTCGCTGCTATTTGGTGGAATGGTTTGGGGGATAAACTTGATTTTTTATCTTTTCTCTTAGTAATTATCCCAATGCCCTGGGCTTTCGGTGAAACTGCAAGGAAATCTAATTTTGTATGTAATTAAGTGCCTGATGGGCAGTGATCCCCGGCAAACGATATTTCAGCTTAATGTTGTTGAGCAAACATCACCAAAAACTGATGAAGCCAAAAACAATCATCTGTGTGTTGGCGCCACTCACCATCACGCGAGAGCTGGGGTCATAAATAAACCACTTCACTTTCAGGGTGAATTAAGTGCTCTTAAAGGGTGTAAGTAAAAGCGCATCAAAGGGAAGCAGTCTGCTTCCATCCAGAAGTCTGGGCCGCTCCAGAGTGATTGGGCAGATGCCCCGTCCTGGCTGGTACTGGCCTGCAAGGGCGACGCTTTGCTTGCTGCTGTCTCGAGGACCAGTGAGGGTGCCAAATGGCAGGGTCTGGCACGTGGACCAGCCCGCAGTGAGCAGGGCCTGGGGTGACAGCAGTGTATGCCCCCGGGAGCCTGGGAAGAAAGCTCCTGCTGCCAGGCCTCGGCCACTGTGGCAAGTGGACGCCGGTGCTGCCCTGCTTCCAACTAGGAATTCCCCGAAAACTGGCACCAAATTAAATTTTAAACGCTGGAAAGGAAACCTAGAGCACTTGAAGACAGTAGCAGGATGGGCAGCCGTGCCCCACGGCAGGGTGCTGAGGACGTGGCTGGAACTCACGTCATTGGTTCGACATCTGGTGAATGCAAAGTCCCACTGTGCAGAGGAAACACCCTGTGGGTGGGCGGGTGCCCTTTAGAAGAGGGTTCCCCCACCCCACCTTCCACGTTTGATTGTTTTAGATAAAAATAATGAAAACAAAACATAACTTTAAATACGGTGTTTCACAACCCAGTTTGGTCAGCTTTATTAGGCTACTCGTCTTGCCCTGGTTTGCTGAGGAAACTCCAGGCTGGGAAGTTACACAGCCCCAGGTGGGAATCTCTGGCCCTTCCCAGCTGAGTGGCCTGGGGCAAGCGATTGAATTCTCCCAGCCTCAATTTCTTCAGCTGCAAAAGGGGAATAAAACATCCCTCATCCTACCTGCGTGGGCGTTAGAAATGTGGCAGGCGCTAAGTCACGGCCCACTTGCTACAGGCCGCACAACTGCACTGGGTGTGACTTTATTGTCAGGATTCCTGCAAATTCCAGCAGTGCAACCCAGTGGCTGAGGTTTGGGCATGACCCAGTGGTAGTTCCTTAGCACCCACCCAAGGAGGCACAGGAAATATGAGAGAGGGTGCAGAATGAGGCAGCGGCACCCACACCCACTGGGTATGCCAAAGGGCGCTAGGCAATGGGTCAGCACGCAGCAAGGAAGCCCAGAGGTGGGACACAGACAGGTTCCCCTCACCATCTAAAATGCTCTGTCTTCCCTCATCTTCAAGGTCCACTCACTCAACAGGTGTAGGGCACCTGCTCCAGGTCAATGTGTGTTGTGGGTGCCAGGATACACAGGGACAAGACCACAAAAGACAGACAGCAAAATGTAACATCCTTTCCTAGTGAACATTTGGAAAACACTGAACAGAGCAAGTAGGAAAATGAGTGCCTCCATCGTCCTGGCACTCAAGGGCATTCCTGGTCCAGGTGGCAGCAAATCCGCCTGGTTGCAGACTGGAGCTGCAGCTTCCAGAACCATGAGGATGGGGGAAACACAACAAAATCTTGAAAAACACCACATCTGATAAGTGCATCTTATCCCATTATGTGGGTACCTGCAATTAACTGATCATGTAGTAGTGGGTGTTGTAGATTAAGTAGCAGCCCCTTATCCAGCAAAGACTTTGCAGATGTAAATAAATTAAGAATCTCAAAATGGGGAGATGATCTTGGATTATCTGGGTGACCCCTCAATGTAATCACAAATGTTCTCTTGGGAGGCAGAAAGAGATTTGCCCCAGAAGATGGAGCAGCAATGTGACTGTAGAGGCGGAGACTGGGGCGATGCAGCTACAAGCCAAGACTTGGTGGCAGCCACCAGCAGCTGGAAAAGGCAAGGAAGGATCCTCCCCTCGAGGCTCTTGAGGGATTGTGGCTCTGCCTATGCCTTAATTTCAGCTCAGTGAAACTCATTTCAGACTTATAGATGCCAGATGTGAGAGAGTAAGTAGCTATTGATCGGTTACAGCAGCCAAAGGGCACAACAGGTGAATGTAGCAGGTGAATGTTTTTATTAATTCACCCCAAACAAAGGGGTGGGATGGAGCTACTTACTAGGCAGCCACCATGGGAGGCAACAGATGAGTGAATGAACAATGGATGAATGCACCACCCACCGTTAGGCTGGAAATCAGGTGCTGCATTTTTATTCTAATTCACATTATCCGAAAATAGTCACTGTATTAACCCGTTCTCACATTGCTATAAAGAAATACCTGAGACTGGGTCCTTTACAAAGCAAAGAGGTTTAATTGGTTTATGGTTCTGCAGGCCGTACAGGAAGCACGGCAGCCTCTGCTTCTGGGGAGGCCTCAGGAAACGCACAATCGTGGTGGAAGGTAAAGGGGGAGCCAGCACTTTACATGGCTGGACTGGGAGGAGGAGAGGGAAGAGGTGCCACACACTTTTTAACAATCAGATCTCAGGAGAACTCACTCCCTCACTATCACAGAAACAGCATCGGGAGGAATGGTGCTAAACTACTCGAAGATCCCACCCCTATGATCCAGTCACCTCCCCACAGGGCCCACCTCCACCACTGGGGATTACAATTTGACATGAGATTTCGTAGAGACACAGAACTAACTATATTAGTCACCCACGGCGATTGCATCGTTGGTACTCACTATCTTTATTTACCTTCAAACGGGCAAACTTGACCAGTGAGGTGAGCATCTTTGGGGCAAGTCCTCATCACCAACTCCAGCCCTGTCTGAGCAGGAGGTGAGAGAGTCACTGACCTTTTAGATCAGCCCCCACCTCTGACTCGGGTCGGGGGAGAAAGGGCTGGCTGATGGGGTGGGGTGGGCTAATGACACCTGTCAGCCTCCGGGGCCTGCTAGGTGAGGGCACAGAGGTAGGGGATGTAGGTGTGGTGCCATGGCAGGCCCTTGCTGGGCACAGCTGAAGCTGCTCTCACTGCTGACTACCCCCTGGACAATGGCACTGTCACCTGCACTTCCAGTGGGGTAGGCTGAGAGTCTTGTGCATGCACATGCCTTTTTCTGAATATGCTTTTCTGGGACAAGGCAGATGTTCCTCTAGAGCAAATCCCCAGAAACAGGTTGGCCACATTGTCCCAGCTGGTGCCATGAGGATAAAAGAAGAGGAGTTCCCTGCAGATACTGGCCCCAGTCTCCCGGCTCACCCTAACCCTGCTTGACTTTGTCTTGTTGCTTTCCTTTTTGAAAATAAGATATTTTCCTTGAGCCTCTATAAGCCTTGTCATTTTCCTTAAAGAAGATATCTGTTGGCATTTCAAGGAGACAGGATTTGTGTTACACACTGTATTAGTCTGTTCTCACACTGCTATAAGGAAATACCCAAGACTGGGTAATTTATAAAGGAAAGAGGTTTAATTGGCTCATGGATCTACAGGCTGTGCAGGAATCATAGGGGCTTCTGCTCCTGGGGAGGCCTCAGGAAACTTACAATCATGGCGGAAGGTGAAAGGGAAGCAGGCACATCTTACGTGGTCGGAGCAGGAGCAAGAGAGACACAGATGTGGGGTATTACACACTTAAATGACCAGATCTCGTGAGAACTCACTCACTATACAGTAACAAGAGGATGGTGCTAAACCATTCATGAAGGATCCACCCCATGATTCAATTACCTCCCACCAGGCCCCACCTCCAACACTGGGGATTACAATTTGACATGAGATTTGGGCAGAAACACTGATCCAAACCATATCACATACCCTTCTCCAAGGACCACTACCCACTTCCTGAACTTGCCAGGGGAGAACATTCCCTAGGACCTCCCTCCAACATGGGGACACATTTGCACAGCAACAAAAGGCACACAGTTTGGAGTTGAACCCAGGCAGTTTCCGAGCTGAGCTCTGCCACCCTCTCCATGATCCAACCCTGGGAAAATGAACCCTTCGGAATTGGAGTTTCTGTACTTGCAAAATGAAGTTGCAAAATGTAATGGCTTACCTGGGCTTACCTGGATGCACTTAGCATGCCTGAGCAAGGCTGACATTTGGAATGTGAAACCTGACAGCTGTCATCACTCAAACCGTGACTCTTCCCCCAGTGCTGGGTTCCTGGTTACTTGCATCTGCCGCATAGTGTCCCCACAAGGGCAAGCCCTGGGAAGTGGGAAGTAAGAGGGGTCCCTCTGCTTAGAGGAATGTGCCTGCCTTAGACCAACCTGACAGCTTGTTCTCTCTGATGGGGGCCTGCAGGCAGCAAAAGCCATTAGGAGCAATTTGTTGTCACCAGGCAGGCCTGCTCCCCCTAAACTGTTATCAATGAGCTTGTCAACGCAAGGCCTAACCGCCTTTGTTCTTTTCATCTGTTTTTCCCTCAGAGGCCTCTCCGGACCCTATGGCCTTCTCAGAGGAGCTGCAACAGGCTGTTGTACACCTGTTTGGCTGGAGGCTGGACCCGGGGGTCTGGGTGTGGTGGGAGAGAGCAGCGGGCTGCTCAGGCCTCCAAGCTCCTGGCGCTCATCTGTGTCAGGATGTCAGATGACAGTTGTTGGAGCTGCAGCTGGTACATCAGCCCGTGCCAGGGGCATGGGGCGCTGACCGCTTGCGTTGATGTGCTCTGCCCTCCCTGAGGAGCACACGCCTCACTTCCATGAGGCTGCTGCTGCGGCTGCAACTGGAAGGGAACAGGCCTGGCTAGCAGTGCCCATGGGCCCAGGAGGCCGCGTTGTGCAGGAACTGGCAGCAAGGAGACAGGAGTCTTGGAGCGGTCGCCCCACAGGCTGGCACCTCCCGTGAACACAGAGGGGTGCTGAGACATGCCCGTGTGAGCTGTGGAAAAACTCCGAACCATGAGAGCTTCCAGGGCCTCAATAAGCCCCAGAATGCCAAAAAATTCAATTCAGGTTGGACCAGGTTTCTAGTGTTCTCAGGACCAAGTGGACAGACATGGAATGGGGTGCAATGGACTGAATCTCTTGGGTGACAGGAATCCAGGAAAGGGCCCTGTCTTAGTCTGCTCGGGCTGCCATAACAAAATTTCACAGGCTGAGTGGCTTAAACCACAGACATTTATTTTGACATTTCTGGAGGCTGGGAAGTCCAGGATCAAAGTGCTGACCTGGTAGATTCATTCTGAGGCCTCTCCTCTTGGCTTGTAGGCAGCGGCCTTCTTGCTGTGTGCTCCTGTGACCTCTTCTTTGGGCATTCAAAGAAAGAGGGAGGGGGAGAGAGACAGAGAGCTCCCTGGTGTCTCTTCTTTTAAGGGCACTAATCCTATTGCATCAGGGCCCCATTCTCATGACCTCAGCTAATCCTTATCACCTCTCAAAAGTCCCTTCTCCAAATACCATCACATTAGGGATTAGGGCTTCAGTAGAAGACTTTTGGGGCAAAACAAACATTCAGTCCATATTAGGTCCCTCAAAAGAGCCTGCAGTCCAAAAGAAAATAAAGGGAAAGATTCCTATGGCATGCCTTGCCAAAGTGAGCATGCTCTGGGAGTCAGGAATGCTCCGGCATTTAGGAGCGAGCAGGGGAGAGCCAGCAGCCGCAAGACCACTCTCTATTGCTTTTTATTAAATCTCTGTTTAAGTAAACAAGGAACTGACAGTCTTGGGAGATAAACAAAGGACATGGAGTCTGCTGGGTGAGACTTTTCCATAAATGAGGCCTTCTTCTCCATAGTCAAGTGTGCCAAGAAGAGCAAAATGTAGGAGTAGGCCTAAGAGGCCCAGGAAAGAAGCCAAGTATTGGGGTTTCCATTTGCCCAGACGAGGCGTGTCCCCAGGGGCATGGGTGAATGGAGGGCACATTTCCGGGCCCTTTTGAGTTTACAAAGCACTTTGTTTCCCAGAGGACTCTGCAGCTTCGCCTCATCTCCAGGTGGGGACACTGAGGTCCAGCAGAGTGAATCGAGTTGTCCCCCAGCAAGGAGAGGTGGAGCCCTGTCTCTCTGCAGCCATGCCTTAATTTGGCCTTCACATCTCTTTTTGATTCCAAATCCTGTGCTCTCTCTGCTTTACAAGCAAGGCCATACTTTTCAAAGCATCATGTGTTTAAGAAGTCTGCACTGTAATAGCTGCTCTGCAAACTGCAGAAGCCAGGGCCTACAGTAGAGCCTGTCTCCAGCACCGCTAGGGAGATCTCAGGCTCCGATGATGCTCAGCATCTTTGTGGGAGAGGCTGGGGTGGGGACTTTGTCCTGCCCTCCGGGAGATCTTGAATGCTCAGGGACGAATGAGGCACAGCCTGGCACTGAGCTTGAACCACTTTTGCAGGAAATTGATTGTACCCAGTGGAATGACCTGATGGGAAGGGGGTGGGGGCAGGTATAGCTCACATGCTCCATCCCAGGCTCCAGGGCACTGTGAGAATGGTGGTGGCAGCATTTTTACTCAAGGAGTCTCTTGCCACCAGCCTTGCCCCCGCCCCAGCGGGCTTGCTAGTCCTGAGTTCTGCCCCAGTGCACCCTCCTCCCTGGGGAGCTTTCTGCAGAACCTGCTCAGGCTCGGCTGTGGAGAGGAGACAGTGCCAGTGCCTTGGGTGACGGGGAGTTGGTGGAGAAGTGGTCTCCCCAACGGCGGTCTCCTCTGCTCCATACTGGGGCTCATATCTGGGTTCTCAGCCTCCTCTGGCAAGGCCTGGGCCCAGAGTTCTTGCCCTGGGTTGAGTTGAGCAGGGAAACTACATCTACTATTGACCCTGAGCTAGATCCTTAGCTGGATTAAGGCGCCCTCTGTAGCCGGCAAGGTGGCTTTGTGGTCATGTCTAAAACAGCTTAGAAGTAGAATGGACACTTCCGAGATCTTCCAGCTGACCCCAGCATCTGAGGACACTTCAGAAGCTGCCAGCCTCAGTGAACATGGTGGCATGACTCAGCCTCCCAGAGACAGCAACCTGGCAGCGGGTGCTCTCAGAGGGACTTTGCCTCCTGAAGTCAGTCTCTTTCCTGGTTTCTGGAGCACCTGGCCCCCTTGGAATAGGGGTCAATCCCTTACAACAGATGGCATCAGCTTTCGCAGCCCTGGCCGGCAGGACCAGCGGAAAGAGGCAGCTGCTCTCCTTCTCCCCTTCCCTCTCTCATTCTGGACAAAGACCATTATGCAAATTAGGGCCACAGGTCCAGGGCAGCCCATGGTTGCATCTGCAAAACAACTGTGAGTGATGTTCAGCCCCAGAAACCTGGCTGCAGCTCTTCTGCAATCACCCGAGCTGACACCAGTGTGCCAGCAACAGACAGCTGGGAGGACCTACACCTCCATGGATCCATCTGGAGAACAGGTCTGGAGCCAGTTGCCTGAATTCAACCATGTGAGATGGGGCTGCTCCAAAGACTGTGAGCACCCTGTCCCTGCAACCTTACCCGCTCACCCATCAGATCAAGGACAATAGAGGGATGGTTTGACACAGAAGCGAGACATGCGCCCTGGCCTCCTGTCCTTCAGGGTCCTCTGCGTCATCCCTGTGGCCTCTACATGCATACACACAGGCAAAAGACCCTCCCTAATGAGTTCGTGGACAATGTCCCTGTTTCTGTCCTGGATAGGGGCAGGGTGCCGAGGGCCCCAGTTAATGCCCTGTGTCTTCCATGAGAAGATATCACAACCTGTGGCTTGAAACACTGCAAATGCCTTCCTTTGCAGTTCTGGTGACTAAAAGCCCTAAACCAAGGTGTCAGCAAGTTTGGTTCCTAGCAGGGGCTGGGAGGGAGGGTCCTTCTCTGCCTCCCTTCCAGCTTCTGATGGTGGCAGGATCTCTTGGCGTTCTTTGGCTTTGTAGATCCATTGCTCCAATCTCTGTCTCCATCCCCAGGTTGTGTTCTCTCTCTGTGTTTGTGTCTCTGTGTCTCAACTTCCCTCTTCCTATGAGGACACTAGTCATGTTGGATATAGGATGTACCCTAATCAGATATGACCGTATCTAAACTTGATTCCATCAGTAAATACCTTATGACCAAATAAGGTTTCAACAACAGATTCAGGAGGATGAGAATTTTGAGGATGCTGTTCGACCTAGCACAGACTCTGATGGTGCTGGATTTCTTCTGCCGATCCATGAGCTATTGTGTCCATTCCTAGTGCCCTAGTGGACTGAGTGGCACCCACTCTCATCATGGCCCTGTTGCCCTAGTTGTTCCCACTCCAGTTCCCTGGGCTGAGACTCTGAGAAATCAAACCCAGACATTTAGTAAGAGGCAGACTGCAGGGAGATGCCAAAGAACTGGGGAAGGTGAGGAGAAAGGAGGGAATCCTGGTTTCCAAAGACCCGGAGGATGGGTGCAGCCTCTCCTGCCCACCCAGCGCACACAGTGAACATGCTCCCCAGGCCATCAACACCCCATGGCTACTGTTTTAGGCCCAGGTGGCTTAACCTGAGGCTGTAAAATGCCCTTTCCCTTCTTTTATATTTGTACCAGTGGGGGTGTCCAGGCTTCTGCGCCAGTGATGTCACTCTCAACTTCGGGATGATGGTTGCAAAACCAAAACTACAAGTTCTTTGTCCTGAAAATGGCCATGAACCTATCCTGCTCAATCAAGGCTTGCCCACTGTGCCCACCCCCCCCCATAGGCTGTGCGTGGGCCCAGGCACTCCAGGAAGGGTGTGCAAGGCCAGTGAGGTACAAGGTCAAGCCAAGAACCCAATGGCTGCATAGGCCAGCCTCCCTCATCCCTCAGACATGGGCTGGACCTTTAAAGAATGATGCTCCCCTGAGACCTTAATGCAAAGACATGGGGACCTCAAGAGTGGTCCCCGGGAGTGGGGCCTCTGCAGCAGTCTGTGCGGAAAGCCTTGGAGAGCGGCCGTGGGTCCTGGCAATGACATCATCTCTGGCATCATTGGCAGAGGGGCTGGCACTTGGCGCCTGTGCAGGTGGATATGGAGGGTGCTTGCTATCTGCAATGGAGCCCTTGGCCTGGGAGGTCTGGCCAATCAGGCAACTGTACTATGCCTCAGTTTCCTCATCAACAGATGAGGACTCTACCTTTCCACCACCCCACAGGTGTCCATCCAGGGTCACCATGACACAGCGTGCACAGAAGAGCTTTGGAATGACAGAGATGCCAGTGGGCTGCAGGGCATTATGCACACAGCCCAGAGGGGACTGCAGTGTGACAAAGTAACTTCTTGGGAAAAACACCCAAGATGTGCAGTGGCCACAGCTGACATAACCTCCGGTCGGATACAGGGCCAACAAGTGTGCGAGTGCAGCCTTTTAGCAGGTGGAATTCACAGAAGTGCAGTTTGGGACTGCAGCCCCATTCCCTCCTGGCTTCCTTGAGACTGAGGCTGTGCAAGTGCCAGGGTGCCCATTTCCCCCTCCCCTGGCCACCGAGTCCTCTGTGGTCACAGAGACGGAAAGTCGAAGAAAGGCCCATCAAGGGCACACGGGAGCGAGTGACTTCGAAAGCCCTGGCATTTACACAATTTAGGCATGTTACGTTTATTTAAGGGCTTTTCATGTAAAGGGTGCAGGGCCCTGAGCGGCTGGATCTGTTAATGCCTCATGCTTTTTGTGTTTAAATGTGCCACTTCCAATGACTGTCAATGTTGACCTAAGTGACAAACATCCAAACATGTTTATAGAGGAGACCGTGGGACCTCATTCCATGTGACTTCTGCTCTGTGGAGAAGGGGGAAAAGGCTAACACCAGAACGGTTGTTTTTTAAGATGTGGCCTCTTTGACAAGTCTTGTATGTGGCTGCTGCCTCCGCGGGAGCCCTGGGTGCTTCAATCTCCTCTTGGAAAACAGCAAAGGAAAGGGCTTCGGGCAGATTATTAAGTGGGGCTGCTGGCATCATCACACTGAATTAATGGCCTTAATTTGAACATTTATTCATTCTTTGAAGAAATATTTATTGAGTGCCTTCTCTGTGGCAGTATCATGTTACACACTGGAAATAAAGAGATGAAAAAGGTGGAGGGAGCCCTGCCCTGAGGGAGCTTAAAATCTAATGAGGGAGGAAATGAACAAGTAATTGCACATGTTCTAAGTAAAGAGGGGGTCAACTAAGGCCCCATCAAGAAAGAGACCTGTGAATCTGTCCTTCAGGGAAGAACAGGAGTTGGCCAAGCAAACACTGAAGGCAAAGGAAGCAGCAGATCCTGATGCAAGAGACGAGGGGAGATTTCAAAGAACTGAAAGCTCAGGGATTATTCCACATACTCAAGACATCCTGTTCTACATAAACCATGGAATAAACCAAAGGATGGGGACAAACTAGGTTGCAGAAGTAGATGGATATGTGGCATACGCATTTGATGAATTCAAACATGGAAATACGGTATTTTGGTAAATAAAAAATCAACTGCTTTCCAACAAACTAAGTCATTGAGCTGTCCCAAGACAGGGCATGTGTGTGAGTTGTCAGGAGAAGAAATTTGGTTGCTACCTCTTTTGTGGCCCTGATATGTTTACCAGCTGGTAAATGGGAGAATCAGAGATGTCCTCCATCTCTCTGTAATGGAGTCCATTGATCCTTTTATAGTAACAAGTACACACCCATCAGTTCTTATCAATGTCCATTGGTTTCAAGCTGTCTTACCAAGTCACCAGTGACATGGATGGCATGTGATGTACAAGAAGCCTTAGAGTTGTCTGGGTCAGATGACAGACAAACAAATATGAAATAGGTGGTTGGATTGAAATAGAGACTAGTGCCATTTAATAACTCATAATGTGAAGAGGAGACGAGTGACTCAGTAGCCGCTGGGCTCCTCTCTGCTTCAAGCCCTGCCAGTTACTACAGAGAGTCCCAAGGGGTGCCCGGCAAGGATATAAACTGATGGAGTTGTGTGGGTACCCGGCAAAGGCCCTTCCAGTGAGGATGACAGTGTGAGCACAGGCCTGAAGGTGGGTGACTCAGGAGGAAAAACTTGACTACACAGAGAAACAGCCCTGGGCTAGAATAGAGGATCGCCCAGGTGCAGCGGGAGTCTGAGCCACATTCCAGGAGTCTGGAAAGTAAGAAGAGCAGCTGTAGCCCTGGATTTGTGCAGGCAGCATCTCTGCAGACTCCTGGGAGTGTCTTCAGAGGCTATTTTGGCTATGATTGGCCAGCTGGATGTCTTCAGAGGTTATTTTGTCTATGATGGGCCAGGTGGATTTAGATAGACAGAAAGAAGGAGGAAGAAAAGGAGGAGGAGAGGTGGAGGCCTTGGAGTTGGGAAAACCACCCAGAAGGGCAACCTAGCGTCCAGGAGAGGTGGCCTGGTACCAAGCATAAACTCAGGTATGAGAGTTAACATCACCTGGGGTTTGATTCTCTGTCCTACCCTTTTCTAGCTGATATCTTGAACAAACTCATTCACTTCCCTGAGCCTCAAGTTTCCTCTTCTATGAAATGGGTGGGCTTCTTATGAAGGTGCGATGAGTTCATGTTGGTAAAACTGCTTATGTGGCATGCCCAGGGCAGGCTGTGGCTTGACATGCCCTAGATATAATTCTCAGATCCCAGGCCTGCAGTCATGAGTGTTCCCAGGGTCCTTCTCTAACAGGTCTGGAGAGGGATCGGGGCTTTGAGATGTGCTTTGGGCAGGACAAATGTCAGAGAGGTACCTTCTTGCCACTGTCCACCAGGGGCTACGAAGAAGCTGTCTGTGGGGTGCAAGGTGGGGGCTAGAATATTAGAGCACTGAAAAGAGTGACTCCATGCCCCAATAGGTAATTCAAATACAAGCACTATTAAACCTCAGACACAAAAATTACTGATATGCAGGAAGGAAAATATTTTAGAAATTTTTTTTCATTGCAAACTTCTGAGTCAGCTCATCATGTTGACTGGACCTGGTTTTGCAGGCACCTTAAACACGTAGTTGGTCTCTAGGGGGCAGCTCCATCTTTCTCCCTGGACAGTGCTATCCTGACCATGCTAATTGGAGAGGTCATTTGGCCTCCGATCACTTCGTGACTGCCCCTCTGCTCTGCTTACCCAGAATGTAACCCTGGCATGCTTGGGTGGGGACTGTGACTGGGCCACCTTCCCACCTGTTCCTCCATGCATCATCCATGCACCAGGTGTGTCAAGCTCTTTTTCTAACAGCAGTGGGTGAGACCCAAAGAGAAAGCAGGCCGGACACGGTGGCTCACGCCTGTAATCCCAACACTTTGGGAGGCCGAGATGGGCAGATCACAAGGTCAGGAGATCGAGACCACCCTGGCTAACACGGTGAAACCCCGTCTCTACTAAAAATACAAAAAATTAGTTGGGCGTGGTGGCGGGCGCCTATAGTCCCAGCTACTTGGGAGGCTGAGGCAGGAGAATGGCATGAACGCAGGAGGCGGAGGTTGCAGTGAGCTGAGATTGCGCCACTGCACTCCAGCCTGAGCGACATAGCAAGACTCCATCTCAAATAAAAAAAAAAAAGAAAAAGAAAAAGAAAGAAAGAAAGAAAGAGAAAGCAGACGTGGTCTCAACCCACTCAGAGTCTTCAGTCTCTGGGGAACAGTCACAAGAGGACTCCCAAATCTGCCTGGGGGCAGGGGACACCAAGCAGGAAGAGACCGTGGTAAACCCCACGTGGGGGCTGGAGTGTGAGTAGTTTATCATCAAAACTGAATATTCCGGACCAGTCTGGGAACGGAGTTTCATGAGAACCCCCAGGCCAGTGCCTGCATGGCTTATGCCCTAGGGACCCTCCTACGGGCTGTCTGACAACCAGCGTGGTCTGGACTGGGTTCTGCCTGATGAGAGGCTTCAAATGTTCTGCTAGAGACCCGTTGGAATCCATCGGGCTTTAAAGAAGCTTCCTGTCCCTCGGTGGCTGGGCACAGTGACATCCTCAGAACAACAAGGAAGGAGCTCATCTTCATACCCAGCATGGAATCCAAGCTTCTTCCTTGGTCAGCCTCTGGGCACAGCAGAGATTTGCATCTTCAGTGAACCTGGGGCTCTTGGGACCCGCCTGGGGGCCAGCTGTTGCTTTCGGCTGCATAAGAAGCCAACCTCATGTGGACCAGTCTGTGCACGAAGAGGTCACCAAGGTGGAGGCAAGGCAGGGGTTCCGTGGCCCAAAGTGGCCAGCCAGAGCCTCCCATTGTGTCTTGGCTATGTGACTTTGGGTGAATCTCTTGGGCCTTCTAAGCCTCTGCCTTTTTCTCGTCTTTAAAAAGGAAATGATAATTCTGTCCTGACTCTGTCCCATCAAAGGTGGTTGATTAAATAGCCCTGAGTGCGCAGTTGCCCCTGCTGGTGCTTTCCTCTTCCTTTGGTGTTATCAAGTGAGGCCATGGGATGAGCATGGAGGCAAGTTGCAAAGTCAGGATTGGATCGAAGAGTTCACAGAATGAGATGCGTGACCTCACCATGGCCTTCAACACCACATTAAGGTTTCCTGCCTTGGAATGCTGGTCCCGGGGGAGTTACAGGGAGGCGGGACCTTCTGCCTCAATATGGGTTTGGGGCTAGTATTTCTACATCTCTGATTCTTTACCTCCACCATTAGCACAGAGGAAATCCTGACCTGTGGCTGCAAAGTGTTAAGGACTTTCTCTGGTGCTTTTATTATCATTGCTATTGCCTTTTTCTTAGCCATGATGGCACCCGAACTGCCTCTTGCGTATTGAAGCTAAACGCTTTTTTCTGTATTAACAAACAGGACTCTTCTGACTCCCCTTGCTTAATTAGGGCACTAAAAGACTGCCAAGCACTAAGGGTAATGACCACATCAGAAACTTATCCCTGCTAATCTGTACATTTATCATCGTTGCCTTCGTAAATCCACAGTGACTGGTAAAATCTAAAGTCACTCTCCAATTTATAACTGGAAGAAAGAATTCAGCTAAATGAACCATTGATGCCAGAGAACATGAACCCATCACTATAGAACTGTCAGCACCAGGCAGAGTCGGTGCTCTGAGAGGTGGGGCCCCACCCAGCTCCATCTGAATGCCCAAATGCAGGCTGCTTCTTGGAGTGACTGCTGGTCCACCTGTCTGCTCCCTGTGTCCTTCTGGAGCAAGTTGGGCCTCCGATTCCCTTAATTACAATGTAGTTTCTCCATAGAACTTAATGCCAGCTGACATATTCTATACATGTGTTGTTTATTTACTTCTTGACTATCTCCCTGCACTGAAACACAAGGTCCATGTGGGCAGGACTTTTTCTGTTTCATCCACTACTGTACTGTATTCCCTTAAATACATCACTCAGAACAGCATCTGGTATGTTGTATGCATCCCATAGATATACATTGAATGAATTAACAAATTTAAAAAGTAGCATTGGACTGGAGAACCATTCTATGTCTCTTACATACTGAATTGTTTCTCTCCAAATTCGTATGTTGAAGGCTTAACCCCAGTACCTCAGAATGTGACTGTATTTAGAGACACGGCCTTTAAGAAGGTAGTTAAGTTAAAATTAGGTCATTAGGGTAGGCCTCAATTCAGTATGTTGTTATAACAAGAGATTAGGACACAAAGAAGGAGAGAGAGAGACGGCAGACCTGTGCGTGCACAGAGGGATGACCGTGTGAGGAAACAGGGAGATGACGTCCATCTGCAAACCCACGAGAGAGGCCTCAGCAAAAACCAGCCAGCAGCACCTTGCTCTTGGCCTTCCAGCCTCAGAGCTGTGGGGGAGTACACTTCTGCTGTTGAAGCCACCCAGCCGGTGGCATCTGTCATGGTAGCCTGAGCAGCACTAACAGAATGTCCTGGCGAGAGCAGAGCACAGCGGGACATCAGGGCCCTTAGGCAGCTCATGGAGGACCCACAGCCCAGGGTCTAGGTGGACCAGGTTGTAACTGGGTGGGCTGTTTGACCCGCCTGTCAGCCCGGCATAAGCTTTCTGTCCGCATGGAAAGAGGCGCCCGTGTGAATTGAGACCTCCGTGCCCCCACAGGCATCTCCAGGTGGGCGCCATCCACCTCCCCAGGCATAGCTTCAGCACTCGCAGCTGGCTTTCATGAACCTGATCCTTTTGCATCTTTATGACAGCTCCCCAGGTCAGCATCTCCATCTGCCCTGTGTAACAGACAGGGAGGTAGGGAGGTCCGAGGGTGAATACTGGGTCGTGGGGAATCCAGGGAGGGCAAATCCATGGTTAAGCCCCATCATTCAGATGTGGCCTGAGGGACTAGAGGCTGCTAGAGGCCATGGGTGGAGACGGCAGCATGGACTTCTCCCACGGAGGAGTGTCCTCTGCCGGCTGTCCAAGGCCCCTAGGATTATTCCACCTGGAGAGGGAGCACCAAGCAGCTCAGGCCCCCAAACCCACGATAGTCTGCCTGGGCTCCTTCCAGGGAGGGAAGGGGACTTCTTCCTGGCAGTGGCCAGGCCCACATGTCTCTGGGGACTGGGCTGGGGTCAGGAGAGCTAAAGGCAACAGTAAGAAGAGTTGAAACAGTAATGTGAATGAGTTGGGCAGTGGTAGCAGGCTACTAAGGGGGATATTTGGGGTCAAGGACCTCCCCAGGGCTCCTCCTATGCACCGTGAATGGAAGTGCAGGTGCTCTCTGCAAAGACCCAGCAAAGGGAGTGGAAGGGAGGGTACAGCCCCTGGGCCTCCCAAGACTCCAGGTCCCTCCTGTGCTCTCTGCCTGGGCCTGGCCGCTGGCTGAGGCCGGCCCCATCTCAGGACTATATGTCTGTCTCCATTCTGCTGTGCTCAATGGAAAATTTCCTGCTTTTTCTGTGTACCAGGAGGTCTTGCTTCATTATTCAGAAAGTCTTTAAGCTGATGCTCAACCTAGTTAGCTGCATTAACATATTTAAATCACAATTAATTGGAAAATTACAGTAAGGTGTGAAGTGGGAATCATTTCTTTCAAATGAGCATCTCTGCTTGTTGATGAAACCCGAGCCATTTGTTTCTTTCCAGGAAGTCTTCAGGCCCCCAGCCGGCACGTGTGGGCCTGGCACGTGTGAGCTGTGAGCTGCATCTTGTGGAGAGGTGTCTGCTGCACCCTCACACCCACAGGACCTGGAGGGCTGAGGCTGGCCCAGCAGCAACAGCAGGTGGGTGAAGGAGTCCCAGGGGAGGCTGGGATCTCACTGGCACCAGGTTTCCTGGGGGATTTCTCGGGGGCCATTTGAATGGCAGTGGGTGCTCCTGCTTCAGACCTGGAGAGGCTGGGCCCTGGGCAGCTGTATTCTCCAGGGCTCTGGACACTGTGATGTGGCCTTTCTGGTGCAGGACACTGAACCCAGCATTCCTGGGGCAGGGGCCCAACTTTCTGGTGTCCCTAAGGCCAAAGCAGATAAACTCACTAGCAACGATGGCGGTAATTGGGAACACTCATCCAGGACATCCCATCCTGTGTGCTGAACAGGGAGCTAAAGGCATGACCTCACTGAATCCCCCAACGACCTTCAGCAAAGAGGTCTCTGTGACTGAGGCTGGGAGGGGTCACCCAGCTAGGAAAGTGACCGAGCTGGGATTTGAACCCCGCTGGCTGGTTCCAGAGTCCAGGCAACTGATCCTTTTGTTCTACTCCTTCCCACAAAGGCAGTCCAGGTGCTGGCCTGTGTGAGCGAGGGCATACACGCAGGCCTCGCTCCTACCCCAGTAAGCCGTGAGGAGGGAGGCACGCACACACGTTCTCAATGGTGCAGGCCCCACCACCACCACCACCATGGCAGCTGGACCCTGGTTGGCCACGGGCATCCAGGTCCCATTGCCCACGGTATACACTGAGTACATCTTCCTGCAGCCAGAGTGAGCAAAGCCTCCTTCAGGTGGGGAGGGGCCCAGCAGGTGCACAGATGCTTTCCCTTGTAAGGGGCGCCTGAGCCCGCAGCTAGCACCTAACACCACTGGGCGGGCAGACCCTTGGAGCTAGCGGGCCGCAGTGGCTAAGTATAGCAAGCTTTGGCCTTGCTTCCCCAGACCTTGTCTGAATGGGCCTTACACACCACAGGTGCTTATTAAGTGTTTGTCAGGTGTCAGGACTTCCTTCTGATTGAGAGCAAAGGAGGAAGAAGTGTATAGCTGCCTGTGGGGCATAGCGGGCCTGGGGCAGAGTGCAGTGCAGAGCGCCATGGTGCTCTGGCCGAAGGAGCACCCCCTTTTTTGCTGGGGCCTCACTGATCTGAGGCCCCCTGCTGGGAAGGAGTTGGGGGAGGCACTGCAGACCTTTCCTGTAAATGAGGAAGTGGAGCCGCTGAGGCCCGGCCCGGCTCGTGGTGGTGCAGCAGATAATAAGGTAAGCAGTAATCAGAGGCAGGTGCCCGTGGGAATTGCTCAGTATGGGAGTGTGGGGATTCATTTCCCTTCCTGCAAACAGGATGGGTAAGTGGCAGGCATTTGTTTTTCCGGATTCTCTCGTTGCCTTGCGAATTTGTTTCCGTCCGAGGCAGCCATGCCTCATTGCATAGCCGAAGGTCCGCCGGCGTTTCTAGATCTTTAACGCCTGCACAATTAACCAATCGTGTTACGTAATGTGTTCTTGAATGCTCCATTTATCTCGTAATTGAACATTCGTGCTTTCTGTTGGAGTGCATTGATTCTCACTTTTAAAACTTCCATTTGGAAGTGCAAGCAAGATTTTGGATTGAAGGCTGGGGGGCAGAGGGGCAGGAGGGAGCTCCGGAAGGGTCGGCCCGCTCCGCAGTCCTTTCTGTTGCCTGCCTCGCTCCCCTCCCGCTGCCTGGCGTGCTCTGCTCGCCTCATTCTCATGTACCCCTAGTATTTCTGCGTTTGGAGATGGAGGCGTTGGGGGAGAGAGGGCGAACAGCCTGAGGAAGGGCACGTAGCTGACATGAGGTGGAAAGTGGATCGGGATTCAGGCCAGGCAGTAGGAGTCCAGAGACAGCTCGTGACCGCCGCAGGACGCTGCCTCAGACGTCTTCATGCTCGGCAAGAGCCTGACACCGGGGCGCTGAGCTCGGGGTTCACTTCCAAAGGCTTCCTCTCCCTGGCTGTGCACTGCCCCCTCACCCCTTCGCCCCCTTGCTCTGGCAGGGGCAGGATTCTGGCTGGAGGGAGGTCTGGTCCTCTTAGTAAGTCCTTGTCTTGAGCAACCTCTGCTCTCTCGGCAAACTGCCGGCTCCAGGCTTCCTGCGTGCAGGACCGCCTACAGACTGCACAGCTCACTCTGATGAGCCCGTCCTGATGCCGAATGAAAGACAGAAATCAATAGTGAACTTGGGGCTCCCTGTGCCCACAAGGCCCAGAAGCTGCCTTCTCAGCCGACTGTCTTCCAGGCAGAGCTACCTGTGGGGAGAGGTGAAAGATACATGAACTAATGAAACCTCCTGCAGTTTCAACCTGCCCATGTGTGCGCCTGTGTGTGAGTGTGTGTGCATCCCCTCTTGAGTGTCCGTACATGTTAGCTTCTGCATTTGTTCATATGCCTGTTTCTACAAGTACAGATGCACACTTGTATGTTGCTGTGCATATGTATATATGTCTTAGGTGTGGGTTGATGCGTGCTTATCTATAGATCTGAGTGCCTGTGCATGTTGTGTGTGTGTGTGTGACTAAGGTGTATAGTAACTCATGTGAATGTATGGGAATGCAGGTGTGCACAATGCTGATCTATGTATTGGTGATTATCATAGGGCATATGTGCATGAGGACCTGTGAACATAGAGTGTGTGTGTATTGCTGGTCTTTGGTGAGTATATTTAAGCGAACATGGGTGTGTGTGTATTATATGCGCCTGCTAATCAGAGAAGTGTGACAGGTCCAACTGCATGAGCAGCAGCTTGTGAGGTGGGCTCACACGAATTTCCCATCTGCATTAGTTACGTATCTGTGGCCTGTGGGAAGAGCTGCCTCCCTGCATAGCCTTGGCCTTCTTGAGCAGACCGTATCCTGGCCCTGCTCCTCTGTACAGCCTGACTGTGTCATGGGGCCCCGCCACACTACCAAAGATAACCAGTTTCTCTGTTGAGCAGTGACCTCTGGCTCAAAGACACGAGCTGAGAGGATGGGCGTGTCCTGGAAATCATCACACGGACATTCTCCGCGTGGATAGCGCTCTTTGTCCAATCATTACTGGGACGTTCTCCGCGTGGATAGCGCTTTCTGTCCAATAATCACTCGGACGTTCTCCACATGGATAGCGCTTTCTGTCCAATCATCACTCGGACGTTCTCCACATGGATAGCATTCTCTGTCCAATCATTACAGGGACGTTCTCCACGTGGATAGCGCTTTCTGTCCAATCATCACTCGGACATTCTCCACATGGATAGTGTTCTGTGTCCAATCATTACAGGGACGTTCTCCACGTGGATAGCGCTTTCTGTTCAATCATCACTTGGACGTTCTCCACGTGGATAGCGCTTTCTGTCCTACAATCACTGTCTCCTCTCACTGACTGTGCATCATGTCAGTGGTGGGGACTAAAATGAGATGCCACAGCCTCCTACTGTGAGTCTTTGGGATCACTAGATACAGAGTCCCTGCTGTCCTTCAGCCCCAGGCAGTCTCTGGCTGTTCTCAGATTTCTATGAGGTCCCCTATTGCTCTCCACAGTGCCCCACCATTTGGGGTCAGCTGGAGGGAGCTGATCTTTCCCCTGATCCCAGAACACTCGGGCCGGCCAATGTGTGTCCCCCCAGTCTTCCTGGCCAGTAGAACTGGGGCTCTGGGCCTCCAAATAAGTAGCCTTACTCACCCCTTCACTATTCTGACTTCTTTCCTCTAGCTCAGAAGAGTATGGCTTCAAGAGGTCTCTGTTAATTCCAATATCATGGCCAGTGGAGGAGCTATGTGGGTGCATGTGGGCTCCCAAAACGCCACACCCAGACAGCCGGCATGGATTATTCCTGGATCCAGCCTAACCATAAAGTCCCCCTTTTGTCTCCTTGTTTACTTATTTCTCTTATACAACTCATTTCTCCAAAAATCCAGTATCTGACATGGCCTCCCTGTAAATACCTGAGAGGACAAAGATATGTGCTCACACATACAGATGCACAGACACACAGACATGTATACAAACATATTCCCACACAGACATACCCACACATACACACACACGGACACACACATACATGCACACATGAGTGCACACACATGCATACACACATGTAAACACATGCATGCACACATGAAAACACAGACACACACACACACACACGCACACATACACAGTAAATGCAATATCCAGACCGAAGACTGACAGCCAACAAGATCATGATTCAGGAGGAACTCCACTCCTGGTAAATATGGCAGGTGAATTTGGAAAAGCCATTGGTCATCCACTCATGCCTGGCCAATTTTCAACTAGGACAGGCCTCCTGCTTAAAGGAACTCGGAATGGCATCGTGCCCCTCCCTCACCCTGGTCCCCAGTTCCAAGGAAATATGCATCCGTGCTTCTTTTGTGCAAGTGCTGATTTTGCACTCACTGCTGGCTTTCCTGGGCCTTGCTTCCTAAATCTGGAACAACTCTGTGGGCTACGTTGGTTTCCTAGAGCTGCTGTAAGAAAGCACCATAGATGTGAACCCAGGAGGCGGAGCTTGCAGTGAGCTGAGATGGTGCCACTGCACGCCAGCCTGGGGGATAAAGCGAGACTCTGTCTCAAAAAAATAAATATAAAAAATAAAAAGCACCGCAGAATGACTGTCTCACAGTTCCGGAGGTCAGAAGTCTGAAAAGTGTCCACAGGCCATGCCCTCCCTGCAGGCTCTAGAGGAGGAGCCTCCCTTGCCTCTCCTGTCCTTGCCAGCTCTGAGGCGCTCCTTGGCTTGCAGGTGCATCATTCCAATCTCTGCCTCCACCTACATGTGGCATTGTTCCCATCTGTGTCTCTGTGCTCAAATCTCCCTCTCCTTATGAGGACACTAGTCATACTGCATTTCGGGCCCACCCTTTTCCACTATAACCTCATCTTAACTTGACTACATCTGCAAAGACCCTGTTTCCAAATAACTTCACATCCACAGGTTCCCTGTGTATGAATTTTTGGAGGATAAACTGTTCAACCCAGTATATGCGCAAAAAATAAAGTTTAAAAAATGAGTTGCTGTGATATGCTGTTTGAAGGCAGAACTGAATTGCAGGAGAATCAAGAGACCTCTCCTGACTGCTAGATCGGTATGAAAAGCCAGGACTGAGAAATGTGGAGAGTAGAAGCATCAAAATGTGTGGAGGTGGGATGGGGCTCCAAGCAGCTGTGTGCAGACAGCCTCCTTCCTTGTCCTCAGGTTGGGAGTGGGAGGCAGGGCAGAGTGTAGACTAGGCTCTGTTTCTCTGCCCCCACCAGACCATGTTCTCCCAGGCTCTCATGTGCAGTGGCTGAGACACTGCCGTGTCTTTGCCCCTGGAAAAAGCAACATGGCCTTTCAGTCTAGATGGGCAAAGAGTGAGAAGATTCAGATGCCAAGATGTCAACAATACGTGGAGGTAACTGTGCCAGGACAGTTAGGAGATGGGGTGCTGACAATGGCTGCAGCTGGCAAGATGAAAGACAGAAGGAAGCCTGGCTGTGTGGCAGAACATTCCAGAGGCCAGGAAAGTGCATGTTAACATCACACCTAAGTGCTCATCAAAAGTGGACTCTCTCATCCATTCAGAGCACACTCCTTCCTCTCCTGGAAAACCCTTCTCATAGTTACACTTCTCAACTATAGGGTTTGAGCCCATTACTGGGCATATGGGCTTGCACTGTTGTAACGGGGTTGCTTTGCATAGTGTTATCTGAAGAAATGGTAAATATTTTAAATTCTACTCTCCTGCTCTGTATGGCACTAAATTTTCTTGTTCCTCTCAATTACATCTGACAGGGACAGTAATTTATTCCAGATGTACAAATCAGAACAGGTGACTGTAATTTCAAGGAAATCCAGTTTTGTGTTATATAGTTTCCCTTAACTTATTCAAATGTTACACAGTCTTTGGAAATGACGTTTAATAATAAATAAGCATAATATGTTCATATGAAGTTAAGGAGTTAATTGTATGAAAGGAACGTCCACAGAGTCATGCTTATTTCTAGAATCATGTTTATCAAACATTTTAAGGGCAATCAGAGTAAGAAATACATTTCACATCATGACCCAGCACTCAGTGCTGACGTACTTGAAATAAAAATCTGAAAAGACAATACTTATATGAAATGCGTTTTGATTCTTATCTCTTGCCTATTGTTGTTTTCTAAAACGCTGGCCATGACCTATTAAATTGATTTCATAGCCCACATGGCTCATATAGTGGAAAACATTTGTTAACATTCACCTATAGTGTTGTTGTAACATTCACATATAGTGTCACCTATAGTGTTGTTGTAACATTCACATATAGTGTTAAACATTTGTTTAACATTCACCACTTTGGTAAGTTTCTCCCTCTTGCAAATATTTCTCTAGGCTCAGAATTAAGACTAGCGCTTATAGAAGGAAGGAAGGTTCTGGTGTACTAATTTAAATTAGATTTATGATGAAAAACACCTTCAAGAGTATTATTTTCCTCCAAAAGATGTTTCTAAGGCAGATCACAAATAATTAAAGGGCAATCTTTTATGTGCTTTCTTCTTTCTCCAGATTAACAAAGGCTGAGCAGGCGGAGGGCAGTTGAACAATGATGTCTCGCTGAGCCCTCCAGCGCTCTGCAACCACCTTCCCCAGCTCTGTTTGAACTTTCAGGAAAGAGTGAAATTCTCACTAGTAACATTGGTAAATAGTGTGTGCCTCGGCAGCAGGGACTTTTATGTGTGATACAAGCATGGCCAACACCATATTTAGGCAAATACAGGCAATAACCCCTCATGGACAAAGTGTGCACGTAAAATAGAGGATAATCCAACTTCCTCCTTTCTTCCGTTTATCCCTAATTTTCCTCTTTCTTCCTTCTACAACAACAGTATAGTTTCTTTTATAAAAAAAAAAACTCAAATATACAAACAAATGGAGAAAACTGTATGGTATAGTCTCAAGTGCTCATCAGATAGATTCAGTAGTTATCAGAATTTTGCACTACTTGTTTTTTTTTTTTTTGCTGAAGTATTTAAAAGCAAATTCCAGATATTATTTCATTTTACTTCTATGTATTTCATTGTGAATCTCTAAAGAATACATTTTCTCACATCAGCACAATGCCATTATCTTACAACAACGAGAAATACACATTTAGAATAATCAAATTCCCAATCTCTAATCCAGTGTCCTCAGTTGTCTCAGGTCTAATTAGAGCTGCTTTGTATAGATCCAGATTCAAACAAGCTCCACACTTTGCATTTGGTTGCTACGTCTCTTTAGGTCTCTTTCTATTTAAAGCACCCTCCTTTTGTTTTATTCCGTGGCTTTGACTTGTTAAGGAAACCAGCTCAGTGGTCCTTTAAATGAACTTGTCTGTCTGTTTCCTCATTGTGTCATTTAACATGGTAGTCTATCCCCATATTTCCTGAAAACTAGAAGTTAATTCTAAACACTTGATTAGATTTAGGTTGAATGTTTTTGCTAAAGATCATTCAAATGGCAAACATTGTGGCTTCCTCTACGTGTAGCATACATGTAGCCTATGAGGAGGTCCACAGCACCTGGTTATTCCACCTTTAGTGATGTGCAATTGATCAATGAGTTCCTATGGTGGCAGCCTTATGCCTCCAAAGTTCCCCATGAAGCCTTTACCCAGTGGTTCCATCTATTGCTGATCATTTCCTGAATCAGCAACTTTTGGAGAGTTTGCAAAATAGTGATTGTTTATTGTATCATTCTTTCCATTTCATCAGCTGGAATTCTTCTATATAGAAGAATTTGTGATGTAGGTTTACTTAGTTTCTCAAAAATATAATTAATGGCTGGGCAAGGTGGCCCATGCCTATAATTCCAGCACTTCGGGAGGCTGAGACAGAAGGATCACTTGAGCCCAGAAGTTTGACACCAGCCTGGGAAACATGGCAAGATCCTGTCTCTACAAAAAATAAAAATAAAAATAAATTAGCTGGGTGTATTGGCATGTGCCTGTGGTCCCAGCTACATGGGAAGCTGAGGTGGGAGGATCACTTGTGCCCAGGGGGTTGAGGCTGCAGTAAGCTGTGTTCACACTGTTGCACTCCAGCCTAGGTGACAGAACAAGACCCTGTCTCAAATATATATAAAATTTAAGTTGTTTGAAATTTTCATACTCAGAGAACACATATGAGTACTGATATGTTCATTTCATAGTTATTCATGACATAAACCTGGAATAAGTCATCCCCAGGAGTCTGACAACCATGTGTCTGGCTGCATCTTTAAGGCTGAATGGAAGAATGAAAGAGCCAATGATTAGCTGGCTGACCTATGACAGAGTTGCCTCCTTTCCCACGAGGCTGGAATGCCAAAGACCCTCTAACTTGTGAACATTCTCCAGACAGTTCTGGGAAACTCTGGTACATCTGGACACAGCCTTGGCCACTGTCCATGGTGAACCTCTTTTCTTACAGAAAACTACGTTGGAGGACTTAGTCTGTCTAATAAGGAGAAGTTGCCAGATATGTTCAACTACCATGTTTGATTTGAAGTGTAGGGAGTAGGGAGGAAGTTGTGGTAGGATATAAATAGGGAAAGGAAGGGCTATACGTGTAAAGATTCTTACCATGAGCTCTCAATGCATCTAGAAAGGAGGGATGGTATCTTTCATCCAATCAATGAAAGGGTCTTTTTTCCTTCTCTTTTTCATTCATCCAAGTATATGAGGGATACTTTTTTTATCATAGTCATCTCACTCACACACAAAGCCATGATTTAGATGGCACATCAATCTTCCTATAATTTCCTTATTAAGCATAGCACCTGAAAAGTGACTATTTAATTGAGAAAAGTGAGATGTTGGTTTCGAAGAAGGAAAATATACAGACTATCAACTGGTCCCAAACTCTTGGGATTCATACTTATATGGAATTAATCTAAGATAAGAAGGAAACAGGTTAGCAACTCATAGTAAAAGTCACACCCAATGTATCTCTTGCCTTAGTTCGTTTAGGGTTGCTACCAAGGAATATTTGAGGTTGTGTCATGTACAATGAAGAAAGGTTTATTTGGCTCATGATTCTGATGATTGGAAAGTTCAAGATTGGGATCAGCATCTGATAAGATCTTTCATTCTAAGCTGCTTCCATTCACAGTGGAAGGCAAAAGGAGTTGACTTATGCAGAGATCCCAGGATGAGAGAGGAGGAAAGAGAGAGAGGCTGGTGGTGCCAGGCCCTTTATAACAACCACATCTGGTGGAACTAATAGAGTGAGAACTCACTCACTCCTAGGGAGGGCATTCATCTATTCATGAGGGATTAGCCTCCATAAACCAAACACCTCTGGCCCCACCTTCAACACTGGGGATCAAGTTTTAATATGAGGTTTGAAGGGGATAAACATTTAAACCATAGAACCCCTCTGCTGCAGGAAAAAAAAAAAAACAGTAATGTGCTCATCCACATAGCCACCAATGACTGAGCCCAATCAGGCCCTTTCTCCTAGCCCAAAGGTAAAGCAAACCATCTGGCTTACTCTGTGAGTATTCAACTGGTTAAACTGGAATAAAGGGTGCATTACCCTGTGAGTACTCAACTGGTTAAACTGGAATAAAGGGTGCAAATTACAGTTTCAACTCTACTCTCAACTCACCATGGGCTGTTACATGAGACACGATCTGAGCAGACAATAAGTAGTGTATTGATTAGTCAATCATTTGACAAATCCAACTGGTTGTTTATGACATGATAGGTGTCTTGACTGAATGCAACCTTGATATGGTTTGACTGTGTCCTCACCCAAATCTCATCTTGAATTGTAACTCCCACAATTCCCTAGTGTTGTGGGAGGAAGCCAGTGGGAGGTGACTGAAGTATGGGGGTGGGTCTTTCCTTTGCAGTTCTTGTGATAGTGAATGAGTCTCATGAGATCTGATGGTTTTAAAAATGGGACTCTCCCTGCACAAGCTGTCTCTCTGCCTGCTGTCATCCATGTAAGACATGATTTGCTCCTCCTTGCCTTCAGCCATGATTCTGAGGCTTCCCCAGCCACGTGGAGCTGTAAGTCCATTAAACCTCTTTCTTTGTAAATTGCCCAGTCTCAGGTATGTCTTTATCAGCAGTGTGAACACGGATTAATACAAACCTTTTCCCAGGCTCTTCAGTATATGTGCACAGCCTAAGGATAATCTTTGAGGATAGCTCCAAGCATTTTTCTTCTGGAATCGACAGGTTCCAGACATTTGATCAAATACATAGGCTGAGGCAGATATCCTGGTACACATAATGGTTGTGAAGAAGCCTGTTGTGCCTGGTTATTACAGATCACATGTAACAGTGTGTAAAATCTCCCGCTGTTCAGAGATTCTTGTACTAAGCAGGTTAATTAAACCTTAATTTGAATCTCCCAGCTTATATGAGTCTGGCCTTAAAATTCTCCCACCTAATTCTCTGTCTATGTATGCATTAGTGAAGGAGGGAGAGGTAAGGTAAGGCATTTTATATGCCTGAGTCATTAAATTGCCTTAATCTAATTAATAGGTTGTGAAACAGTTGAAGGGATTTGATGGACATGTCACCTTAGGAAAGCCAATATATTTAAAAAATATTATTTTCCTTTGCAAAACACCAGCTGTAATGTTTTTGGTATGATAACAATTCACAATAAAATTAAATTAGCCGGCATTACCTAGGAGTCCCTCGTGAACACATTTATACCAGGCACCTGCAGATCCGGCTGGGGCTATAGATCCCCCAAATTTTAGAGACAATGGTCAACTTCAGTCTGGCTTTGAGGCATTAAGCTAACTTTAGGATTCAAAACATATTTGTAAACTTCCAAATGCTAGGCAAAATACAGCCACAGCCTGCATCTTCCAACCCATCACTGCCTGTATCCACCCCCACAAACACACGCTCATGCCATCACCCAAAAGTTCTGGTGCTTGACTCAGCCTCTAATGTCTACTCTCCTTCTTACCTTTACAGTTGTAAGTATAAATCAATCCCTTGTCACTGATGAGCCCTCTGGGAAATTCTCAGTCTCAGCTCAGGACACTAAAAGATGGTCATGAAAAGTTTCCACACTGACGCACACATGTGTCAGTGTGCATTGCTAACCGTCGGGCCACAGGAACTGCTTTTCTAAGAGGTAAAAGCAAGTATGGCCTCTCTGGTCCCAGATTTTTATTTTATACTAGGTAAGAATGCACTCTGTATGTAAGAAACCTTAAATTCCCACTGTAGCTTGGGCTTCTGGGCACACCACTAAAAAGTATAAACAAGCAAACTCATGCATACACTTCTGCACCCGACTAACAACATCTCTAGGAAGAAGTAAAGATAAGAACATCCTATGAGCCTTGTAACACAGAACAGTTTTGGTGGTTGAACTTGAGAAAAGGTGCACTTTACTCATGGAACTCCATTCTCAACTCACTACAGGAGGCTGTGTGAGAAAACGGTCTAAAAACAGGCAATCAATAATTTGTATAGCAAGCACAGTGTGCTGTGAAATAGTCCAGTCCGCAGATGTCTTTGAAGAGAAGGCGGAGTGGAAGGAATAAGTAGCCAGAAGTAACCCGTGGAAGCAACTTGTCTGTATGAACAAGGGTCTCTGAAGGAAGTTACAAAGCACTTGCTGCCTGGCTGACATCCCACTGAGATAAATGCACGGGGATCTCTCATTTAAAAGAGATGTGCAGCTACAGCCAAGGGCCTGCCTACTCCAAGCACTTTGGGTCGAGCCAATCTCAGAAATGCAAATGACGCAGAATCATGGATGTCAGGCGTGAGCAGGGAGAAGGAGGCACCTGACTAAATCCTCTTGTGCCCCCAGTTAGGACCAGGGCTCCCCGTCGGACAGGACTGACAGGTGCATGGCCTTAGAAGGATGGTCACTGTAATGGCACTCAGTGGGCTCAGCTACACTTACTAAGTGGCTTCTGAACACTGCCGGGGCCATGAGAGTATGGAGGCCATTCTGCCAATGCTTTCTGGGAGCTTCAGGAGGCGAGGTGCCCAGCTGCCTCTTGTCAGACAGCAGACCTTCTGGGCTATGATCAGGGGTAAGACTGTGGACTCTGAACCTGGGCTACCTCAGTTTGAACCCAGACTTGCCAGGTACTAGCTGTGTGGGCTGGGGCAAATCACCTAACCTCTCTGTGCCCCTGTGTTCTAATGGGTAAAACAGGGATTCAACTAAACCCTGTAAGTGAAATGCTTCACAAGTACCTCCATAGGAAGTCCAGTGCAAGTGTTAGCAATCTTTTTTGGAAGGTTCGCTGTAGCCAAACCAGGCAGAGTGCTTGTCTTTGTCCCATGATGGTGCTGCCAGAGCGGGTGCGAGCTCGCCTTGGATCCCATCCACAGGACCATGTTGCTGGAGGTACCAGGACCATCCTTGTGGAGAATGTCTGTGACTGGTGGCCTAACACATGGAGATTCAGAGGCCTCCAGGCATGTGTTATGGGAGTGACTGGTGTGTTTTCAGAGCTTCCGTGGCGACCAGGCCTCTGTTCATCCTGCCGGGCAGTAAATCTGTTTCCTCCCGCTTGGCGTGCACTGGTCTGTTTTCCCTGACATACCAGCGGCTGGCGGCGGGTCTCCTTCAGGGCACTCTCCCTGGTGCTGCCTCTTTCATCCTCTTTGTGTCTGTGTTTGTGTGGCTTCTGCAGAGCCCAAGAGTGACCGTGCAGGCAGCCCTTGTCTTTACAATATTGGTCCTCGCAGCAAGGCAGCACAGAGCTTGGCATGTGGGGAGGCTGCGAGTGACACCCCCACTGCTTCCTTCTGCAGGAGAGTGTGAAGATATTTTATACAACAGAAAACTGAGCTTTACTGAACTGCTCTGGGTGTTCACGAGAGGGAGAATGCGTTGTCACCTTTTTGTTTCAATTTCTTTTTTGGCCAATGCAGTCAAAGTATTCCACTCTTACAAACAAATTGCAGAACTAACATCTCTTCCACCTCAAGCACATGCAGTGTCTTTTTGGAGAGGAAAGGACAGATCCCTTGTGAAAAATTGAAGACTGGGAATTAGGTGAAAATATGGACTTCCCATAATCAGGGCTTCTCAACCTCAACTCTACTGATATTTGGGGGCTGGGTTGTTTGTTGTTGTGGGGCTGTCCTGTACTTTGTGGAATGTTTGTAGCATCTGTGGCCTTTATTCACTGGTTACCAGGAGCACCCCTCCCAGTCATGATGACCAAATGATGATGCCTTCTCTGCTATCTGGAGGGGGGAGGCTAAATAGCCTCCCTGCATTTGGGAAGGAGGAAAGAGCAGGGGTTACCTGTGTTGCCTTTGCAAATCTGGGCTGACACAGCCATGTGCATGACCTGGCTCCCACGGACTTGCATAGCTTGGTTGCCAGTGGGGAAGGGTTGTGAGGTGTAAGTGTCTGTATGGGCTGAGAAAAGGAGGAAAGAACAGTGCAGTCTTTCACCCCTAAATGCTCCACTTTTCACCAGGGAGAGAATGAAAAACACTTCGTTTGTGGGTGAGTCACAAACACTACGTTTTGGGGCCTGTAAACTTGGAAGCAGGGAGGTGCTATACTCTGAAGCCAATTTCATTACCAGGGCTAGCTTACATAGCCAGAGATTCAGTCATTGCTGGAGTGAGTGAAATATGGGCTATCCTCACAGGAGATTGAGAACTGGGCCTTTTCATCTTCAGAGGGAAGCCAAGTGGGTGCCATCATCCTGAGGAAGGCCCCTGCTCCAGAGGAAGCTGGGCTCTTTCTTTTTCCTTTGGAATTGCCTGGCTGTGCTGTTCATCGAGGTGCAAAGACCGACTGCCACATGCACTTCTCGCCAGACCACACTCGACCTCAGAAGCTCCTTCTGCTCCCAAGCAATTTACAAAACCCTGAAGGCCGATAACATGGGCCGCCTACACATCTGACTTAGAGGGAACCCTCGGCATGAACATGTTTGGCCAACTCTCCTAACATTTGCTTTTATGTCAATTAGGATATTTCATTTTCATATTGAGCTCAACCATGGCTGGGTAACCTCATCCCCAGGTGGCACTGGCGGGAGGCTGTATCACATCAGTTTAGAGTTCCCTTCCCCACAGAGTTCTGGGCTAGCCTGGGCCACAAGATTGTTTCTGAGACACGGAAGGTGCCAATGAGGGAGGGGCTGGAGGTCCTTGGGGGTGCCGGGGTGCTTGCAGCTCATGCGGGGTCATTTCTTAGTGGAGGGGTCTAGGGTTCCTCAATTCCAGCCCTCTCCTCTGTTCAGCTTCTCTGAACCCTGGTCCTGTGCTGGTTAGGGCCTTGGGGAGGGGACACACTCACTTCTCCTGAGAAGTCCTGGTACTAACAATGGAGGCCGAGAGGTGGTAGGAGAGCACCCAGATCCCAGTTCCTCCTGAGGGCCCCAGCTCAGCCACCCAAGTCCTGCTGGTCCTAGTCTCTCTCCTCATGACCATCTTCTCTCCCTAATGGCTAGCTCTGTGGAACATTGGCTCCAGCACCAGATGTGGAAACAGGAACCTCCCGTAGATAGGGCATCCAGCCTCATGCCTATATCTATGTGAGGGCAAATGCCTTCTTTATGAATTCTTTATTACATAGATCCCCATGTGGGACCCTGACTCACACAGGAAGGGGTGATCAGCCTCAAGCATCATCTTTAGGCCAGAAAAGACTTGGTTTCAGGCTCTAAGCAGAATAGGACACCTCTCCTGTGAGCTGGTCAGAGTCTGGGGGACACTATAGTTCCTGTTCCAGCCCCAGCCTTTTACCTCTGATACAGTGAAGTCAAGGTTTGTGTTGTTGTTTTGGCATTCTTGGATGTATTAGTCTGTTTTCATGCTGCTTATAAGGACATACCCAAGACTGGGTAATTTATAAAGGAAAGAGGTTTAATTGATTCATTGTCCCGCAGGGCTGGGGAAGCCTCAGGAAACTTACAATCATGGTGGAAGGGGAAGCAAACACATCCTTCTTCACATGAAGGCAGCAAGGAGAAGTGCCAAGCAAAAGGGGGAAAAGACCCTTATAAAACCATCAGATCTCATGAGAACTCACTCACTATCATGAGAACAGCAGCATGGGGATAGCTGTCCCCATGATTCAATTACCCCCCACTGGGTCCCACCCGTGACATGTGGGGATTACGGGAACTACAATTCAAGATGAGATTTGGGTAGGGACACAGCCAAACCATATCACTGGGTCACTGGCCAGTAGCATATATGCATGTATTTTTCCACTCTTTGTGGAGTTCTCTGCATCCTGTAGTTACTACTGGACTGAGCTTCCTAAGGCCTGTGAAGTAGGTAGTGTCCCTTTCCCCTCCTTAGAGACAGGGCAGTGCAGGCAGGAGGAGGAGGACTCAGTTCGTCTGCCCGCCATCATCTGGCCAGTGATAGGGAGAGCTGGGCCTGCTGCCTCCCTGTATGCAAGTCTGATTGACTTCTTGCCCTTTTATTTTTTGGGGGCTGTATTATTATTTTTTAAATTTTGGATGCCAATGACGTAGCTGAGAATATAGAAAGGGTGAAAATAAGGGTGTGTGCTTTGTGAAAAATATCAGGGAGAGAGAGGAATTTGCTGGTGTTCAAAATATTCACCGCAAGAGGCATGAGGTAGTGGGAGGCTTGGTAGCTTAGCATCTCATAGTGTAAACTTTTCCAGGGGATGTAAAGTGCAGTTATTTGCAAATATTCTGGAAGTGGCAGATTGTCATGTTTTGTGAGTCACTGTCCCAGTTAATTGAGACGTCTAAAGACTACGTAGGGAGAAGCTGAGGGTGTCACCCAAGAAATCTGGTTCCCCAGGCTGGCATAGCACAAGCAGGCTGGGCTGGCTTTGGGAGGGAGAAGGCAAATGTGTCCCATGTTCCCAGTGCCAGTTGATTAACAGAGCGGCATCAATGCAGTCTCCGAGGACAGGCCTGCAGGGCTACCCTCCCGGCTAGGAGGAAAGGCTGCTCCCCTTGCTGGTTGGTGGCAGAGGTGGAGCTGGAGAGGCAGCAAATGACATGCCACTGTCCCCACATGGACGGGACAGCCTGGGCAGTGCTTGAGGAAGAGCTGAAAAGAGCTTGCTGAAAACCCAAATAAGACGTTTTCAAACTTGATAATCAACCCCATCAAAATTAAATGTTTGCTTCTTCTGATTAAAAAGCTGATGGAATGTTACCATAATTGGTTTATGCTTGCGGCTTCTGAACCATCATGGATGGCTGCACGGCGTCTATGCTGGCTGTGTACCTATAGCCTCAATATGTAATACATATTTATTTGTACATTCCTAGAAACCAAACCCGAGTAACTTAAGTAACTGATGCCTTTGGTCCCAGGGGCATGGACTATCTCATGCTCCGAAATCCAAATTGTTCTTAAGTAAATCAGTTATTTAAAAAAGTGTCCAGGGTTGCTGAAGTTGTTTTTAAGTCTAGCATCAAAACAGTGGGAATATGGGAAGGATGAAAAGTTTATTTAAAACAGAGCTGCAGATTTGTCCTCAGAAACCAAACTGTGAAGAATTGGAAAGCTCCGGCCAGGCTAATTCACTTTGGGGAAGGGAGGGGCCCTCCAAGGGCTGGGGGAGATGGCCAGGCTCACTCTGCCTGGCTTTATTAACTCATCCGTAATTAGCCCATAGCTTCGATACAATTTAGCTTGTGCCATATGGGCTAATATAGTGCTGAACGGTACCCCCCGTGCAGGTGACAGTCTGTCACATTGAAGGCAGATTAGCATAAAACAAACAACAACACACCCTTAATGACAATGGTGCCATTTGCAACACCAGAGTTATGGTTGTGTAAGCACTTCCATTAGAAACTCTTATTTTCAAAGATTTTATAAATTAGTCATTTAAAAAATCACTCTGGGCTGAAATAAAACCCAACCAATCAGCTCTTAGCCAGCAAGGTTTATGTTCAATGATACTCGACAAAAACATGTGGCAATGGCCCCAAGTTTTGGCTGCACACTCTTTTCTCTGGGATTCACTGAATCAAATATTAAGTGCAATTTTATGCTGAATGACAGGACAAATATTCAACCTAGGAAGAGAGGAAAACATTCTCCTTCTAGGGCGAGACTCATCTGGTCTTGCAGTTTTATTCCTCCTCGTTGAGACTCTGCATTTCCGCTGCGTGCTGAGGTCAGTGGCTGAGGGAGGGTTCATGACTGAGGACGGACACTGTTTTCACGGATTGGGGTTCAGCCTGGCAAAGTGGACCCTGGGCCCCATTCAAGGTGATTACAGAGTGTGAGAAGAGTCTGTGAGTTTTCTCTCCGACATGTTTCTGAGAAGAAAATGGCAGTGAGAAGCACAATTGTATTTGTAGTTTTCAATCATTCAGGGCCAAAACTGTGCAAGCGGTGAGAGTTCATGCACTCATGTCTCTAAAGGGCTCCACTGGGCTTGCTGGGCCCCATTCCTACACTGGTCCTGATGGCCACGATGCCTCTGATTCTCACTGGAAACCAGGACAGCCACTCACTCCACTGTGAAGCCTCCACTTCCTTTTTCCAAGGCTGAAACTCTTTCGTTCATGGTTTTGGTTTTGCTCCAAGCACCTTGGGTGCCCCAGAAGAACACTGGCTCCCCAAAGCCTTGAAGCTCAGCTTGCAATTTGTTCTGTCTGGTCAGATGCAAGAGGAAGGAAGAAGTCCATGGCCCATCCTGAAATGCACAGGTGCAGATGGAGGGGCTTGGGACTCTTGTTCTAATCTGTTGCCTCCAACATGTAAGCAGCTGGATTCAAGCAATGTTGAGCTTGGATATTCTAAATAATTGCATCTCGTCTCCATTTGTCCTTGAACAATGAATGAAATGTCTTAGCTGCCCTCTGCAGGACACAATTAAACAATTAAACAAGAGGGGGTCTGGGGCTGAGAAGCCACAACCAGAGTCTGGGGCTGTCGTCCAGGAAGGGGCAATATAAAGGATTTGAGGGGTTTGGGCATTTCCATCAGGACGTTTCCATCCTCTTACACAGGAGTGTAAGACCTGCTGTAGGCGAGGAGGCTAAGGCGTCTGTGGGAGATTTGGGCATCTCTAAGCATTGACCTTGGAGAAAGATCTCACATCCTAAAGAAGGAAACCACCAATTGAGATCGGCCATTAGGCTGAGTTTGGCTCCCTTCCTAAGGTTTGGTGAAAGCTGTGCTATTCCTTGGGCTGTGGTGGCCATGCCATCATCCGGAGGCTTTGACACAAACACAGTGGTCCTTGTGGTCTCCCCTGCTCCTGACCCTCTGTCCTGTTTCCCCAGTGAGGCTCTGCTCCTGGGTTGTGCCGTGGGGGTCTTTCATCAGGGGGGCGTCCAGCTTTACTCTGCTTAGGGGTGTATATCTACTCACTTTTAATAACGTTCAAGTCATGGCACAACCCTAGATGAGAAAATAGCATCTCTTTATTAAAACTGCTTTATTAAGCCTGTTTTTCACCAGTGTGTTCTGGTGCTGTGTGTGTGCGCGCGCGTGCGTGTGTCTGTGTGTGTGTGTGTGTGTACATGCGTGTGTCTGTGTGTGTGTGTGTGCGTGTGTGGTCTGTGTGTGTGTGTGCTCTTTGCTGCTAAAGACTACCTCGTCTGGCAAGTTTTGCAGACTCTTCTTTTGAAAGGCAGCTCTGCAGTTTTGCATCACTGGAATGAAATGAATAGTGCTTTGCAGACAGGAGCTAAATTTTCCTACCTCTCACTGGCCGTTTATGTGACTCTACGGTTTTCAAATGGTGCGATGCAGGAGGATGCCAAATGTCCTGCCATTTCATAACCAGCAGCAGACAGAGCTCTTTTCAAAATGCCACCGCTTGGAGCATCTGTTGTTTTTAAGTAAGATGATCAAATGTTGTAGAGGACTTCAATTTTGGTTTTCCCATCACTTATCGAGCAAGAATAATTTGCAGTTTGCGGGCAAAAGGAACGTGTTAGGGCCATTGTGGCAATGGCTGCGTTGTTTGTGTTCCTGTTTATTACTGATTGTAAAATAAACTTTGGCCTTTTAAAATAAATGTTATAAAAATGCTCTGTGAATCCAGAGAGTGTCACTCATTAAGTCCATTTAACATCATCGTCATTAAAAATGCAACACTGTTGCATTCAGGACCCATGCCCATAAAATCCACATTGCCAAACGGAGGAGTTTCGTGGCTACGTGACAACCTTACCCTCAGAAGGGGAAAGGAGCAGGCCCACCCAGGAGTGTGTGTGCACAAGTGCACACAGACACACTCACGCACACGGCCCTCCGTGAGGTCTCTGGAAATCCTCGGCTGATTAGATAGCATCTCCAATGGAATGCTTTTAGCCGCCTCACGCTTCTTCAAGGAAAATATGAACAACAACAAAACACAGGCAAAGGCAGCTACAGACAAGATTTCATTTTGGTGAAAAAGTCACAAGAGAGAACTGCGGTGGCTGGAGCCACCTGGGAAGTGTCGACAAGGCTGAAAGCTCCCCCTCCCCTCCACATAACCTCTGATGACTGCTTTTGATATTTGGAGATGACACAAACCAGAGGGCATGGAGACGGGGTGAGCCGGCAGGACCCCTCTAGTTGGAGGGGCTGTTCTGACTCCATTTCCACCTTCCAGGCTCTGTGTTCAGTCTTTTTCTCAAAGCCTTTGCAACACTCTTCTCCTGTGCTGTTTGCTCCCAACGCTTATGCCTAGGCTACTTTTGCCTTGGCGATACGGATTCAGACTAAATGGGCACCCGTGTCTTGCTGTTGGGCCCCCAGCATGTTTCAGGTTTAGATTTAATTCGAGAAGGAGTGTTCCAAGCTGCTCTTGCAACACTCAGTTGCAAGGGTGGGCTTTTGTCTGGCATCCAGAGTCTGTGTGGGTGTAATCCAAAATATTGACCATTATGTAAAATGCAAGAAATAAGCGTGCTATCAAATTTCAAGCTTTATTTTCACGGAATTTCGCTGCCTAATTGCTTTCGGTGAGGCTTCACTTAAGTGATAAATAAAAAATTCATTACTTAGTTAATAGTTCTTTCATCAGGAAAAGTGTTTTAAGATGAGGCTGTGAGTCACGGTTGTTTTCTTCCCTACCTGCGGACTGGTGTGGAAGAGTCAGACCTTTCCGAATGGCGGCTGGTCCTCCGTAGCAGGGCTCTCCCCTCTGCTGAGGCAGGGAAGGAGGGCCGCTTGCCGCAGGGACTCCAGGTCCCAGTGATGGCACAAGCATGTCCTTTGATACTCATGAAAATGACCAAAGCAACCGAACAGCACTCTGTCTAGAGGTTCTAACACCAGAGAGGCCCTGGTCTCTACAGAACACAGGCAACTGTTCTTTCTGGAACTTTCTCCGACTTGAACACATCTCTCCTCTGTCCTCTGTCTCCTTCCATTTGTTTTCTTGTCAGCCAACCGGAGGGTCAACTACCAGAACAGGAGCAGGTGAGTTCACCCCCGTGCCCCTACAGCCCCCACTTCACCCCGGGCACCACCCCACCCACCTCAGCCAAAGAGAGTCAGTTCAGGAGGCCAAGGAGAGCTACTCTTCCTGCCTACTCTAAGAAACTTAGAGCCACATCTAAGCCAATATAAGTGACATCCCTGGTACAGTGATGGTGTTAAGTCACATGAAAAGCCATCGACACATGCAGTAGCCGTTGTCCCCATCCACTAAGGGCGGGGGGGGCCTCATTCGTCTGAGAAGTCGCTAAGACTCTGCCAGGGAATCATGGTCTGGCTGACCCACTATGGACTTCAGCCTTCTCCAGAGAGTTGTTTTCTCCGTAAACTAAATTTTGCACTGCACACTCCCAATATCATTAGTATTAGCAACCCAGAGGCATTTCTGCAGCAGCAATGGCAGCAGCACAGCCCGCCCCACCTCCCTGCCGTGGAGCCCTGCTGCAGAGATGAGCAATGTGTCCCTGGCAGACGCCACACAGAGGGAGGTCCTGCAGTCATGCCTTCCCCCGAGGGGCTGGCCCTTCTCATGGACAAGCCCACTGCTCCTGTGCCTCACACTGCAAGACCGTCTGCAGATGCTGCAGCCTCTACTTTCTCTTCTGTGTGCCAGTTGCTCTGCTTCCTGCAGAGAAATAACCTCCATCACAGTGCATGGGGCTGAGAAGGACCTTCAAGAACATTTCATCCTTTCAGTTTGATGACAAAGAAATGGAAGCTCAGAAAAGGGTAACTTTCCCCATGTCAGGAATCCAGGGATGGCCAAGGTCAGTGCCAGTCCAGGCCCATGCTCTGTTGCCTGGGTCTCTAGTTTGTGACCTGATGTCTGTCACTGAGGCATCTCCTGGGGTTTCCCCTTCTGAGAAGGGGGCTGTTGGCACCATCCAACAAAAGGCAATGTGATCTTTCAGAGGCCCTGGTGCACGAAGCTGGCCCTCCTGCCTTCATGCCATCTTTAGGTGTGTCCAGCCTGAATATGTAGCTTACCTGCTTAGACCTTTACAGCGGCTCACACAAGTCTACGGGTCAACATGGGTTGCTGTTCACTCTGGCCTTAATTGACCTTGCATTCCGTGTCCATGTCTCAGCCTCGTTGCTGTATTCACTAAGTCTTGAGGACTGTCCTTGTCTGCAAATTCCTTCCATTCAGCCCTAGATAGGTGGGCTCCGCCCTCCATAGCCCGTCTGCCACCCCTAGCCTTTGGCTCCTCACTGACATGTTGTTCATCCTGGAGGCTGGCCCTGCCTCTGAGGCCTGGCTGAGGCGTTTCTCACACGCATGCCCTGGCATGTCTCTCTCTGTGGTCATATCCCCTAAAATTCTGCAGTATCACTGACTGTTTACTGGTCAGCCACTCCCACGTGGATGGTGACCTTCACATACATGGTGGGGGCCACGTCTGCCTTGCACAGCTGGGTCATCACTGGCACCTAGCAGGCTGACAGAGCTCCACACACATCCCTTTAGGAAGAAGTGGTAGATGGAAACCTTCCCTAGGGAGCCTTTCCCCTCATCCAAGGTAGTCATCCTCACCCGGTCCTCCAAGAACCCATTCTACTTCATCTGTACCCTCATGTGGCTGTTCACAAGGGTGTCTTGATGCCATCATATGCATAATGACAGACATGTTCTTCTGATAGTCACAATAATGGATTTAACACCCAAGCCTTGCAAAGCATTCTACTATACACTCTTCTACGAGCTTCAGGAAGCGTTACCGAGAACCTCCAAGGGCCTGGCACTGATTTGGGGACAGGGTCAGACAAGGTGCTGCACACTTTCTTTCTCTCTCTTTCTTTTCTTTCCTTTTCTTTTCATTTCTTTCTTTTCTTTCTCCTTCCTTCCTTCCTTTCTTTTCTCTTTCTTTCGTTTTTTTCTTTTTTTTTTTTGAGTTTCACTCTTGTTGCCCAGGCTGGAGTGCAGTGGTGTGATCTCAGCTCACTGCAACCTCTGCCTCCTGGGTTCAAGTGATTCTCCTGCCTCAGCCTCCTGAGCAGCTGGAATCACGAGCACATGCCACCATGCCCAGCTAATTTTTGTATTTTTAGTAGAGACAGGGTTTCACCATGTTGGCCAGGCTGTTCTCGAACTCCTGACCTCAAGTGATCCGCCCACCTCGGCCTCCCAAAGCGCTAGGATTACAGGTGTGAGCCACCATGCCCAGCCGGCACTGCAAGCTAAGGCAAATCACTGCCCTTAAGGGGCTATGGCCTGAGGAGGAGCATTGTTAATTATTCTGTAGCTGAGTGCCAGGAAATATGAGGATGGGAGGGAGAGGCAACTGTGGGCTTCCAAGACCTGATGCTTGAGCTGAGTTTGAGGAAGGGAAAGATTCTGGAATCATAAGTGAATACATGCTGCATGAATGAATGACGGCAAGAGAGTGAAGTGAGGAAGGGGCCAGTTGCCCAGCCGCCCTCCTCCTCACCTGGTGAATGACCTAACTTCTTGTCCATCTGAGAACAGCACCTGTGAGTGCAGGAGATGCCTCCTTGTTTCCTCCTCTTTGCCACGCATTGAAATTTGTGACTTGTTCTAGAAAGAATTCCTCATTGTCCAAAGAAAGCAAACTCTAGCCAATTCTTCAACTCAGGTTCCTTTTTATTTCTACACAATAGAAATGAAACTTGCATCTTACCTCAAAATTTTAAATGATTATTTTAATTGTCCCCTGCCCCAAGCAGAGTCTAGTTTTTGTTTGTTTTCTTTGGGTCCATTTGTTCTTCTGTTTTTCTGCTCGATCCAAGTGCTCAGATGTGCTTTGTTCGACCCTCTCCATCCAGGTGTTCACCCTTCTCTGTCCAGGTCACCTGCAAACTCAGGGTGAGATTTGCAATGCCAGCTTGAGACAGTTTCCATGGCGTGAAGTGGGATTTGTCATGAAATTCTCAGCACAACCAATACGTTTTCTCTTTTTATCTAATGTCAAAATATAGCTGTTTGCAATTTTTGTCTCCTATTTGAGTTTTGTGTTTGACTTTGTTATTTAGGGACCAAGAGTTTATAAAAAGTCTGGCTTGAAGCAGCCTGGAGGTAACTGCCTGGAGGCCCCTGGCTCAGTGGAGGGAGCACAGACCAGGTCTTTTCTTGTGTGCTCGAGGCTTCCTGAGCTTGGTGCCTGCACCCACCCTGCCTCCTATTACTCTACAGGCACTGTCTTCCTTTAAGGCCAAGTTGCGTCTGCAGCTGCAAAGGCCACTTCTGGGGGACGGGGAGGTGAACAAGAAGCAAGGCAGGGCTCTCAGAGTATGAAAAAGAAGTAATTACCTTCTACTCATCCCAGGACTCCTTTAATTATGGGCTCTGAGCAGGAAGAAGTAAATATCCCAGGCCTTGACCCTAGACCCCTCTCCAAGGAAACTGGGTCTTCCTTATTCTCTGGGGCCACAGCCAGAGCACCAGATCCTCCCCGTGGCTAAGAGCGCAGTCCAGCTGCTCCTCCTTCTTAGCTGCAGCACGGCCCAGCCAGGTAGACATGGCTCTTGGGTTCTTGAAGAATCCAGAGAGGCCGTGGATGGGAAGTGGGGGTTCCCAGAACAAGCATTTATCACATAAAGTCCACACAATCCAGAGTATGCAGGAATGTTTCTCCAGATGCAAGTCTTAGGATTCTAGAGCTTTCCTGTGTTACAGTCCCAGAGGAGGAGGGTCACTGAAAGGTGGCTTTCAATCAGTGAAACAACTAGCTTTGAAAGTGGAGGAGAGACAAAATGAAGGCAGACAAAGCTCAAAAAGGGAAGTGTGAAAAAAAACCATAAAGACTGGGAAAATGTGCACTGTTTTCAAGCGCCACCCCCGCCCCCACACAGGCAGAGCTTACAACGTTGAGAAACCGCACTGCTTCCCCGACATATCATTTCCATTTGTAGCAACCAGCAAGCCTGGAAGCCTCTTCCATCCCCTCCAGGCAAAGGGACTCCAGTCACCAGGCCCTGCCATTGCTGATGTCACCCTGTTTCAGATTCACCTTCCTCCTCAAGCTTGTCCCTGCTGTCATTGACTTGCACTGGGCTCTGGGCTCAAACCCCAGGTCTTTCCTTCAACCATTTCACAAATCTTATCCACACGGTGTCAAGTACTGTATTGGCTGTAGGGCACTTGGTGAGTCCCAGACTTCACTGTTGCTCTGTTTTTTAAAAAAAAAGCAAAGTAAAAGATAAAAGGAAAAGTTGTGCAGAGTCAGTGAAAGAATAAAATGTGATAATGAAAATAAACACAGGGCCTGGTACTGGACACAAAGGAAGAAACTGAAAAAGTACTTATTCTAGAGAAAGCATTCAGACTGTGGGCCCACTTGCTTCAATGACAGGCAAGCATGAAGTCCTCCATTGCGTGTCGTGATTCCTAACCTCAAAGAAAGGTTGACTTTTGGAGCTCAATGTTAAAGGCTAAGTAGATTTGAGAATCCAGATGGGTCTGGACAGTGCTGAAGGTGGCCCTTAACGGTACTCCAATCACGGCCAAATTGTGGCCCTCTTCCCAAGTTAAAGTTATTTGAGGACGTGTAGGAATTCGTTTGCCTCTTGAGGACCCAGCACTCTGAGCCCTGCTCCCTGATCTGATGGCCAGTGGTTAATGTGCAGTACGGGCTTTACACCCCCGATAGGACAGATGTGATGAAATCCCACAGGGATCCTTGGTACAACTGAGAAGAGGGCATCATGGAGACTCAACATGTGATTTAAAAGACCATTGTGGCTATCATTAGCATGATGGTCAGCATCATTATTTTCATTATCCCCTGTGCTCAGCCTTATTAAACTTATTAAACCCTGGTTTATAAGTAGGGAAAGAGACTTGAGGAGGTAGAGCACTTGCTCAGGCTGGAGAGTCAGAGAGTCTCAGTGACAGATCCCAGGACCCCCTCCTCTTCCCCATACCATGCGTTTCAGGGTCCAACTGGTCAACCAGGATTGTCATCAACAAGCAGCAGTGGGACTTGGCCTATATATCTTCAGACCATTCTGGTCATGACATGGAGTTAGAAATATATATATATATATACATATATCTCTCTTAAATACTTGAAATGGTTGAAAAGCTGTATTGTTCTTAGGGTCCACCTACAGGTATGAAGAAGGCTTTTTTTGCTCTTTTCCCAGAATGTTCTACAACAGTAGAAACAAAGTAACAGGTCACCTCTGTGCCTTTGACAACTGGACGCTTTCCAAGGTGGGGCTAAAAATAAGTGATGGGTGAGACCTTTCTCTTCACATGTCGGTGAGAACTGGATTGGGTCAAAAACGTTTCCTTCTCTTTGAAGGAAAGAGACATGTTGAGTGGAGAGAGAAGCAGCTGTTGTCAGGGAAACCAGGTTTTGGGTTTGGCTCCATGGGTCAGGAGTCAGGGCACGTAGGGCGGGACTTTATTCTTGCCTGTCATTGGAGAGGGTTGGCCCACGATCTGAATGCCAAGAGCGCTCCTCTCTCCAAAGTGCCAAGCTTCCCTGCATTTAAAGGCCAGCAATCGGGAGGCTCTCGTGGTACAGCTGTTTAGCCACAGTGGTCCTCCAGGCACCTGGTGGCAGAGCCAAAGACACAGTCATTTGCAACTTGGTAGCATACAATCCCCAGGTCTAGGACCAGAAATGACTGTCAGGGGCAGAGATGGGGATAGAGGTGGAGATACCATGGGAAGAGGGAGGTGATGCACCTGCTGTGGCCTGGCTAAGGACTGAAGTGGGGGGAAGCTCCCAAAACTAGAGGTGGGAACTTTTCGTGGCAACTCACTTTTAACAAACTACTTCCAAAGCTGCTTTAAATCATTTACCTGCTTCAATATCCCAACCACCCACGTTATTTTCCATCCATCCCCATCCCTACAGGCTATCTCCCCCAAATTAGTAAATCCAATTTGTCATCACTCAGATACATTTTCAGGCTCTGAACAACCATTTTTTATATAAACCAAATGGGATTAACTTCCATCAATTGTTTAACTGCAATCAAGACATGTTCATAAACAATGTAAATATATTTACTACATTCTTCACAAGACAAGCTCCACAACCAGCCAAGAAAGCGGGATAAGAGGGAGCCCTTCCTGATGCTTCATGGAACGATGAATGAGTATGGATTGCTATGTCTCTTTAATTTTACCTTGGCTTGAGGGAGCCTTATTTTCCTAGGGATTTAGGTTAGCTCCCAGATGGTAAAAATCAGGATCAATCTTTTTTCGAGTTAAAAATCACTCTCACATCCATTCTTGCCATTTCTCCTCTAGGCTCTCATTTCCCAGTACCTCGCTAAAAATAACTGCCAGTGGTTTGTGGAATTTGTTTGCTAATTCCCTCACTCCCCAAAGGTACTTGCTGGTGACATGCAATAAACTTGACGGGCTCAAATTTCATAAGTGATCTTGCATTGTCACTCAGTGTTTCTTGGTGGATATAACCATTTCTGAACTCCCTCAAGTTTACGTGTGCTGTTTTTCTTGTAAAACAAAAACACTGGTGCTTTAGAAAGTTAAGAGGACCATGTGTTTTACCTCTTTCATGCATTACTTGGGTTTTTCATTGTTTGTATTCAAGGAGTACTCCCATTGGTCAGGCACTGTTCTAGGCACATGGTCTCCATCAATGGACAAGATAGACAGCGGTTCCTGCTCTCACGGGCATACTCTGGTGGAACGGGGCAGACAAAGCAGGATACACATGACCAATAAGTGATGCATAGGGCTTGTTGGAAGGTGGTAAGCATGGGTGGAAACAAGAATAGGAGAAGATAGTGGCCTTTGGATGGGTGCCTTGCCGGTTTTCTGAAGTGGGACTGCAAGTCTTCACGAGCTGTCACTTAGCCTTGGCAAAGAGCACCAGTACCCGGGCACCCCTCTGTGTGACACCCGTCCTAAGCCACCCTCTCCTGTGTCTTCAGCGGGGCTGCGCTCACTGCTTTTTCTCTCCCTCTGAGCACTTTCCCCTTTCCCCTTACTGCCATGGCTCTGCCTGGCTCTGTTCTCTTTTGTTCTCTGGCCTACAGATGCCCACTGAGCTTCCTTCGGTGACTGTCCTTTGCTAGTGTGGACTCTGGAATTTTAGTCTCTCCTTTGTCCATCAAGCAGAATGCATTTCAGCCATCTTCTGAACCAGCCCAACGGCACTGTACTGCTTTACCTTTAGGGTGAGGAAAGTTTATTTTCACAGAAGCAGGGGAATGGAGAATGGAATAAAACATTGGGAAAAATCAGAAATCACTGGTTCTAATTTGAACAGTTTTTGTGAAAACCTCTTGCATATCATGTTGTGAATATCTTCATTTTAGTCAATAGAGTCTTGCCTCCCTGTGTAGATTGTCATAGACTAAGTGTGAAAATTATGGAAACACTTGCCTTTGTGCAAAGAAATGTCCATTTTCTTGGGATCCGATCAGCGCTTGGCAGTTTGTTATTTAGGATGTGTTGCTAGATGTTTGTTGACACTCTACACCCAGATTAGAAAGTACATTTCTGTGCTGAATCCATTCCATTTGACCTGTCTTTCTGGGCCACTCTCTGTGACGAATCCCAGTTTTCTCCTCGTTTCTGCAGCCTGGTTGCTGCCTCCCCACAATCCTTCACTGCCCCTACCCCGCCTCCCCGTCTTTATGCCCCATGAATCCTGGGCATCCTGCCATCCCATTACAGCCTTCTTCCGCACTCCCCCTCTCCAGCTCCACAGCCTCCCCCTTCCTCTGACCTCTCAGGCAGTTCCTGGCACACCTCCAAGACCCCCTACCTTTGGCTGTTAGAGTTGCGGAGCACAGCAGCTGTGACCGCTGCTCAGCTGGGCCCTGACACTGGGCGAAATGGAACCCTCCTAGACTCCACTTTGCAATGCACGGGAAAGCCTTCACATGCAGCCTGCAGGAGCTTTCCGGCCTGTGCAAGGGCTCCGGGGCCCTCGGGCAGCCCCTGGGAAGCTGTCCTGAAGAGGACATCCTCGGAGGCAGCCTCGGTGCCACCCGCCAAGGCCCAACCTTCTCCAAAGACCAAGTTCCCGCACATGTTAAGCTGCGGGTTAAATGTATCTTGGTTTGTTATTTTTGCCTCTGATCAACTTTTGCCAAGTTGTAACCTTCAAGTACAAGGCACACCAACAGACTCACGGTGGGATGGACGCGTTCAGACGCAGTTCAGATGCACTTTTCATCATCTTTAAACTCCTTATTGAGGGAAGGAAAATGGAAAACATAGAACAATAATTGTTGCTCCAGTTTCATTTAAAAATAAAAGAACCGAAAGCAAACCACGACCGATATAAGAATCAAGTTATCAAGGTAGGGCTGTATGGAAAATTAGGTGAGCTCAAAACATTTTTACAGGGTAGCTAGGAAGGCGTGGACCCAAGGTCACAGAACCTTGTGAATCCTGTGTAGCATCTGATGGATTCAGGATCAGCTGCATCAACTGCCCTGAAATTCAGTCCGGGGCCCCAGCTCCCGCTCCCTCCCCTGCAGACCATAAGTGTTCTTACGGCGCTTCAAATTTTTTTTTTCCCCCTGGTTTGAACTCTGTAATTCTTCTCCTTCAATTTTTTCTAAAATAAAGAAAAGGGGGAGCGAGGAGTGAGCAATATGATCTTCCCAGAGATAGGAAGCAGGAATACGAGGCTCTTTGTTTCCATCCCTGAAGCCCCAGGACTGATGTCAAAGCCAGAAGGCCACTCTGAAAACGATGCAGGCCCGATTCTGCCTCATTTACATTTCAGCCCGCCTGCCTTCTGACTTGTGCAGAGGAATGCATCCTTATGTGGAAAATGCACATGCAGAAAAATAGAAAAAAGACATGCTATTGGAGAACAGATGCAATGTGTGATGCCTGATCACTCCTTTAATGGAATGGTCATGATTTCGGGCTCCATTCAAGCAAATTCTGAGCCTCTGCTCATGGTCTCTTGCAATTTGAGTCACTGCCTTTGTTGTGTTTCTTTCTTTTCCTAATTCAGTCTCTTCCTAGTTTCTTAAATTAGGTCAACATACACATTCAAAAAATGCGAACTTCTCCCAAGTGCAGGAAATGGGGCCTGAAAAGCTAACGCAAGAATACAAAATCCTGCTGTTTAAGATGAAGAGCCTTTTGGTTGGATCCTGGAGCTCTGAGTCCAGTATTTAGTGAGATCATTGCCAGATTATTATTCTCCCTTTAAGGTCACTGGACTTTCATGCTGGATGTATCCTCTGTGATAGAGAGTTTACAAATAATGAAGCTGACTTTTCCAGTGCTCTCTTGCTGGTAACTGCAGACCTAGAAGTTCAAGTGTTCTGACTTTGGGGCTACTTACTTCTGAACTTCAGTTTATATCTTGGAATGCTTTTACCAGAGGTATTTTGCATAAAGGTTTGCAAGATTTTTTTTCCTCTTATTTTGATTGTTTTTATTGTAAAATTATCCTATTTATACATTATTTTAGCTACATTTTATGTAATTTTCATATTGTGTGACATGATAGTTTTTACTTTAATTTTCCCTTTCCAGAACACAATACCCAATTTTATACACAAATCTATACAAGGAAACACCCACATTTTACAGAGATCCAAGTGACGTAAAACCTCAGAAATGAATCAGCTTCTTACCAAAGTTGGTACCTGGCCCCGTGTATGCACATGGTTGGAGAAAAAAGATAAAACGATTTGTTTGTGACGTTTCCGAGGGCTGGTCTGAGCTCATGGTTTCTGCATACATAGCAGGACCCGTCCAGGATGCGCGGCCACCTCAGAGGGCCATGGAGCTCCAGGCTGCCGGTGAGCCCTGCCTGGGGACACCAAGTCCCTGGAAATGTGTGCCACCTGCCCTGGCCTGAGAGCAAAGTTTCCTGGAGGGGGAAGCCAATGAACATCTGGTCGTGATGATGCTGGGCACCAGTGCAAGCCATCACTCTTGGCTATTTTCCGTAAGTGTGACCCAGCAGATACTCAGAGTGTCTGGGCTGGTAAAAACGCTGAATCCAATTGAAACCTGAATGACAAAAAGGCTGGGTTGGGGAATGTGACAGTCCAGGCACTTGCCTCCTTCATGCCTCGTGGGAAGCGTTGGGTCTTGAACTCCTTGTGAAATCTTCAAACACATAATAAGAATTAATCGCCATTAGTTCTCTATTTTAACAGCTGCCTGCTACCCTCATGGCCCTCCGCAGCTGCGGACTTCTCTCCCTTTGCTGACATCATAATCCCATTACAGCTGGAAACCTGCACACATAAAATGCAGATTTAAGCTTATTTTGAAACAATTTATACTTGTTAATTGCTCCAGTCTATATCACAGGCAGAAAATCACAGCTCTCCTTGGGCAGCCCATCTCCTCGCCAGAGGCAGGAGCTTTCTCCTTCTTTATCTGGTTAACAGTGGACCCAAATGCACAGCCAGATCTGGTGGCTTTCAAGTTACTGATACATTTGTGGACTGGATTTGTCCAGAAGTGGCATCTGTCCATCTGCCACTTGCTCAGCTCTCTCCCCAGATGGACCTCGCTGGCGGCTAAGAAAACGCCTTGGAAGCAGGTGAGCCTCGGAAGGCGCTTGCCCAGTGCAGTGGCCACTCTGGGCTGGCTCACTCCTATTTTCTCAAGGAAATCACAGGGACTGTTTTCTTGACTTGAAAGTCTAGTGGGAGAAATTGATTTCCTGGTTTGATTTGTGCACTTTTTCAACTCGACACTTCTTGACCGACGTGCTCTGTCCCTTGTATTTGTGCCTCATTTTCACACAAGTTTGTACGCTTGCAGCGTACAAGCAAGCCTGCAGCTTGATACATGAATTTCTCCTGACTGTGGTTGGTGCAGGCTATTAAATCTAACGAAAAATAATTACTTAAAGAATTTGAGTGCACGAATACCTGTGTGTGTGCATGAGACGTGCATGAACATAGTAACAGGGCTATACATAGCATGTTTTATCCTGATTCTGAGACATTGGTGGGTGGGGTCTCTGTGATTAAATTAACCATAGATAATTATTTTGTCTTTTAGGAAATTGTATTGTAACATTATTAGAGGAACGCAGGATGAAAACTATTTAAAAATCTGCCGTGTTAAGAAATTAAGTCAGTTTGGACTCATGAGCACGTCAGGAATATGATGCAAAAGCTCTGGCGGGAAACAGACACACCAACATCTTAAACCACAAACAAGAGCCCTGTTTATGTTTTGAAATGGTTCCGAATGAACTGGTTTTTATGTTAAAAGGTTCTTTTCCACCCCATGTTTTTAATCTGGTGATTTTTGTAGCCCCATCTGCTGTTCATTAGTGGAAGTGCCTAGTTAAGGATTATGAAAGGTCTGAAATGTTTTTTGTTTTTTCTTACTCCTAGTAGCATTTTGGATTTTAACTGCTAAGAGGCACCTAGAGAAATGAGTCATCACGCTTTCTGATGACCAAACCATCAAATTTAGACTATCTAGTACAAACTATCAAATTTACACTACTAGTTTTAAAAAATCAAATATGATAGGAGAATGGCTTTTTAAAAGAATGAACTTAGAGGTCACCCAAGTCTGCCAAATACGTGGTATCACTCAACAAGAATTTGAACCCTTCTCAGTTTCAGGCTCTGGCTTCTGTAGCAGACAGTTCTTTAACTCTGAGGCTACAACAGCAGATTGAATTCTGAGCCTACAAAGATGTCCTTATTCCAGGTTAAACTTAGAGGTCATTTGGGTAGAAATCAATTCTTGCCTCCTCCATGCAAAGACAGACTTTGGCAAGCTTGACTTAGTGGCCCCCACAAGAAGGAATCAGGCTTTAGGTTCAGTCTTTGGACCCCTCCCCAGAGTGGGGAGTTCTCCAGAGGTGAACCCCACGAAGCTTCCCAAACCCCATCCTTTGGCACCCTTCATCACCACCTGCTGTTGTCATTCAGGAGTTTTTCCAAGAGTGTGATGAATTGCCAGGCCCATCATGCCTCTGATCAAAGAATATGGCATCCCAATTTGGCCAACAACTGAGTCAGGATTATTCATCCTGAATTGCCAAGTGTCTCTTTCTCTGGCAATATTTAAATGGACTTCAGTTTTGATTGACATCCCTTGGACAGCCTCCTCCTGGCCCTCGTGTCCCAGCACATCTCATCTTGCTCTCAGGATAGAGTTGAGCTCCACCAAGCAGACAATGTTCCCTGCACATGATAGACCTTGCTAATGTTTTATTCTTACTACAGAGCTGTGATACTCCTTTTTTAAATCAGCTGGCAGCCCAGTAGCAATTTCTGAGCTGAAACACAGTGGATCTATCCTACAATATATACATAAATATTTGGTCTGCCTAATGAAGGAAATAGCCAGCACTCATTTTGTTATTTTTCTCTTCACTATATACCATTATCGCAGTCCTAATGACAGCTCAGAGAAGACCTTAGCTCAAACCCTGCCTCCCCTGAGTCTCATGTTTGAAGAGGGGTTCTTGAAACTATACTCTTCATGCTAGATGGAGGAATATACTTTGGAAACAATGTGGAGGGGGTGAGATTCAGGACTAAGAATGTTCACTGCCGAAACATAGCTGTGGGAGGAAATTTTTTTCATAGCAGTTTCAGCTGATTACTAAAGAGAGTAAACATAGTCTACACACCACACACACAAACACACACACACACACATGATCTGTGTATTAATCTATGATAAACATTAAGGCTTCCTAAATTCCTAAATGAACCAATTGCACATCTTCCACCCATCACTTCACTGTTTGGACGTTTACAAAACCTAATGATGGACAAGTTTGTTCTTTCCTCAATTGAATGTCATCATGCATATCCAAATTGTGTTTCCATTGGAAATTCAGATCTGTTCCTAAATATGGTGCCAGGGAGAGCTTCTCCTTTCCTTGTTGAGGGTAGACTGGAACGGGACGAGGCAGGTTCCAGGGCCGGCAGTAGGGCTGCGGGCACTCACTTTGGCTGGAGCCAAGGGAGGCTCTGGACAAGGATCCTCCATCGCCAGGCCGTGTCTTTGTCCTGTGCTCTCCAGTTTTCTTGGGACTGCAGAAAACTTCGGAGTAATTGGATCCTTGGAATTCCTGCACCTGGCCCATTTGCCACAGTTTGTATTTCACTCATGTCCCTTGGATTTCCCAGGTCTCTCTTGGTCCTGTGTTCCTAACCCTGCAGCGTGTTCTTTCATCCAATCGGTAAACAAGTAGTCCCTCCGGCTCCTGCACAAATGCCAGTGCATGGATTGGCCATTAAGAAAGCCTGTTGTGGGAGCTGTTGCCCGTCCTTCCGGGAAGGAAGCACATCCCCAGTATGATGTCCTCTGCTCCCTTGTCCCAGGGTTGGGACTCGCGTGTCCCTTAGAACCAGGTCTTTTGACTTTCCTGGTGTGTGCTACTGCTGCTTCCTTTAGTGTTCAGTGATTTGTCTGTAACTCTCCATTAATGTCTCTGATTTCATTTCACACTTAAGCAAACTGGAACCCTTTGTGGATCCACAAACAGAGGAGGGGTGCTCTGGGACTGTCACCCCTTGGTAAGTGGAGTGGCCTTGGAGGGGAGGCCAGGCTAGCAGTGGGGACCTCCTGTCTGCCTGGAGCTGCTCTCTTGGTGGGTCTGGGATCAGGGCACCCCAAAGCCCACTAGGTCTGTCATGGGAGGAGATGGGCATGTCAACAGCCCTCTGTGACTCATGGACTGTTCAGCCCTGCAAGGACCTGGGTTGACCACAGTTTGAACCTAAAGTTTCCAGAAAACGGTAGGCTGGCTGCCAGGATCTTCCTGGTGGTATGAGAGACGCTGGTTGTCTCTCCATAGGTGACACTCCACCTGTAAGTTCCCTTCATTCAGGAAATAAATTAAACTCCCCTGAAGGGAATGGCCTAAGTCATATTTTCCAAGAGGAAGAATGAAGTAAGACAGACAGAAAGACAACTTGATTTCACATCTGGGTTTGGGACTTAGAAAGAAAGGACAAGAAGAAAGGAGGAAAGGAAGAAAAAAAGGAAGGAAGACAGTAAAGAGAGAAAGGAATGAGTAAAGGAAAGAAGGAAGAAAATGAGGGAGGGCAAAGAAACTAAGGGGACTCGTTGGAACTGAGATACAATCTTATATTATTTTTATGTGAAACTTTTTGGTAATAGCTACTATTTATTTGTAAGCATGTCTTAATCAAATGTGCAATTAAGTCAATAGAAACAACCTGGGTTGACCTTGACATAGTTTATAACTTTCATTGTCTGAATGATGGCCCATACAGTCCTCATGTGACATGTGATGATCCCCAAATATGCTTGACAGGTGGGGGTGACTACATGTGTTTCCCAAACCATAACATTCAAAGGTATCTGCATGTCGGGACCCAGAGAGGTAGGAACACCACAGGTGTGATGTCAGTAGGCCACACCATCATCCTCAGGGAGGATTCAGGGCAGTGGAGTGAAGCCCCATGACCTCTGAAAACTCCCTGGTCTGTGTCAAGTGTTGCCTCCCTGAGCATTCTTTAGATGGGGCATAGCTTCGGGTAAGTCCCCACCTGGGACTCTCTGGGCCTCATCTTCCTCATTTGCAAATGATGTCATGAACAGCATTCAATAAATAGAATCTATCGGGCTGGGCGTGATCATATCTTGAAGACTGGCTCTTGAATATTATGCTAGCTTGTTCAGAAGCGGTTTTCACTTAGTTTTAATTGGTTTTGTTTTTGTGTAGAATGCAATTTCATACAAGAAGTCTATTTTAATTGTGTAGCACCCCTAGAAATCTCAAAAAATGTTCGAGTTCAGTGAGATTTTATTAAAGTCCCAGGTTATTAAAATCACTTTTAGGCCAGGCACGGTGGCTCACGCCTGTAATCCCCCAACACTTTGGGAGGCTGAGGTGGGCGGATCATGAGGTCAGGAGATCGAGACCATCCTGGCTAACACGGTGAAACCCCGTCTCTACTAAAAATACAAAAAAATTAGCCGGGCGTGGTGGTGGGCGCCTGTAGTCCTAGCTACTTGGGAGGCTGAGGCGGGAGAATGGCATGAACCTGGGAAGCGGAGCTTGCAGTGAGCTGAGATTGCTCCACTGCACCCCAGCCTGGGCGACAGAGTGAGACTCTGTCTCAAAAAAAAAAAATCAGTTTTTTTAAATCTATTTTATTTAAGAACATATAAACAAGTGTATATGTTTATTTTGGCATAATTCTTCGTAAAAATGAATGTAATTAAAATTATCACTGGTCAAGAAGTTAGTTAACATTTTGGTATGTCTCTCCAACAAAAGTAGAATGAATCGCCAGCAAGGATAAATTCTGTAACATAGTAACAGAAAAATAATCTGTTCTGCAGTAGACAAATCTATGGTTATTAGCTATGCTTTTAGGTAAATGGATTGCCAATCATCAGAAACAAGCCAACAATGAAACACCCAGCCTGGCAGCATCAGAGGCGAAGGCTGGGTTTCCACCCATGGGTTGAGGAACAGAAGATGTCTTGTGTGGTTAAAGGTGATAAAGACTGGTTCCACTCCCATGATGCCTCCAGTGCTTGGCTTTTTTGCAGCTTTATTGTGGTAATGACTTTTCAGGTATTTTGTGCAATAGGCTGAAAAGCTGAAGAATGCATTTCCATTTTATGTCAGAAAAGAACTAAGAAAAACGCAGCTCTCAAGGTTTTGACTGGATCTGAGCTGACACTGAGGCTCTGGCACGCAGAGGAAACGTCATATCTGACATTCTTTCACTCATTCACATTCATTTTGCGCATGTGCCCTGGGCAGGATTCTAGCAGCTGGGGATGCCCCCCCGAGCAAGGAAAACACCACCCTTCTCTTAGGGAGCTTCTAGTTGGGATTTTGTTCAGCTGAATTTTAAGAAAGTATGAAAATTTGTATTCTGGATACAATCTTTCCCTTTTTCTTTCTAATAAAGAAATGATTGATAATAGGTAAACATTGTGTAAAATACAGAAAGCACATCTCATGATCAAGCAATCAAACATTTTCCTAACGTAGGTCGTGCATCTTCTCTTTAAGGGATTTCCGTCAGTGTTGCAAACTGGTGAAAATATATCAGTGCACGGGAAGAAACAGTTAAATGAGGGGAGTTGCAAATTCAGAATAAATCAGGCTTGCTACCTTGTTAGCAGGTAGGGACAGGAGCTGAACTCTACACAGAGGTGGACAACTGATGGACCTCAGGTTCCAAGTTGCTTCCTGACCACATGAACACACAGGTATTATGAGATCTCAACAAAGGCTGTTAACATTCCCAATAAATAATAAGTCATGGCTCTGCTACCTCTTTGTTCTTGAGGCTAGTTAAAAAAGAAAGTCCTGGGGCTGTATTAGCTCCATGGGCAGATGGACCAGGCATCAGGAGCATGAGTGGGGTGGTCTTCAGGCTGGTCCTTCAGCTGCTGGGATGAGTCTATGGCCACCCAGGAATGTCTATCAGACAGGTGCCTCATGAGCTTCCAGCCTCCTGCTGGCTTCCAGGAGTTCTCCCAAAAGGGCTACAGAACCTGGCCATGTAGCCCACCCTCTTGGTAAGGGACAAACTCAAGACTCCCTAGGGTTTTGTCATATATTATATGTCCTGTCACTCTTTTCTTGTTGACTGAGTTGAAAGGGACCGTCATTTGGGACTCTGCTACTCAGAGATCCGAGGGGAAGTCCTTGAATAAACAATGCTGACAGTCAGCATGCTAACGTGTTAAGAAATCTATTTTCCATTTATTATTGGTGACTTAGAATAGTAAAGCCATTTGAAGTTGCTGCTGTCTTCAGGAGACTGCATTAGAGGGTAATCAGATGACAGTTGACTCGAGTCTCTTACTCAGCAATGATTTTTCATATTTATGCCCTGATCAAATGCCCTTTTCAGGGCTTCTTTTGCCTTTTCCCAAATTTGAATGTTTAAGATTTCCTGCCATCAAGTCTTTCCAGAGGACAAGTGACCAGGCTTCCTTCCCGATGGTCCTTCACCCCACGTGGAACCTTTCGTGAAATAACACATGCTCAGGAAGGCTGCGTCTATGCATCTACACATCCTCGTCTATCTAGATCTACACACAGGAGTCTTCCCCCTTATCTGGAGGGTTTGCTTCCAAGACCCCCAGTGGGTGCCTAAAACTGTGGACAGTACCGAACTCCATACATGCTATGTTTTTTTTCAATCTGATAACCCAGACAGCTACTAAGTGACAAGTGGGCAGGGAGCATAAATAAGCTTAGTACGCTGGACCAAAGAATGATTCATGTCCAGAGAGGGACGGAGCAGGATGGCAAGAGACTTTATCACGCTACTCAGGATGGGGCACAATTTAAACTTACGAATTGTTTATTTCTGGAATTTTCCATTTGCATTTTTAGACTGCGGTTGACCTTAGGTAACTGAAATTGTGCAAAGTGAAACCCTGGATACAGGGGAACTACTGTATCCCTCTCTCTGCAGATCTGTATCTCTCTATATGTAAACACACACAGAATTCTTGCAGAGCCCACTGAAAGGGATTTACTTTCTTTTTAATATTTTTGAAGGCTGCTTTATGATCCTGTTGACCTGCTATTAGTCGAAGCTTAGCTTTCAGCAAAGGTAATTAAATTATAAAATCACTGCTGCAATCATCAAACTACTCATAAAATAAGAAATGAAAAAAAAAACCCTGAAATAAAAATCTTGCAGGCTTCTCTTGCAATATTGCTCCCTGATGTTAATTACATTTAAATGGGCGAGTACTATTTTGGTATCATTCATACGCCTCCAAAAGTACTTTCCAGTTTATCATACCTGTCAACCTCAGTGCATCACTGGCTAATACTTTATTAAGAAAAAAATCATTAGGGAGCCTCTGATCCCATTTAAGTACATTGGGCAGAATGTAAGACTAATTAAAAAGCATATTTTTACATTATTAATTTCTGAGTTTCACACTTAATGAATGTGAAATGACAGGGCTACTATTTTTACATTCTGGCACTCTGGGCTTTCTAGTCCGGGGAATTAAATTCTGGGGATTTTTGCAAAGATGTTGCTTGGGAGATTTGTTTTCAAGGAAGGCTAAGCTTTTTAGCTATGCCTTTTCCTGGGAAATTATACTAAAGCACATAACAGCCACTTAAAAAGAGTAGTTAAATAGATGTTATTTTTTTCACCATACTGCTATAAAAGTATTTTAGATGAGGTATAAAATATGGTTTTTAAATGATATTATGATTTGCAAACACTAAAAAATAATTGCAGCGCAGTTGAGAGAGAGAAAACATCTAATCTTTATTGTGTAAGACAATGTGATAAAATATTTTACAGCCAAAAGCTCATTTTGCATCTGGAAAATTGTGTAAACTGATGGAGAAAATCTCATTAAAACTAAAGGTTATTTTTTTTAATATTCTCAGAACAAAGCAACACATTCCAACTGCATTTTTCTTTTTTCATATTTATTCAATCAGATAGTCATACAAGTGCCTCACATTCGATATAAATAAAGGCATAAAATGACAAGACCATGTAGATGGACAAAGATGAATTATGCCAGGATGCAAAAGATACATGTTAGGAGCAACCGTGGGTGTTCTGCGGGCTCGTTAGCTGTATTCAGTTGCAGGGATACATTATTAAGTATTAGGTGTTACATTACTTAAAACTTCGCCAGCTGAACGCTGGCTTCCCTTCCTGAGTGTGCACACACAGCCCATTTTTACAGGGCTATGCAAAGAGCAGGATAGAAAAAAAAAATCCTTTCTTTTTTCCTTTCTTTTTCAAATGTGCTTACAATTACCTCTCTGTATTTTTATTGTCTTTTTACAAACCACAAACTCACACTGGAGGCAAAGCTTAACTGCTGAGGCTTTCCTCATGTAAATATTAGGAAATTACATTTGTACAAACTGCGGGGCTTTGTCAATGGGGGCTGGAGAGCCTCCAACACAAATTAATCAGGATAAAGTTGCTCTATGTTGAACATGACCATAGTTTATTTTCTTAAAGTATTAATTTGTCAACAGCTTCCCTGCCTCGGCGTGGCTCATTTGGAGGGCAGAAGAGGAAGACACAGATGTGGCTGGCGCAAGCTGCATTTTCACCTTGTGGTTTTAGGAACCGATTGCAGTTAATCAAAACAAAAGCATGCTTAATTTTTCAGTATGAATGTTCATGTAAACGCGAAATATCATATGACAGAAATGTGAACATACACATAGGTGCTTCACAAAGGCTTGTTTTTGGGGGAAAAAAATAAACTAATTTAGTCTGATGTTGAATAATTGGTGTTAGTTTGTGTTTTTAAGAATTTCAAAAAAAAAATGCTTGCAGAGCCTGCACCTCTAATTTTCTGCTTCTTCTAGAAGCCACTCCATGGGAGCTGCAGCAGAGAGTGACACTCACTGCCTCATGCCTTCTTGGTCCTAAAACTGTTGTGGTAATTTTAATTATAATCTTGATGTTCTTAAAATATTTTGTTTCTAGTTATGCTTCTGGAATGGAGAAATGTGTGTAATGACCTCTATTTTTCAGATTTGCCAAAACAAATTAAGGAAAATGTTCAGCTCTCCCTTTGCCAAATGTTTAATGCTTTTCTATGAAAGCAAATCTTACTTGTAATGTATATTAAACCCGAAGTAAATAATGCATCCTGTCAGAGGCAAATGCTATTGTGCAAGGAGGAACGGCTACCAATTTTGCTTTTGATAAAAACAGATCATAGGAAGGATTTCATCATTCTAAGAGCACCCTCATCTGCCTGGTGATAAAGTCTGCGCATGAGTCTAACACGCCTATCAGAAGGTAACCCCAAGCCCAGTGAACTCATTCATGTCTTATTGAACCACCTACTTATCAGCCATTTCTTGAAAAAACCCCGAGCATTATGTTGACCAGGTCTCAAAGCTAATGCAAATGAACTCTCTAAAATCCCACTTTAATTTTTCCCACCTAGGATTAAGGTATTACAATGATGAACTGATTCCATGGTGGTCCTCTTCTTCCTTCCCCCTCCCCCTACCCCAACCCTCTGCTCAAGAACAAGGGCAGATGCAACAACCCTGCCTCTGAAGCTGGCCTGGCTGGGGTGAGGGGCAGAGGTCTCCTCCCCTTAACTCCTCCTGAAAAGAGCAGCCAGGCTCGGCCAAATCGCTTCTTTTCCCCACTTCATTATGCCTATTTTGAGCGAAAATAGACGTTAAGACGGTTAATAAGAGCCAATTCCGTATATCCAGATTAACTGGCCTCCACCACCTCTCAGGTTTTCCTGGGTCGTTTATATTAACACACATCTTCAAATATTATCGACGCTCCCCATGTTTTATTAGTTTGCATTTACATCGTTCACCATTTTATTATTCGAGATTTCCGCTGTTGCCAGGTATTAATCAATGTATTATGCGGTTCACTTGGGCAAGCTGTGCAGAGGAGGGTGCCCCTAGGGTTACCACAGTCAAGAGCGAGAAAAGTGTTTTAGACATGTACACAACATGTGGTTTACTATTATCATTAAATGAGGTGAACTGGGACTCTATACATATGGATTTTGAATTGCATAAATTTTGATTGATATCATTTGAAGACTGAGGCTCTGAAAGGCTAGATTTTGTGAAAGACGATACACAGACCAGCTATTACCACATACAATCATACCAGGAAAAGTATCTGAAATGAGCAAGGCAGCTGGCTTTTAAATAGCTAAAACATAACATCAATACTTATTTTGAATAATGGAAAAAAGAGGTAAAAGATGTTGACCCCTGCCTGACAGGAACACGCTCAAAAGCAGAACTGGTCCCCAGGGACCGCCCCAGCTCCACAGTAGCGCCAAGCCCTGCTCTTTCTCCGCCTCTCTGCCTTTCTCAGTACCCCCCACCTCCATTCTCCCCCCTTTTATCTGTCTCAAAAAAAAAAAAAGTAAATATTTTTTTTGAGCATTAAGCCACTATGGACAAGCGGCTAGAAAAAGAATTTTCACAAATTCAGGAAACACTTGAGAGGTAAAACCAACATCCTGAGACAGAAGACAGGCCAGCTTTTGACACCAGGTTGGAGCTGCGAGGCCTAAAACGTCCAGCCAGGAAGTGCTTGCCCCTGGTCAGGGCTCCAGAGGCCCCGGCCAAGGCAGGAGAGCGCAGAACTTTCCACGCGCCACCGCAACCAACAGGCCTCTTCATGGGAAATTGGCTGAAAATGTGCTGACCGGCATAAAACTTTTATTAGAATCCGAGAGCAGGAGGCTGAACTTCCAGGGAATGACGGGTCTGGGCGGGCTGGGGAGGGCGCAGCCAGGACCCAGACCGGGGCGCTCGGTCCCCCAGCCGGCCCCCATCCGTGGAGCCTGCGCCCTGCCGTAACTTTGGGGGTCGGCTCCCTGGGCCCCCAGCTCACGATGCCCGCTAGGAGCCGGCGCCGGGGCGCCCCAAGGCTGCCTCCCCCCGCAGCGCTGCGCAGTGCGCCCTGGTGGGATGGGGACGCTGCACCCCTGAACCCCCCCAAATCCGGCAGGCCTAGGGCTGGAGGCGCGGAAACCCTCACTCCTGCCGAGCTCCCGAGCGGGACAGACTTTCTGAAAGGGGAAAGGGACATAAATCAGGAAATTAAAAAAAAATAGTTTCTGCACATTTTCAAAACCCACGTTGCGCTCTCTAAGGTCCTTTTCATTTTAACCAAATCAGGGGGAACTTGTCCTCACAGCGGCGAGGCAGATGGAACAATAAATCACAGGCGCCGTTGACTGCCTGCAGTGCGCTCTCCACAGCTGTCACTTTTTTGTCTCTTTGGTTTTAGCTGACATGGTTTGAGGTCCACTGTGAACCAATCTGGACTTTTTTTTACAGTCATATCCATCAAAACGACCAGTGGCCATCAGCCCGCTGCGGCCATCGATCGGGTGGCCCCTGCCCCCGTGCAGGCCGGCGTGACCCGGCTCCTAGGTGAGGCTGGAGAGAAGGACCTCGTTTTAGCGGATTTTTTCCTTTTTTTTTTTTTCTTTTGCCTCCAGCTACAGCTGTGATTTTCTGAGCAGTCTTGGCTAACGTTATTAAAGTTGCATCAGGATAGATACAGAGCAAAGCAGATAACAGGCTCCGCGCGCGGGAGCTGGAAAGACCGGCAGCCTCTGGTTCCTGTTGTTGTTTTTTAAGTGCGCGGAGGCGCAGGCGAAACTCGGAGTTTCCAACTCGTTGCTTATTTTGCAAAGTAAACAAGCAAATGTTATGTGCATAACCTTCGCTGTCTCGCTAAAGGTCAGCGCGCCCCTGCTCATTTCCCGGGCTGCCTTTTGGGGGCACTCTGATGCCGGGGATTTCCTCGGGTGTTGGGGAAACAAGACGTGCTCGCCTAACAAAGACTCAATCTACAAAGGCTGCAAAACAAAAACATTGATTACATCTGAATTGGAGTGCGGAAGTTTGCTTCGGGGGTATAAAATATCAGCCCCTTAAGCGCTAAATAGCGAGAGGGCTGGGCTGGGGCCAGAGTGCCCAGGCGCATTCCATAGACATTTCCTGGAGAGGAAGATTCCCTGTGGCCGGCTCCTACAGTAGTCACCCAAGACAGGATGGCAGCGAAAATTCAGGAGATAAGAGGCTAGGTTAAAATAAAGTTTCCCTGGAATTGCGTTTTCTTCCATAGTGGCATGTCACGTTAACATCTTTGAAAGTACTTAGGCAGAGATAATTTCATGTATGTACACAAGTTTGAACACAAGAAAGAACCAGGCAAGACACAGAAACACACACACACACACACACACACACACACACTTATATGTGGGAATAGGGAGCTCATAGATACACAATTAAACAAAAATTGGCTGCTTAAAAATCCCCAGTTAGGTCAGGTTAAATTTATTATATTCTTTTATAGCTGAACTGTATGGTTTTGACTTGAGGTGACAGTTGAAATGCACCAGAAACCTTTGGAATTTCAGTACTATATATTACTATGAGGAAGAAAATAAAGTTCTACCATTAGAAGGGCTTGCCTTAAATGTTCAAGGAAAAAAGATGTTAATTTTTCCCTGCAATCTTTTTCTTAAGTATGGAGTGAGTTACATGGGTAGAACAGCCAGCTAAGTGTAATATCAACATAGCTGGGAAGCATCTGTCCTTGCTCTGCGTTAGAAATTGTCAGATTGCTGTAATGCAATAGGGGAAGATCGCTCATAGTTTTAAGTGAAAACACCTACTTTGGATAATGTGCATTGTTGTCCTTCTGAAGAATATCTTCTGGGCAAGATTCAGAGCCAGGTGTATTTTTTGCTATAAGCATTATTGACCATTGATAATGTCCACCAGGACAGAACATGAATCTTTTTATGCAAGGCTGCCAAAGGCTGTCCAAAGTTCAATTCCAAGTGAGATGGAAAGGGGAGGATTTTTTTCCCCCAGAAAAATTTCTCCATTTTTTGAGAGGTGTGTATTCATACAGTTCCTTTTGAGTTTTCCTATTCAAATCACCTCTGACTTTAAAAAATAGATTAAATGTGGAATCCACTCTGGAAATGGTATCTGTGTGCAGTGGCAAATGCCCTGTGCTATGTCAGGTGTCTGCAGTGGATTTTGTAATCCTCGGCACCTTCCTGGCAATCACAGTAAAAAGCGCTCCTTAAATTGTGTAGGCCATCAGCAAATGCCCGGAATTACCTCTGACTGGGCCCGGAGCTGAGCAGTGCTCTCTGCTGTCTTATCACTGTTGTAATGACATTGAAATATGCAGTGTCGCCGCAGCCACTCTGCAGGTCAGAGGTACAATTCTCTGTACCATTTCTGGAGCGTGGTCTTGTAAGGAGGCAGCCAGCATCTGGCCTGACTGGCTGTGTGGTTGCAGGTGAAGTAGTTTTATTTGGGCACCAAAGGAGAAAAGGCAACACAAAACAAAAAGAACAACCAACAAACAAAAACTTAACTCAAGTCCTGATAAACAGGCCGTATTTCTGTGTGCTCCCTAATTTCTGTTTGATGGAAATATGCCAGAAGTGTCTAGTTATCAGAATCCAGAGTCAGGGTCTTAAAGGGCTGGTGTCCAGAGTTACAACTGTATGCATATAAATGCGAGAAATTAATTTCCGATTCCTAGGAAAGCAGTGATAACAGGTTCTGTATTTTTTCATTCTTTGGCACAAAGAATTCAAGAAAAGGAGACAATGTCTCAAATTCTGCCCTAACCACAGAGCCACGGTCTTCCAGCTGCGTTCCCAGCACACAGGGGCATACTTGAAGGCAGTTAAGGAATCTGCTCTTTGGTTTGCATGACATAGTTTTCAAAGCATCCAAACTGTTAAAAAGGAAGCAGAACACCTTTCTGAGCCAGCGTCGTTTGTCGTTCGGTTCTGGCCTCTATCCGTCCGTCTGCACGCTAGGAGCTCGGTGACCGGCATTGTCAGCTCAAGATGAGATTGTATTTTTCACCGTGACTGAAAACACTCCCTGATGGTTGGGCAATTGTTTTATTTCTATTTTTCACTTGACTCCAACCCCTAGTGCAAAAGTACCAGAGCAACCAGAGGGTCACTGGAGCTCGATTTTTCTTGCATTTGTCATCCTGAGGATAGGATTCCTACCTGCTCCTTTAACCAAACGCTTGAGAGCCACAGCAGGGCTGGACAGGATCTCCTCGCAGGGGATTCTACTGATCAGCACCACGTTTAGGTATTCAACGGAATTTTGCAGATCCCTTCTTGAGACTGCTTATATTTTGCTTTTATTTTATGTGCCAAATTTACAACAGAAAAAAAGACATTATTTAGATGTCTGCACTTCTGTCAGGACATAAGACTTAAAGGGGGACAGATTTTTCCTATTTTAGGTCTTCAAAGGAGCAAAAAGAAAAAAATAACATGGATACTGTATTTCTTCAAGCTTTCTTCTAATGTCTCTTAAATCACTCACCATTTATTAAGTATAAATCCTGCAGTGTGCTTCCAAGAAGAGTACCCAGAAATGGAACAACAACAACAAAAAAAACAGAGAGGAATTTACAAATAAGTGTTATCCAGGATGGGAGCTTAAGGTTGACCGCAGTGCAGCGGCTGGATACATGGATGTGTTGTAGGTAGCACGCACAGGTAACCAGCGAACTTGAGCAGTCTGTCCGCTTTCAAGAACCACAGCCAATGCTAGGTGTGGCTGGTGGTGGCCTTTTTCATGCTATTCACATTACATCCCTTTTTTCTTTTAAAACAGCACGGCCAGCTGTGGCCAGTAATTGCGTGTCTTTGTTCTAGGGGCTTTCTAAAGAGCTCATCAATAGGGTAAGCATGTATTTGCAGAGTGTTTTTCATCCACTCAAAACAAGTGGGCTGCACCATCACACGAGCCCTCTTGGCCGGCAAACAGTGCTCCTTGTCCAGGAAGTCAAATGCCTGTAACTGTGAAGAGGGCCGACCCAAGTGTAGAGCCAGCCTTTCTCTTTGCAACATTTGAATATCTTAAGTAGAGAGTTGCTGTGAGCAAAATGAAAACATGTCATGTGCCCAGGTGACATTTTGTAGCAAACAAGGACATCACAACCCAGGAAGTGTTGTATTTTATGCCAACAACAACCTGACAGTTTTCTCTGTAAAGAAAACATGACACTTTTCCAAATATCAGAGGAGGCGTCCACCGCTCAAGGGATTGCTGTCCTGTCACTGAACTGGAAGGTCGCAGACTGGCTTCATGATTTCTGTGGTTTCACAATGTGGAGGTGGAGGGGTTTGCACGCTGAATGCTGTAGGCTAAGGGAAATCTTCCCCTTCATCTTGGAAAACAGTGACAGGAGGAAAAAGGTCCTATGTTGACAGCAGTAACCTCTAGGTTTAAAGACTCTGCCCTAAGCAAGGTAAGTAAAATTGCCCATGTGAATGCATTGCCAGGGCTGTCCTGTGTATGGGAAGGGCTAACGTTAGTGTGCAAAGCATCCTCCTCCCCCTGCCCCTGGGAGTTCTACTGTAGATCAGGGCAGAAGGGATTCTTACTACGGATAAAAAAAAATTCCTGTTTCATAACAGCTTCGGACCCCATGTCTCTCCACCTCTACTCTGTGTGCTGGAGATGATCAAATGCACTCTCGCTACGCCATGTCCTCCAGATGGGGAGCTAGCCCAAAAGGGCCACACACTGGCATTCAAGGGAACTTGCTTTTTGGAAAGTGCTGTAGAGAGGCTTTGAGGTGTCTTAAAGTGCTTATGGTCATTCTGTCATTTCCCAAAAGTGCACAGCAGGAGAGAAGCTCCAAAGGCACCTGTGAGCGGTGCACGCCTCCGGACTGGGGCAGGTGTGCCCGGCGTGGCCTGAGCCCCCGAGTGTCCTGGGAGGATCAGGAGAACAAGGGAGGCAGCGCTAATGAGAATACAAGACTGACAGTGAAGACACAGTTTGCTTCCCTTTCACAGTGAGGAGACTCGACTTTGAACCCTGATAAATGTTGATGCCCTGCTTTTATCTGGTCTCAGCTGTGCTGCTGAAATAAAAAAAAAAATTCTTTCAACCAATGTCTTCTAAGAGTGGGGTTCCATTTTAATTAGTAGAAAGGCAAAATGTCCCTTGCCATGTCAACGCATAATTTTCTTTGAGCTAAAGTAAAACAGGCTGCTGCCTACAACTAGGAAGAAAAATAAAATATAATAATAATTAAAAAAAAAAACCCATGCTTGAAAGCAGAGAGCAGAGTTGAAGCCCATTTGCTCTCCACACACCGCAGACACACCCCTGCCTGGCCTCCCCAGGCCTCCACAGCCCTCCCCACTCCTTACACTGTAGGTGATATACTTCCTGTTGCCCCTTTTATAAGCAATAAGAATTTAATAACTGAGGGCAACTCTATAGCAATATTTATATGGGTCAAGTGGCTTAAAAGTATGCAATAAATGTAAAGTTATGAACCACATTGCCCCTTTTTAAATAATGCAATGAGCACGGAGATATTATGTTTCATATTCTGGAAAAAGGTGTTTCGGGCTAAGCTCTTGGCGTACAGCAGACATGAAAAGTTATACTGAGCCCGTAACAGAGTCACTGCCTGCTTAATATGGTGTGTTATGTAGAGCTCCTCATCCTAATCTCAACCCACAGCAAGAGGGTCCCAGATGGTATCAACAAAATCTCAGCTTCTCATTAGCAATCAGCAGATTCTCCTGGTGTCTGCTAGTTTCCAATCAAGGCGAGAGCCTCCACTCCTCATGTGAAGCCCAGTAGGATAATAGAAATAATGTTGCCTAATCAGTGGCAAGCACTTGAGATCCCACATTCATAACGGGCTGGAGAGAATTTGGTGGAGTTGCCGTTCAGCATTTTCACAAGTTCCAGAAGCCCGGGAACACACAGGCACTAGGGTGGCAGGAGGCGAGACCTGAGGACACAAGGTCCCCATGAGGGACTGGATGCCCCACTCGCTCTGAAACCCTCTCGGGCCATGGTGGGAGGGGCTCCTTCCTTATTCGGATGTTTGTGGGAAGTTACATTTCCTGGGCAAGTCTGAACAACACGAGGCGCTGTGGGTCGCATTCTGGTGCAGGTTATGCCATCGCCAGTGATGATGGTGACTTCAAGCGGCGGCTGTTAGCTCTGCACAGGAATGGAATTGTGTCTGAGGCGGCCTGGATGGCACTGCCCAAGCCACCTGAGGGGCTTGACAGAATTTAGAGGAGCAGATGCAGGCCAATTCTTCCCAGTGCTGGCAGCCCGACATCACCTGTCCACTCAGCACCTCACCGGGCGGAGCCCCGGCTCATGCCGTCTACTACCTCCTGGCTCAGTGCCTGTCCTCAGGGACAATGTGTCAGCCTGGGGGCTTCAGTGTCCGTTGCCACATCTGGCCACCCACCTGGATGGAAGCTGGCTGACAAGCACCACCATGCCTAAGTACAGGGCCACCCAGTGTTGACACGGGGGCGTCTGGCCCTGAGACGTACCCACTTACCAAGAAGTGCATTTGGAGCCTGTTGGTCCCAGCTCCCCTTCTTCAGCTGCGGTAGTCACCTGGGCCACACCTGTGCTGGGCCAAGGCTTGTCCCCCGGCTCTGCCCAGAGCACCTAGGCCTCAGCAGCCACCCCCAGCCTGAGGAGCGCAATGCCTGCAACAGAGAGACTTTTTTTGTGGTTACAGAGGAGAAAACAATCACAGCCAGGCTCCACCAGGATAGGCGTCCCCTGGGCAGGCTTCAGTGTGGACACACTGGCCTACGATAGGACTGGAGGCAGGAGCCCCCCAGCAGGCTACACTCAGAGGCAGCCTTTCCCAGCCCCTCTCCAGACTTAATAGCAGACACCAGGCCAGTAGGGAAAGCAGAGGAGAGGCTCAGGGGGCCGGAAGAGCTCTCCGAGGGAGGCCTCTCCCTCTCACCTCCCAACAGGGACCAGCAGGCAGTCAGGGCAGGGCCAGCTCACGGCCCGTGTGGCCCCACCTCGGTGGGGCTGGAGTGTTGCTCCTCTGTCAGCCTTGCTGGCCTGGCTGTGAGGTCACAGCCCAGGGGTTCTGGAGGGGGTTTTGAGAATGGGCATGATTCCCGGGCCTGTGTGTCTGCTGTGTTGATCATCTTCTCCGTGGTCAGCATAAGGACCACTGAGGCATGACTTGGACACTTTGTAGATTATTCACAGAAACAGCATTCATTCCCTCTCTGGTTCCCCTTTCATATTCAGCCCTGGCCTCTGTACTAGGGGAGAGAGCAGATCTGAGAAACAGTCTGAGCCTGGTATAACTAGGAAGGTGTCCGTGCTGACATGAATCCCGTGTTCAATGTCCGTGTCTACCATACGTACCCTTTTATTATTCCTTGTTCTTCTTTTACCTGGGGCCCGCGCTGCTCTCAGGCCAACAGACTGCCTCTGTTCCTATGCAGAGCATGTAGACTTCCTGACTGCTAACTTCTCCATAGAAGGAAAGAAGGAAAAAAGGGAAGAAGGGAGGAGGGAGGGACGGAGGGAAGGGGAGAGGGAAGGAACAGCATATAAGCTAAATTGCATTAGGTGTTTCAACAACATAACTCCATACTGAAGTTTTATTTTCGCAGATTGTCTGCAATTATTTCTGTGTTGTGGAAATGACAGCTCTGTTCCAGACTATTATTTTCTTAACGAGAGTTTGCAATACAGAGTAGAAATCAAGTGTTTAATTAAAAAGAAAAGTTCTGCATTTTCTTTTAGTAGGCAAAGGCAGGAAATACCTTATTTGAACTCAACATATTTCTTCAGGCAGAAACATCCTATGAGCTGCATGTAGACTTGAAAAATCTGAGAGTGCTAGGACTAGAAGGTTATCTACCCCTGGTACGTTCCCTCCCTTCCTATTATCTCCCTTGCTAATTAAGATCACTGAGCTTGTGACAGCATCTGCAATGGTGTGAAGACTGCACATCTAGAAATGCCTGTCCTTCAGAGAGAAGGGCCAGCCCAAGGCCAGCTCATGCCCTGCCATCTTGACCACCTTGTGAAGCCTTTTAGACTTGGTCTCTCCTCCTGACTCCCCTTCCTGCACACTCTTCTATTAGACACGTGACAAACACCTTCCCCATTTCACTGTGAGCACATTCAGGGCAGGGACCAAGGCACTCAGCAAATATGTGTTAAGTGAATGATGCGTAAGTCAGCAGAAGCTCCTAGATGTTCAGGGCATCAGGAAGGATACTTTCAGTCTTGCTTTGCTCTCACGGAAACCCTGAGAGGGTACCATGCGGTGATTTGACTGTAGTGCCGAGGAATCACGTTGAATTCTGAAGGGTGGCTTGGTGGAGGAGGGCTGAACATAGCAGAGGAGTTGCCACTCTGCAAATGCAGCTGAGATGATGGAGGCTGTTCCAGGAGGGAGGATCTGTGTCCACAATGGACCTGGACCAAAAGCGTGCACAGGGCTGAAGTTGCACTTAGCTTGGACCCCATCCCAGCTCTCCTGCCCATTTGCCATTGGAACCTAGGCCAGTCACTTCCTCAGAACCTCAGTTTCCTCATGTGTGAGATGTGGACAATAGTAGCTCCTACCATCGGGGTTATTGAAAAGATGAGTTGAGCTGAGGAATGGAAAGGACTCAGTGCACATCCTGTGCATTGGCAGTGCGCTATAAATATAATTCTCAGTTTATTCATTTAGCACCAGGGTCGGCAAACTTTTTCTGAAAAGGACCAGATGGTAAATATCTTCAGCTTTGCAGGCCATATGGTCTCTGTTGCAACTACTCAACTATGCCATTGTGGTGTGAAAGCAGCCATAAATAATATGCAAATGACTGGGTGTGGCTGTGTGCCAATAAAACTTTATTTACAAAGACAGAGGGCCAGATTCGATGTGCACACTGTCATTTGCTAACTCCTGATTTAGTACGTTATTCCTACTAGTACCACCCCCACCTCCTAGATACCAGTTTGGAAACTGTTTTGCCAGGGGCCCTGGGCTAGTCTTGGTCAGCATAAATCCTGCTGCCTGGGGCATTTTAACTGTTCGCAGAGATCAAGGTCCCATTAATCTGAAGACATTCCATTTTGTATCTAACTCAATTCAGTTTTACATGCACCATTGTGAAAGGAAAAAGCTTTGTCACTATTCATGATATTGTTCGTGATACAGTAATGTTGCTGCCATTCACAGAGCTAGTCCGGGCTCTTCACCTGTGTCTCATTTCAGTCCTTTTTGAACCTTTGCTTGTCATGAGCACAATGAAGGAAAAAGTCATGATTGGAGGAAGAATTGAAATAGCAGACAATTTTCAGGTCATTCTAGGAATATGATCTGTCTAACAGAACTATCAGATATTTTGTTTTTTAAAAATACTCTTACTGTAGTAATCTGTGTTCCTTCAAAAATCGAATTGATAGGCACTAAGCGAATCTTGGTTCTTCAATTAAATTGAAGCGTCATTGTATAGATATTTTCTCATGAGTTTTTCAGTGAGCTAACTTGCGGTTGCTTTATTTTTAAGGAAACACAACAACATGTCCCAGCCCTAGCGCCGGATGGTGAATGGATGTGAGATGGTCAATACCTGTGTTCAGGTCAACAGTAAGTCATTGAGGCACTGAGTGTGAAACAGGATCAAATGTCCTCAGGGAAGGACCATGCAGTAAGACAGGGCGGCCATATGGGGAGCTCCAGGGTCCTAGGGAGGGACCCCAGAGGGAGCAATCCGATTGGAAGAGGAGTGGACTCTTGATGGAGATCTGCATAGGAGACACGCACGGCTTTCTTCAGCCCCACTTGTTTTCTGGAGTGGCCGTGGTGACAGAGGGGCTGATGGAGATTGGGGAACACCGGGGTGCCCTAGTCCTGCCCCCTGCAGTGCCCCTTTCAGCGTCTTTACACAGAGAAAGAGTCTGGATAAGGGGAAACAGTTTCCCTGGTGTGATTCTTTCCAGAAGGGATGATGAGCACAGGGTTGAAGAAATGGCTTCCGCAGAGCAATGGAAAATTGTTGCATTATGGTGTGTGCAGAAAATCACAAGTATGGAGGACGCAATGTACAGGGGCAGTGCGGGGCAGGACAGACTGAGATAAATGTGACAGCAATGGAACTGAGCTTTCTATTGGGAGTGATGGCTGTCCAGGCTAGAATGGTGGATGGCAGGGCAAGGGGACCTGGCCACAGCTGAGTGGCTGGACCGAGCCAGTGCTCTGGGAAGAAGGGAGCTAGAGGGCAGCCTAGGAAACCAGCATGCTCCCATGATGGCGCCTGACACCTGCACGTGTCTTTCTGATCTCCACGGGGCTACCCTCATTCAATCATTCAATAATCATTTATTAAGTCAATTGTTATGAGCTGGGCATGTGCTCCTCCTGGAAGATACAGAATTGGAATATGGACCCTGGCCTCAAGGGGTTCACAGTCTAGTGGGAAAGAAATGTTCGGTGACTTATTTAGTCAACAAATTTTTATGGAGCACCTATTATGGGCCAGGGGCTTGGTGGGCACTGGGAATCCAGCTGTGAATCGCAAGTGTGATTCCTGCCCTCCCAGCTCTTGTCTGCTAGTGGAAGGGCCCATCCTCTGCAGGGATCCATGCACTCCCTGTTCTGACACCTGCAGACTCTGGGCTCCACTCTTTGATTAAAGACAGCTCAGGCCTCCATCCCTCATAGAGCTGGGAGGCCCCTGCTCTCTGGGCTGGGGTCTGGGGGCTCGTGTCCCTGTGGTTTTGGCAGAGTGTGGGGCCTCCACTCTGGCCCATCATGCTGGGCTCTGGGGTTGGCCTTGGTCACTGACTGTGCTTGCAGCCCATTGCTCTGGGCTCTGGAGAGTCCTTTACTTTCCCAAAGTGCCCCTCACAGGAGGCCCTTGTGTATGTAGACTTTATTACTATTATTTTTAATTGACATAGAATAATTGCACATATTCGGGGGCACAGTGTGATTTTTCAGTACACGTATATAATGGGTAATAATCAAATAGGGTAATGAGTATATCCGTCACCCAAACATTTATCACTTGTTTGTGTTGGAAACATTCAGAAGTCCTCTCTTGTGGCTATTTGAAAATATACAATGCCATGTTAACTGAGGTCACCCTGCAGTGCTGTGGCGCAGTAGAACCTGTTTCTCCTGCCTCACTGGAATTTAGCCACCTCTCCCTCTTCCTTTCTTCTCTTACCCATCCTAGTATATTAAGACATTTGCTGAAGGTTTCATGCTGGAGGGGTGTCTCGGGAAACGCAATGCAGGCACCCTCTCCTCAACTCCTGTCGACACTTCTTTCTAGTGTGGCCCAGGCCTGTCCCCATGCAGCCAGTCTCCCTAAGGCCCTGGAACTCTGGTGGAATTCACTTGGTTTCTCTCAGTTCCCTTTGTAGAAAGACCACAGTCAGAAGGACCAACATTACCCTGAATTAAGGGCACTGAAGCCCGGGGCTCTGGTTTGCCCTGAGATTCTGGTAGTTCCCTCCTCCCCCTCGGCCAAGGCTTTTATATCCTTAAGGGGCACTCGTTTGGCAAATGAGGATGCAGTGTCTGCTGTGCTCCAGGCAACACCCTGTCTTCCCTCCTCCTGCAGAGAGTGTGACAATGCATCACTTGGTCAAAGATAGAAAGTGTCTTCCCTGTGTGGGCTCAGGCTGATGGATCTCATGTGTGAGGGATGGGGGTCTGCATTCCCCTTTTGCTGGCATGAGTATCCTAGGTCATTGGAAGTGTCTTTGTGGCTGAGGATGGCTTTGCCGCTGCCCAGGTGTCATGGGTTTACCATCTCTGCTGGGATAAACTCCATCTTTGCACCTGCTGTGCCTGGCAGACTCCCAGGAGGGCAGGTGAGACATGGCTGTGTCCCCACCCAAATCTCATCTTGAATTCCCACATGTCGTGGGAGGGACCTGGTGGGAGGTGATTGAATCATGGGGGCAGGTGTTTCCTGTGCTGCCTGTGCTGTTCTTGTGATAGCGAATAAGTCTCATGAGATCTGATGGTTTTATAAGGGAGAGTTCCCTTGCACAGGCTCTCTTCTCTTGTCTGCCACCATGTGAAACATGCCTTTCACCTCCTGCCATGATTGTGAGGCCTCCCCAGACACGTGGAACTGTGAGTCCATTAAACTTCTCTCTTTTGTAAATTGCCCAGTCTCAGGTATGTCTTTATCAGCAGCATGAACACGGACTAACACACCATCTATTCAGCCAGCATTCACTGGACATCCCCTTGTGCCAGAAAATGGGCATTTGGCATGGCATCTGACGAATGAGGTGCCTGCCTTGGGAAGCTGACCACAAGAAGCCTGCATTTGCTGAAGGCCTTGTTATGGAGAGGCCCTGGTACAGGGACTTAGTTATTGCTCTTGATGGGTCAATTGTTGCTTGGTGTGTGTGGTTGTCTGAGGCTCACAACCAGGCCTGACTTCATGCAGCTGATGCTCGTGTTATCTCCCGTTTTCAGAAATGGGAACTGAGGCAAAAGAAGGTCACATCCCTTGCCCCAAGTCACATGTGGCTGACCCCAGTTCCTTACTTCAGAACTTACCCTCGTAACTGCTGCACTGAATGTTTGCAGGAGCACCATGGGGATGTTACTGACTTTGCTCACAGTACTACCTTCGCTTATGGGAAGACAAAACTTTTCTCAAAAGCGTCTTTCCAATAGGTTGAGCATAGCGTGTTTTGGAGCTGTGGCCAGACTTCCACACTCAGGAGTGTGAGAGCCACCCCTGGAAAGATCCCAGCGCTCTGACTTTCTACCCAGGCCAGAAGTGGTACAGAGTTGGTGGATTGGAGGTTCTCCATTCAGAACTGGCCATGGTTATATTACCGGGGAAAGATTCAGGTGGTGTGGCCAGAGCCAGCAGCTGCATCACGGCACCCATTTTATCCACCCCTCCCCTCCTTTACTGCAGAACCCACCTGGAACAACCACCTAAAAGCTTCGTTGTGGACAGATCGGTAGTCAACACGTTTGTGGACACATTGGTGGAGCACAGTTGAGCTCTGGAGCATGAGGGCTATGTTCCTTTTCTTGTAGATCTTAGCCTTTTGTCAAGAGCAAGTAAAACAGGTTTTGGCTAGGAATAATAATACTTTCTCCGAACTTCCTCTACCAGACATACAGACTTTGAAATGGTTCTCTTCCTAATCATGGAAAATATTTTTAAATTTAAATGATCTCTGTGATGCTCCTGGTTACTATTTATTTGTTCCTTGTCTACACATCTATTATTATTAGGTTTTTTTTCTGTAGCATAATATGGTCAATAAAAGTGGTTTGTTTCCTTAAAAAAAAAACAGAAAATAAAAAGTGTGTTGGCTTGAGGTGGTGCTTGGAACTGGAGCTGAGCTGGCTCTTCTCAAGGTGGCAGAGGGGAGGGTGTGAGGCTTGCATCAGACCTGGTTCCGTTTATTCTCTGCCATTAACCAGCCAAGCAAACTTGGGCGTGGTGAATTACTAAACAATAAATTTATCACATTTCCTCTCTCTGGGCCTTGGTCATATCTCCCAAGCCCTAGAAAATTCTCACTGTGTGAGGGCCAGGAACTGGACTAGAAGATCCTTGGAAAACTTTCTCTGGCATGTGATTCTCCAAAAAGATGCATGGATGACATCTTGCCAGACCCTCCCTTAATTACATCTAGTGAATTCTTTCAACTTTCTCCTTTTGTTGCAGGGCAGGTGAACCCCAGAACAAGGGCTTAGCCCTGGAGGGTTCTTAGCTTCACCCAGAAAGAGATTCAAGGGCAAACCAGCGGTGTTAGACAGCAATCTTTTATTAAATGGGAGCTGCTCCTTGCAGAGCAGAGCTAACTCATAGGTGGTGCACCCAGACCCACACTTCTGGGCTATTGGCAACTGTACTTATACCTACTTTCAGTTACATGCAAGTTAAGGGGTGGGTTAATGTAAACTGAGGGGCAGGTTATTGAGAACTTTCTAGGAAAGGGGTGGTAACTTTTGGGTCATTGGGACAGTAGCTTCTGGGTTGTTGCCATGGCACCTGTGGACTGTCATGATGCTGGTGGGAGTGTCTTATGCTAATGAGCAATGAGGGTAGCCAGGGATCACTTTCCTGGCCATCTGCTGGTTCCTGCTAGTTTTTTTACTTTATCCTGTCTGGACTGGGAAATAAGTCCTGGTGGTCTCCTACCTCACTTTCAAAATTATGGTTATCCTTGTGACACAAAACAGGCATGGAAGAAAAACGTCATGGTCAGTCCCTTGTACAGAGCTCCACTGATGCCAGAGAAAGCTGAGAGCTAATCCTGAGGAAAAGAATTTGGGGCATTGTGGATTCGTGCCTGGGAGAGATGGGGGAGGTTCATGACCAAGGGTTAAGTTGCTCATTTTGACAAAAGAGGGAAGCCATTGTATGTGTGGCTGGTGGGGTGGGGGCACACACCTGCACCTGCTATCCAGAAACCCCAGACTGATGGATTTTTATTTTGGAAGCATTGCATCAACCAGGAGAGAAGACCACTTGGGGGAGTGGGACCCTGAGCCGAGGTGATCCTTGGCCATGAGAGGTGAGACCCACTTTCTTAAAGAAGAGATGAGCGGGAGGATGTTAGAGAGGAGAGAGAAATGTCCATTATCAATGGAAGAGTAAGGGATGCCTTGCTATTCAGATTTCTAAGAGAAGTTTAGGGAGAACAAAATGGTTATACAAGTGGTAAAAGATCAAGCTCAGAACCTGTGGGTGGTTTACATTTGCCAATTTCTCAGCTTCTTGATTGTGTAAGGACAACTTTACAAAATATTACGTGCAACTCAGAGCTTTCAAGATATCAGTTATATTCTTACTGCCTAAGATACCATCTTTAAAAAGGAACTTCTAACAGCCTGAGAAGGCTGAGCCAGCATGGGGGCATGCAGCGAGTTCCACACACAGACACAGCTTTTGAGGCTGGAACACCTTCTGAGCTGCGCCGTCATTTTAATTTTTTTTTTCGTCGAGCCTAAAATGTGATCATTAGTAAGACACTGATGTATCCCTAAATTTGTTCTACTTCACAAGGCTCCTTCCCAACTAATTTAGAACAAAACTTGTTCGACATTTGCTCTGTACTTGGGTTCACAAATGTCATTTTTGTCCAAAGGAGCCCACAAAACACTGAAACAAACTCTATTTACACAAATATCTTCAGACTTGATAAACAGCTACCGCCCAGAGCAGGGCTGGTGGAGTAGTGGTTGAGTCCAAGACCCTAGAACGGCCAATGGAGCTATGGGAATGGGGCTGTCTTAAGTCAGGAGGAGCTGCCCTGTCCCCCAGTGAGGCTGCTAGGGGCTTCTTCCCGTCCTCATCCTCAGTGTAGACAGACCCTCAGCTGGAGAAAATGGTGACATCCTGGAACCACAAGAAAAGGTATCCAGCCAGAGCGACTGTGGGTGATCAGGTGGGATTGCTCTGAGTCCACTGACTCTGAAGTGGCTGCAGTGGCGACAGGAACAGTCCCATAAGCAAAACAAACATTCTTAAGAATGCTAATATGTTGGTTCTGGCCACGGGAAATGTGACCTTCTGCAGATAGAAAGGGATGTCTGGATGCATTGTGATCTGTACGTCTCAGTAATGGTGGGCAGCAACACCACACCAGAGGTCTCTGAAGCCTGTGGAGTCGAACACGCTCATTCTTCTCAACCCCTGGAGACCGGGAGCCCAGAACTAGAAGACCGCTGTCCTGCAGGAGGAATTAGAGGCAGCATTGGGTTGTCAGAGAGGCTTCTGTCTGGCATTTTGTGCAATTGCATTGTCAGAGCTCAGCACCGGGTGCCTCCCTCTGCTTTATACACACCTGCTTGGCACACACAATTGGATGCTCACAGTGAGGGAAGCGTCCCTGGAGAAGGCAGCCTCCTCAGTCACAGGATGACCTAAGGCAAGGATGGACCTCTTTCAGCCCGACTTCCTTTTGCTTTTGGTTTTGAAGGAAGCATTTTTACTACTTAGTAATGTTTGAGCAAAGTGTTTTGTGAAGGAGACCAAACACAGTCTTTGGTGCAAGGATATGATGAAGGTTCCCAAATAAAAATGCACAGGCCCCTCGTGATGCGGGTCCCTAAGTGCCAGCTGTCATTCTCCACCCACCTGCCGTCTTAAAACTAACCTTTCTGTCACCTCTGCGTGTCTCCTCCCTTGTCCTGTTTTGCAGAACCAAGCTGAGTCAGTGTTTCAAGCAGGGGTGACATGTTAACAGCTTAATAATAGTATAATCTCACCAATAATAATATGCTGTCACCCTGTCTGAAGCACAATGTTTACAGGAGACGTGGTAATGTATGATGACAGTAATTTGAATAAAAATGAATTTACTGCTCTTGTCTCATTTGCAGTAAATTTTCACATCTTTCATGCACAACTGCTGTTCTATGACCTCTCTCATCATTGTGTTTGTGGCGGTGGTGGTGGCTGGCTTTAAAGTGAAAGGCGGGCAAATGAAACAGAAGCCTGCAGCTAATAACCGATCTCCAGAAAGGAGTTCACACTGTAGCTTCTAGAAAAATCTTTCTTCGCTTGTTTACCAAGATGAAGCCGCATGGGCTGGGCTGTTTAATTAATACAAGCTGGAGGTGCCGACTGGGGAGGGGATGTGGACACATAGGATTGTAGATTGACAATTACAGAACAATTGCCATTAAAACACGTTGGGGATGGCAGGTGCTTGAAATACAGGGGGCCCTCGGTAATGCGGTGGACTCAGTCAGTTTCAGGGAGTGGCCTTCTGCCCATCAGATCACTTGGTACCTTCGGGTTTTTGCCCCCTCTAGGGGATCTCTACTTTCCTGCGGCAGCTACGGCTTCAAACATGCACCCCTCAGGATGCTCCTTCCTCCCACCCCACCCCCGCAACACAGGCAATGTCTTCAGAAAGGCAGATCCCAGCCTGTGGTCACCCTGGGTGTGTGCGCCAGGACACCATTTGCAAAGACTCGTCGCAGGAGGCCCCTGGCTGCCTGGTACTGCTGCATTCTTTGTGGCGAAAAATTAATATGTGAATAATTGGTCTCAAATGAAGCTGTGAGTAAATTATGTTAAGTGTGGAGAGGAGAAAGTTATGACATCCTGCTGACACGCTTGTACTGGATATAATTTGATGGAATGAGGACAACAAATTAGAATTTGCTGAAACTTAAACAGGGACAGAGAAGTGGTTCTAAAAACACGCCGAGCTTCAGACATGCACAGTGGACGGGCTGGCAAAGGGGATGAGATGCTGCTGGTCTTGATGGGCCTGGGGATAAACATGGGCTGGGCTGTGGATGCTGAGGGATTGCAGCTGCATTGCTACCTACAATGCAGAACACAAAGGCACCCATGTAAGACGTTCTATGAGCAGAGTAATGAAGGCAAGGACTTACCACATACACACAAAGAGCATCAGAGTTAATGGCACAGGATCTGGAAATGGAACATGAAGTTAATTTGCTAGTTCTAGGATCATGGTTTTTTTTTTTTTAGACGGAGTCTCACACTGTCGCCCAAGCTGAAGTGCAATGGTGCGATCTCTGCTCACTGCAACCTCCACCTCCTGGGTTCAAGCAATTCTCCTGCCTCAGCCTCCCAAGCAGCTGGGATTACAGGTGCCTGCTACCACGCCCAGCTAATTTTTTGTGTTTTTAGTAGAGACAGAGTTTCACTACATTGGCCAGGCTGGTCTTGAACTCCTGACCTCATGATCCGCCCTCCTCTGCCTCCCAAAGTCCTGGGATTACACACATGAGCCACCATGCCCGGCCTGGGATCACATTTTGACATAAGCACCTGTGTCATTTAAGGCTTTAGAATACGCTAGCAGTGAACGCTAAGAATCATTTTGTAAATGTGTGACAAGAAGTAAATTTCTTGCACTTAAAGCTGGAAGAATGGAGAGACAACTTATTTGTAAATTAACCTTAAAGAGCTTGGAAGTTTTTCAAAAGCTGCCTAGACATGAAATAAGACCACATCCTTCCTATCTCTAGAATTACTGAAACACCATGTAGCCCAATCAGCATAGATTTTTCCCAGAAAAATGGCTTCAAAGAGCCTCATTGTCATTTTCCCATCCCTGATTCCCAAATCATTGCACTTTCTTTAAGAACAGAAAATGTAGTTGACAATCAGATATACAGGAAGTAGTTTCTACGATAAACACCACACTTTGTGCTGGCCTTATTTCCTATGTAACAATGGTTGCTATGCTTGATGACAGGAAATATCTGCAAAAAAGTCACTGTAGGTATGCTGAATGCATAACATTAAAATCACATTTCGTATGAATGTCCACTGCTCTGGCATGATTAGTAGTTTCCAGTTCTTTATTTTCAGTTACCTGTTTCTACTAGAACATTTCATAGACATGACTGATGTTTTACCCTATAGTACATCAGATGATTGTCATTTAAGAACCCACTTTTAAGAGTGAGATAAAAGGTACAGTATTTGATTAAGAGCTATGTCTGTTTCCTCATTGCAGTAGGTGAGGCTTACATTCCCATCACATAATTTTGTTAATTTATGCTAAAATAAACCCTGAAATTTGACATCTGAAATAATTCCCTTAAAGAAGACTCAATACCTTAGAAAAATGTCAAATCCATGGGTCCCTTATCCTCTCTCAGGTTTGATGTTGCTCCTAAGTTCTTAGAGTTCAGTTCCTCCTGAATTTTGGGGTGCTGTCCTCAGTTCTCCTGTCCCAGGATCTCTTTCTCTGGCCTGCCTGGCTCCTCCTGTGCCTGAGCGTGCTGGTTCCCCGAGGATCTCTCCCTGGTATCCTCTCCCCCATCCCCTGCTGGTTTCTTCACTTCTGTAGCCTCTGGGCTCCTTCTCCATCGGTGTCCATCAGTGCCCCAGGCCTACATCCCTGTCTCTCCCTACCACCCATTCTCAGAGTGACGGTCAGATTAATCACCCCCAATAATTTCTTTAATTTCATTTCATGTGCCAGGCAAGTGGGAGCTTCTGCAAGCTTTTGCAAAGACTTTTGGGAAGGGCCAGACTGCTGGAGACCTCAAGGCAGGGTAAGGATGTTTCTCTGTCCTCTCCTCAGCCTAACCTGCCTTCTTTGCGGTACTGACAGACCTCCATCCCAATGTCCACCATGGCTCTGTGAAATGCACTATTCTTTCATCCGCGTCACACTTGCTCCCGTCCTCCCCAGTTGTTCTCAGGCTTAACCCAAAAGTTTGAAACTCTCATTTTATGGCAAGTAAGGTGAACTCTACTTTTCAGAGTGAACCTCTTGCTTTACACATTACTAAAGAAATAGATGATTCACAAATATGCATGTTTTAGCCATACAGTCTTGTGATAAGGAACTGTGTTTGCTGTAGAAGCCTCCTGGGGGGCTGTGGACAGAAATCAGTTTAGGGATGTATGGGTTTTTTTGGAGTGGGGCAGAGAGGGCTGCCATCCCTCTCTGAAGCTGCCTCAATTTGACTTTTTGTTTTCTGTGCTTCATAGCATTTAAACAATTTAACAGCTCAATTGCTTTACAAAAATAAAATTTATCTTGTTTTCCCATTATAAAGGTAAAACATGTATGTTATCATTTTTTTAAGTACAAAAAATAGGCAGAAAAGAAAAAAGTCACTAATAGTTTTACTCATAGGTGAGCTCCTCGTTACATTTTTATTAATTTGTAAAGGTTAGAATTTTTAAAAAAGAAGACACGTTTTTATACACAGTATGCATTGAATCATTTAAATAAAAGATTATGTTACTTTTCTTTTTAAACAAATACTAGAATTTTGTCACATCATAAACTCTTTATAAACATTGTTTATAGTGGCCAGGCATCATTCTAGGAAACATCATTGTGTTTGCGGCGGTAGTGCAAAGATAGCCATTGTGTTTGCGGTATATCTACTGGGTAGATATACCAAGTTTATGAGTCTGTTCTCCTAGGTTGAACAGTTGGACTGATTTCAAACTTTTGTTTTTATTAATAACTTTGCAATGAATCTATTTGGACATACACCGTTTTCCAAATTTCAGATTATTTCCATAGGACTGTGTCCCAGAAATGGAACTGTAGGGCCAAAGGGAAAAATAATCCAAGTCTAAAAATACATCCAACCAAAATGCTTTTGAAAAAGGATATATGTATTCCCATTAGCCCTGTAAGAAAGAATATGACTTCACTTCCTTTTGTATCTGAAAAGTTTATTTTCCCTAAGCCCCTGGGTCCTTGTGATTAGACATGTTTCTTTCTCATTTCCACCCCTTCTTGAGAGGTTAGCTAATGCTTTATTTCCATCATCTAGATCAGTGGTCCCCAACCTTTTTGGAACCAGGGACCAGTTTCGTGGAAGACAAATTTTTCCCCAGATGGCGGAGGGAGGGGATGGTTTCAGGAGGATTCCAGCGCATTGCATTTATTGTGCGCTTTCTTTCTATTATTATTACATTGTAATATACAATGAAATAATTATACAACTCACCATCATGTAGAATCAGAGGGAGCCCTGAGCTTGTTTTCCTGCAAATAGACAGTCCCATCTGGGGATGATGGGAGACAGTGGCAGATCATCAGGCATTAGATTCTCATAAGGAGTGGGCAGCCTAGCTCCCTTGCGTGCGCAGTTCACAATAGGGCTCCTGCTCCTATGAGAATTGAACCATGCTGCTGATCTCACAGGAGGTGGGGCTCAGGTGGTAATGTGAGCAATAGGGAGCAGCGGTAAATACAGAGGAAGCTTTGTTGGCTTACCTGCCACTCACCTCCTGTGGTGTGGCCTGGCTCCTAACAGGCCACTGACTGGTACCCAGGGGCTGGGGACCTCTGATCTAGATGCCAGAGAACTACATTTTGGAGGATTTTTTTTTAACTTTTAGTTAAAAATAAATTCAAACACAGTAAGTTTACAAGAATAGCCCAAAGAACTCCCCATATTCACCTTCCAGAGACCCCATTCAGGTTTCTCCTTGAGTGAACTCTTTAGTGCCAAAGGATCAAGGCTCATGCCTGCCTAGGCTCCGTCAATCTTGAACAGTTGCTTGGTCTTTGTCCTCTGTGACCTTGACAGTTCCAGAGATTACAGTCCAGTCATTCTGTCTTCTTCAATGTGTGTTTCATCAGTGTTTTACAGAGCCGCAGTTTATAATTCTGCCAGAATATCACAGGAGTGGTGCTATGTTCTTGTCACTGTAGTGCATGATATTAATTTGTGCTGTTTCCGAAGGTGGCCCCTTGGGTGACTTGATTGAGGTTGTGCCTGCTTGGTTTCTCCTTTCTAAAGTTACGCTCCCTGCCTTTCTCATGGAGGAGCACGGTGAGAGGTGACATTTTGACATTTTGGCACTACGTAAGACAGGATTCCTTAGCCCTCTTACCCACTAGCTTTGGCATCCATTGATGTCCCTTGCCTACATGAATTATTACTATGATGTTTGCCAAATGGTGATTTTCTACTTCCATAATCTCTTCTATATTTATCTGTTGGTATTCAACTGTAAGGAGCAGTTTTTTTCTTCTTAGTTATTTATTTATGTAAGTGAGTCCTTCTTTTATTCCATAAGTTATAATTCTATGTATCTATTCTATACCATAGGTTATAATCCATTACAATTATTTTGCTGCTCAAATTGTCTCAAATTTAGCCCTTAGGAGCACTTAAAGTTACCCCTTTGACCTAACCCTAACCATCTGGTAACCCCCTAACCCTTCTTCATTCTGCAAGTTTTTTATTTTCTGGCATTAATAGATGGTCCAGAATAACCTGTTGTTTTCTCAACACAATCCTCCATTTTCCCAAGAAGGCCAGGTTCCTTTTAGCAGAGGATGGTGTTTAGAAACCAAGATCTGGTTCTAGGTGTGCTCAGTGCTCCTGGAGTGTTGGTGCTCCCAGCCCTCTCAGTGAACAGAACTAGAAAACATGAGTGTGTGCACATGAGCACACACAGGTAATGTATTTATGGCTGTACCTATCTACGAGATCAAATACCTCCAGTTTTAACCAGCTTCAAGGTTTACTCTAACTTCCTCCTTTTTATAATTGTCTCTTTTAAAAAAAAAACCTAGCTCCCATCATTCTTAGTATATTTTCTTATTTGATCCATTCTGGTTTTTTGCAGTTAATTTCGTGACCTTGCAAGACTGCTGCCCCACTTGGACTCCTTCCTAGATTGGTCCCAGCTGGTATTGGCTGCCTTACAACTAGGAGAGAAGGGTGGAAAGAAGAAAGGAAGGAAAGAAGGAAGGAAGGAAGGGAGGGAAGGAGGGAGGGAGGAAAGAGAGAGGAGGAGGAAGAGAGGAAGGAAGGAAAGAGCAAAGGAAAGAAAGAGGGAGGGAAGAGAGGAAGGCAGAATGTAGTGAGTTTTAAATGTGCCAACCAGGTGCCTGCATTGCTGCTCTTGACTCAAATGTTAGGTTGCTTTTTGCTCTGTAAGCTGCTTCAAGGTCTTCACATATGTGCTTTGCAAGCATATCATTAGGAGTGTCAAAGACATTTGATACCAAGATAAATCTATCTTTAAGAGCATGTGGCTGAAAATTTATTCACCTCCTATCTTTACTGCTGCAGAAAAGTGGCAAGCATGGTGGTGGACAGTGTGTGTCTTGAAAGCCAGTCATCTAGTTTCAAACTCCTGAACTGCTGCTTCCAAGCTGCGTGAATCTGGGCAAGTCACTTCATCTCTCTGTGCCACCATTTCTTCATCTGTCAGATGGGAATAATAATCCTACCTATCCCACTAAGTTATTGTGAATATGAAATTAGTTACTACAGATGAAGACTTAGAATAACATCTAGCATGTAGTAAGCACTCAATACATGTTAGCTTTAGGTGATTATTCTTGGTGATATTGAAGATGCATGAATTATCACTCCCAGTCAACAGCAAACCAGGCTTAGTCTAGACAAGGGCTCAAGGGCAGTGTGGTTGCGGGTAGGAAAGGTTGGCTTCCTCTGCATATGATGCCACCTCCTGCCTCGCCAGGGGAGCTGCTCTCCCAACCACCAGCCCTTAACACCTGCTGTTCCAGGACTCAGCAGGCTGCCCTCCAACTGCTCAGACAGTAAGGCTGGTGCCCTCCCCCAGCAGCACTAAACTCCCTCTGGATTACTGCCTCCAAATCCCACCCCATTCACCACAGTGCAGGGAAAGCCTTCATTTAGTCATGAGTGGCTCCTGGGGCTCTGTTCCGAAAGACACGTGTGTTTACAAAGACCTGGCTGCAAGGGAAGAGCAACTAATGTTTGACAGAGATCTTTCGAGGTGGGGGCCTTCTGGATGTCCTTAAATTATAGGATGTAGGAGACAAAGCAAAAGATCAGGTGGCCCCAAAGAGCCTAATATTGTCACCTATTACGGGCCGAACTGTTTCTCCCCCAAAATTTATACATTGAAGCTCAAACCTTCAATACCTCAGAATGTGACTGCGCAGATGCCCCTCAACTTATGATAGGGTCATATCCCAGTAAACACATCATAAATGGAAAATGCATTAATCCACCCAATCTATGGAGCATCACAGCTTGGCCTGGGCCACCTTCAACGTGATAGAACACGTACATCAGCTACAGTTGAGCCAGGTTGTCTGGCAACAGAGTCCACTGTAGAGTTTCAGCTGCATCTGCTCCTGACAGCATGGCTGCCCTGGAGCTGAGACTCACTGGTGCTGCCCAGCATTGAGATAGAGTATCTCACTGCATACCCCTAGCCCAGAAAAGGATCAAAATTCAAAACCGGAGGTATAGTTGCTACTGAACGCATGTCGCTTTTGCACCAGCATAAAGGCAAACCATTGTAAGTTGGGGACTGTCTGTATTTGGAGACATAGGGCCTTTAAAGAGGTAATGGAGGTTGAAGGAGGTCATTAGGGTGGACACTAATCCAATCTGACTGGTGTCCTTATAAGAAGAGGGATTAGGACACCCACACAGGAGACACCAGGTGAAGACACAGGGACAAGATGGCTGTCTACAAGCCAAAGAGAGAGGCCTCAGAAGAAACCAACAACACTGCCAATACCTTGCTCTTGGCTTTCTAGCCTCTAGGACTCTACAGACTTACATTCTGTTGCTTAAGCCTCCCAGATTGTGGTGCTTTGCTGTGACGTTGGAGCGGACTCATACACCACCCAACCCCCGTGTGATCTTGGCTAACTCAACATCTCTGAGCCTTGGAGACATTATCTGTACAATGAGGAGTTTGGATCCTTCTAGCTCCAATATCTTATGCCTCTGAGGATCTACCCCAAAGAGCACATAACCACTTTTATAAGAGTAATCCCTGGAAAATAAGACAGTAACTGTCCTTAGGATGAAGGCACCAAGACTTGACAGAGTGCCTTGACTAGCCACCTGCTCTCTGATTTACTAAGTTGAACTGTCCAGTGACACCATGGTGTAGTCAAAGAATTTAGCAACTACTATAAAAGAATTCATTTTCCTAATGTATTTCCTACATCCTAGCTCTAAAACCCTGGTAGTCTCACAACGGTTCTTGCTCCCCATTTTTATTTTTAACTAGTGGTCACTTAAATTTATATTATACACATGTTTAGCAACCAATTTTTCATGACAGTTATGCTATACACAGAAGCATCATGATCAGGGTGCTGTTTTAAGGGCTTGGGGTGATGAGTATTTTAGGTGCTAGTTAGTGCTCATTCTAATCTCCGTGTTCTCTAAAGGAAATAGCCACTAAACAGGAACCATCTGGTAATGCATTCTGTACCTCTTAATTACAATGTTTTGAGTGGCACCTAAATAAATTTCATTTACAAGCACATGACTGCTTGTCAAAAGTCTGTTGATAATTTTATTATTGTAACATACTTTCTTCCTTAATTATTTAGTTCCAGTAAAGTTAGGAATATTAATTTTTATGGAAATTACTTGTACCAACAAACCTAAGCCACAAACCTGGTTTTATTTATGTAAATGTATTTATAAATGTATGGTAATATATCTACCCACACACCCATCACAATGGGTTCCCATGGGCCGTTCAAAACTTCTGCCCATTTTTACCCTTCAAGTGTAAAATAGAGTGGAGTCCAACACATCTTAAAATTTGGGAGTTTCTATGAGAGTCTTGCGAGGTAGAATCTTGCTCCTGTGTTCTGTCTTTGCAAACAATCCCCAGAGCCAGCTCACCCACTCTGTCCGGGCTCCGCAGACAGGTGCCTTGGTGAGCGGGAGGTTTCCACATGAACCTCTCTGAGGGATGGACAACTGCTGCGGAGACTCATGTCCACCATGAGTGTTTGGCTCATCTTATTAAGGGACACAGTGCTGGATATGGGCTTGTCGATGGGAGCTACATTTTCAGTCAAAGGCTTTGGTGGTACAGACCCTTGAATCAGCACTTCACCTCCTGTTCATTCACCCTGTTTGATCCTAAACAAATGTGAGCGCTGTGGTTGGAGCCTGGCCTGGCGGGAATATTTATCTACACCATAAAATGCCACAAAAGTAATACTGCTGCCTCCCCAGTGAGCCATCTGGCCCAAGATGCTCTGGGCGGCCTGAAATAGCTCCTGCCTCTCCCACACCTGTGGCATCCGAGTCCAGGAAACCGCAAAGTGAATCCTGGCTCCGTCACTCACAGGAGAGGTTTCTCATCCTCTCTGTAGCTTTCTGCCACGGAAGCCCAGTGGAGTGGGGTTTAAATGTATGCCAAGTAGCATGTGTCTTTAGGAGCCCACCAGAAACCAGAGCTGGACATGCCTGTGTGTGCACTCACACACAGGTGGACACACACACACTCCACAGTTCCCTCCAGGAGCACACCCTAGGAAAAGTCTCCAAGCCTGAAGAGCCTCTGCCTTCCCTTCCCTCACTCTGCGTGGTTCTGGGTTCCTCCTGCATGTTGGGGCTAGCAGAGGAAGAAGAGGAAGATGAGCGGCAGGCACCGAGCACTGAGCCTGCAGTGATGGTAACGGCAGAGGGAAGAAAAGCTGCCTTGGATGCTGGCCCTGTGGGTGGGACCTTGCCTATTGCCTGGTGACCTGTGAATCACATGTGTCATCTTCCCCAGACCCCTGGGGTGAAACAGCCTGTCACCCGCTTGGCCCTCACCTGCTGTCCATTACAAGACAGGCAGCTTCAAGGGATGCTATTCAGAGCAGTAGGAGGAATGCAGAGTGAGCTCCTGGGAGGTTGGGCCCAGTGGGAGCTTGTCTGAGATTGTGCTGGGGTGCCTTGTGGCTTCCGGAAGAGGTGGGATCCCGGGTCCATCCCAGTAGCTCCTCGGGACCCACTGTGCCCGGCAGGTGTGGTGCCCGGGGACCGCTGGCCAGAGCGGTCACTGCCTCCTCCGCAGGCGAGACTCACCCAGGGCAGGGCTTTCCTTCAAGATTAAAGACAAATTCCTACTTTAAAAATAAAGACAAGCTGTGTTTTGCACCTTTTGACACTTATTAACTTAGGTCATTAAAAAGGAGGCTAATTAAAAATGAGTGAAACAAAAGAGTCATTTGTCTGGTGGGAAGCTGGCTCTTCCTGCGCTCCTCAGCCCTGGGGATGGAGCACCCCTGCTCTCTGCCTCCCTCCCTGCCCCTGCCTGCTCAGAGCCTGCTCTGCTGAAGCTATGGGCTACCTCATTATGCACCTCATAAAGGAGAGAAATCATTGTCCTCAAAATTAGCCGAAGCTGGAATTTACATTCCCTGGAAATTTTGGTTTCCTCATTGTCCTTGGAGACTTTTACTGGCTGCAGTTAAAGTAAGCGAAGTTCGATAAATGCTTAGTACTTCATTAAGACATTTGTGAGCAAACTCATTCCCATTAAGTGATATTTTACAGCCACTGGTGAAGGTTGCATGGTACTGCTTTGAAAGCACAGCCCTGTCCCTCAAAATGGCCAAAGGGGCAGCCCTGCCTTTTGGGATAAGAAAAACAAAGCTGAAAACTTTAAAAGGTTGTGTCCTGATGAAGCATTCATTTCTTCTCTTCCAGGGAAAGAGTGATTTTGCCAAGGGACTATGAGCACAGTCTTGTCTGATTGGCCTTGGCCGTTTGGTTGTTTTCTGGAGACAGGGAGAGATGGCATTGCAAGGGACTCTTGGCAATTGAGATTCTTCTGGTTTGATGTCCGTGGGTATCACGTAGCCTTTAACACCTGCCTTGCTGGTGGTCAGCCTTGCCCCCACCATGCTGCCTCCAGGCCCTGAGCAGACAGGGCCTTCGATCTGGCCTTTCTCTAGCATTCCTGGCACCTTTTAAGCAAGCATCGCCTGGATTTGGGAGGGTTCCAGGGCCTGGCTGGTCTCTCTCTTCTCCTCAGTTTGGAAGTGTGTCTGACAGCAATTCCGAGGCTCTGGGACAGCCACCTACTGGCCCGGCAGAAGAGCCACACTTAGCCCTTGTCTAATTGTACCCGGATCTAGCAGGAGAGGAAGGGCGATGGGTGATCACTGATAGAAACTCCCTGGGAAATACACTATTCAGATGCCATTACAAAACCCATTCGAAGCGTGTGCCGTTACATTAAAAATAAACCAGTGGCAACCTAGCAGTGCCAGGGAGCCACAGGGCGGCCGTGGTAGGGGCCAGGGAGGACCCAGACCCAGCCAGAGAAGGAGGAGTGGCCCTTGGCCAGGGGCTAGGAGACCTGCACACTGGTGTCTGTAGCTCTGGGCTCCTGGACAGCTCGGGAGAGGTGGGACAGAGCGGGCAGGTCTGCCCGGAGCTTCCTGCCTCTACCCTGAGAGCACCGTGTGCTTTGGATGAAAGAGTTAATGTTGGCTACAAACAAAGCAACTGTTGCTGGTGACTTTCATTTTGTGCTGGAATCTGGCTGCCACCGCAATATCCTGCAGGAAGCAACCAGGTCCAACAAATCATTTTTGGGTTCGGGAATATAATTAACACATCAGGTCAGGCTCCGTCCTGCCAGGGGCGTGTTTATGACATTATCGCTTCCCAGACAGCTTAGGCCCATCCAGGAGACCGGCGACAGTGACTTCCTTGCCAAGGTAGCCCTTTGAGCAGCGCACTTGATACCTGTTCGTGAATATTCATGTCAATGGCAAATCATAACAGTGTGATTGTGGTTGAACTGTTCGGGGACAGGAGCTGCCGGGGAGCCACGATTGAAAGAAGACTCGCCCGCTGCCCTTCCTCCATGACAATGCGCTGGAAAATCTCCGCGGATGTGGAGGCCGTGTTTGGTTTTCTCTGTGTGTGTGTTTTCTCTAAAGCCATAAGTGCGCAACAATGAAATCTTACTTGCAGAGATCCCCATTATGCATCGGTCCCCTGAAGCTGCTGAGATGACACCACCTCTTACAGGTGGCAGAGAGAATGCGGCAAACCCCTGAAGTCTCAAGTCACAGCAATCATCTTCAACTCCCAAATTGTCCTGGAAGGAGAGTGGCATCGGATTTGTCTTAGGCTGTTTGGCCAAACTGGGGCACAGATGGGATAATGACTTTTACAAACAGCATTTTGATGAGAGGAGGGGAGAAGGAATCATATGTAAAATGCACAAAGGCTGCATAAACACACTGATGCCTGCAGCTGGAACAAACTAAAAAGATGTTTAATAATTTAGAACCAAGCAGGCAGGGCCTGTGCAGCTGTTGTGTGCAGGGGACCATGAAAGTCTTCCATTTGACAGCTGGCCCCATCTTTCCCCAGTTGCTACGTGAAGAAGAGAATGCAGATCTGGGATTAGCCAATCCCTGTTACCCTTGCCCATCTGCCACCAAGACCCCCAGCTCTGCCTCCCTCGCAGAAAGGCGCACACATAAAGAAGGCTGGCCTTCCCAAGCATATGCATGCGTCGCTATTAGCCGTCAGGGCCGCCCGCTCCCAGGATCTGTTGACACGCCGCCAGTACATGGCTGCTGTCGTTTTTGCTGGAGGGCACATTTTGCATTTCACACATTTGCAGAAATACAAAATGCTGTTGGATGCAAACAATTCAGGGCCTAATTGGCTGAATTACTTCAATGTTACCTTGTGTCCCCCACCTGATTAACATAGCTCAGCTGGGAGGGCTGGGGAAGGAGGAGGAGAGAGGGATTTGGAGGGCAGGTGAAGCTGTGTTTGCCCAGGAAAGCGAGATCCTTAGCGAAGTCCCAGCTGAGTGTGGCCTGTGCCAAGCAGATAGCTGAGTGCGGGAGGGGCCGTGCAGGCTGCATTCTTCCACAGGACGCCCGGAGGAGGGGGCTCTGTGGAGGAACAATAAAATTTCAGGGCACAGAGGAGGCAGGCTGTCGGGGAGGAGCGGGGGGCAGTGCCCCTTTTGTGAGATGTCCACGGTTGTGCCATCTCGCTGTCCCTCAGGTAGGCATGGCACAAGGCAGTCAGCCGGGCCTGCTGGAGCCGGTGCCAGGAGCATGTTGCAGGCACAAAGACAAGCCTGACAAAGACGCCTGCCTGACCTGACTGCCACCTCCCCTCCTGCCCATCCCCTCTGCCCCTGCAATGTTGAATATGCTTGCTTAGATTTAAAAAAATTTCCCCAAATTTGTTTGGCTTATTTAAAAATTGAAAACCCTGCTAATTCCAATGTCACATTAATATCAGAGTGATAAAAACCACAGAGGAGTTAATGATCATTATTAGAGAATATTCTGCAGTTGTATCCTGTTATTATTAATGAGGAAGATGAGCATTTTTTCATATGTAAAAGAATTTGGGGAGCTTGGGAAGGATCTAAAAATGATAAAGCTTAAATAGATTTTCTCCAAAAGATAAACATTCTACAGTGAATGATAGTGTTTGCATTCTTTTCAATAAATTATCTTATATCTTGGAATTTTCCCATCCAAACAACGGCAGAGAAACACTGTTGTTGACCAAATTGCCCATGAATTGTGTTCATTTTGGGGGAGGGAAGCTTTTGTAAAATGGAATGATACCATTTTTAATTTTTTTTTTAAGTTCTGTTTTCATTTAATGTGAACATCCCAGACCAATTTTATCTACATTCTAACCTGATGCTGCCTTGGGAGCCCGCTGAGTTTTTCCTGGAAATAATCCTGTGGCTTTGGCTGCCACGGGCCATTTTCCCTGGACTTTTGGGGGGCTGGGCCAGAGCTGCACATGCCCATGCCAGCACCCGCCAGAAATGTCTTCAGGCAGCTGACAGTTTCCCTACTGCCAGTTTGGGTGCTGTTAGCCAGGAGTCTAGATAAACCCCATGAATGTGTCACTTGCAAAAGACCCAGAACTGGCCCATGCTCTCAATGTGTTTTCGGTCCTGATGGAGGAATTTCTTCTTCATAGCTTACAGCTTCAGACCTACTGGAGGCGAAGGGCCCAAAGCCGAACAGAGCTGCAATCTCGAAGCCGGTGCCATTGGGAGGACACACGAGAGCCCCAGGGAGAAAAGCCAGCTTCCTCAGAGCAGTCCTGCTCAGGGGAACACCTATTGCCAAATGCGGGAGCATGGGAGGGGCCCAGCCAGGTTTCTCTCCGAGCCTCCACTGAACAAAGAGCTTGCTATGTCATGCTTCGTGAAGATGGCATGGGGGGTTGGGAGATGGGGCACATTTCAGGGATGCTGGAAAGACAAGTCCTCCTGCCATATCTGGCACCTGCCATTCCTGGAACGAGGCACAGCATGCACTGACATGATCCATGAAGAAGAATTGCAGCTAGAAACTGTAGAGGTAGCATGTGCTTACAGACACAGGCCTTGGAGCTAGGATGTTGTGCCTGCTAGAATGAGCCACATGGAATGGTCCTGAAGGTTGGCACTCGGCTCGGGTCTTTCACGGGCACTCAGCAACACATGCTGCATTTCCTCTAGATGGTTCTGATTCTGAGTTTCCACTTATTCTGATCTCTGTCTCCACCTCACCTGCTGGCCATGTCCACACAGGACTAAGGTAGTTTTACGGGTTTGTGTAAAATTTGTGCCCTTCACATAATGAGAGACTAACATGACAGTCTGGGCACTACCAGGAAAAGACTCAGAGGCCTCAGGAAGCTCCTCTTCTCTGGGGAGAATGCTGTGGGGTTCAGTTTAGTGGAGTCAGTGTTGCTGCGGGTGATTCTTTCTCCTGATCTTGGGAAGTATTCACTTTTAATAACACTCAGGGATGTTTTCACCATTTGGGGGAAATTCTGCTGTAAGGATAGAAATATTCTACTCCAGCTATGAAGATCCTCTGCGTTGACGCTAAATTTGTATGGCAATGGCCCTTAGGGGCTGGACAGTTAATGACAGGGGTGTGGTTCTCTGAGATCAGAAGCCTCTTTCCTAAAAGGATGCCCACACCCCTCCCTGCCTCCTGACTGCTGATTGGGCTGTAATTCTCATCCTGCCTTCTCAGCTGCCCTTTTCTGGATTTACAATTAAGTTCCAGAAGCAGCATTAGTTTAGGTCATGGTACAGAAAAAAGCAAGGGGATCTGAAGTTGGGGCAAGGCTCATTCCTGGCCAGCTTGCCCTGGGCTGCAGCTCTCTCTTCCCAAGATAAACACTTAGAGGGGAATTTCACACTCAAGCAAGGAGGCCGCTGATAAAGTGCAGGCTGCCACTGGCCACCAAGCGGAGCACTTCCTCACTTCCAGACTCCTCCATACCCCCAAACCAACGGAGCATCACTCTGGGATAAACCTGGCCTGGCCCCACTTTCATCTCATGAAAATGTCATGAGCTTATAATAAAGCATCTAAGCAAGTTTCAAAGAGAAGTTCAAGAAAACAGAAGAAGAAAAAGGAGCAAATGACTCTTTGCCTTTGTCATGCAAAGAAGAAAAGTAACATATAGCAGTGAAACCATCTCATGAAATCCAGCCTGGCAGTGCCACAGGTACGGATTCATCCGTCCTTTTATTCATTCATTCAAGAAATAGCTATTTAGGGTCCAGCACGTGCCAAATATATGTATCGATATATACAAATATATGTAATTGCAATTGCTGCCTATCCAGGAGTTGGTTGAATTAGCATAGGTCATGTTACTTTGCAGACGTGGCTCATTTCCTTAAATCTATCATTATTGTGTGCGAACAGCATGTTGAAAGTATTGAGTGCTTGAGGGTTTGGGTTCATTGCCATACTTTTAGATTCATTTTAAGAAGTCCCAAATATCTCAACCCTGATAATGACTCACTTCTAGATGTTGCAAAGCTCGTTGCAGTTTGAGTACAGTGCTGGTCTGTCCCGTGCAGAACCCTAGTGAATATCCCAGGCCCCACAGCATCTTTCCAGTTCAGCGTCTGTGCTGCTTCCCTCTGGGAGGGGTATGAAATGGGCATCCACAGAGGTGGCCCACTGGCCAGGGGAGGACAAGGCAAGGACCCTGCCAGTGGGCTGAGTTCCTGGAGTTTCCCCGGCCCTCCATGACTGCACCTGCCCCCAGCACCCCATCCTTCCTGGCCCCCCAGGTCCTTCTGACGGTTGTCAGGGCATCTAGACAAAGAGCTGGGCTGGCACTGGAGTGGCCTCAGCCCTCGGGGAGCTTTCCCTGCAATGTCACTGGGATTGCCATCTGTCTCTCACCAGGGCATGGAGTCAGGGGCTCCGAGGGGCTGCCCCAGTGCTGAGCCCATGCCCCAGGGCTGCTTACCTCCCCGTACAGTCCCTGGTCTGAGCTGCAGCCCCTGCCCATACTGTGCTGGGGCCCGCACTTCCTACTACCTGCCCTTCTCGGCACGAATAAGCCCAGGGGAGCAGGGGACAGGCAGGGCAGCAGCACCGGGGGTGCCCAGGCTCTCCCCTCCTAGGAAGCCAGCTCCTAGGCTCTGGCCTCCCATGTATCTGGGGCCTTGGATCCCCTGGGGCCTCCCAGGATGGTGGTCTTGCTAAGGGAAGCAGATACTTCAGGCCAGGGTGCACGAGAGACTGAGGAGAAAAGAGACATTTTCCGAGGAAGTATGAAATGAGATGGGGAATTAATGAGGTGGAGACATAGGGAGGCGGTTCCAGATGGCTGGAGAGGCGTCTGCGCCTTGGAGGTGAGCAGCGGTGGAGCCTGGCAGCGGTGCGGACAGTGGCCAGGCAGGGCTCTGCTATGGCCAGAGAAGAGCTTCCGACTCCCTCAGGAGAAGAGGCTGGAGCTTAGGACGCCCAGAACGTCCCTGGCTTGCTGCATGGGGCCGTGTTTACTGTGTTTCCACCTGGAGGGAAAAAACCCTGCAGCCAGGCGGTGCGAACACACTGCAGACTTCAGCCCGGTGTGGTGCCTGCATTGTTGGAGCCTGTGCACTTGAAGTTTCAGGGAATGGCTGCAAGTCTAATAAAAATCTGACATTGACCCTGGCTTCCTGTAGCACAGTATTTACAGCTGGGCATAGAGGACCCAGCCGTATTGAGTGTAGCAGCATTTAGAGAAGCCTCCAGACCCTGTGACAAGGGGGACAATGTCCCTGTCTGGCTGGGTCATTTTCTTCCAGTCTGGGTTCATGTGAGAAATATTAAAATGCAAACTGGAGCCTGGTCTGGGTCCCTCTGAGTCTACCGCAGTAGCTGGTGGTGCTGGGGACCTCTGGAGGCCCCTCTGTCACCTCCAGGAGGCCACACAGCCTTCCCTTGCTCCTGCGGCTCGGTTGCCGGAACTGGAACTCAGCGGGCCTCCTTTCTGGAGGAGTGTTTTCTAAAATGTTGGGAAGTGGGCGTTTAAGAAAGACTGCGGGGCTGATCTTCTGTGCGGAATGCTCATTTCACCATCTTCCCATCTGAAGATCACAAGAGTGTGGAAAGAGCCCGGGAGCAGGACCGCTTCTGTCAGACTTACATCATCACTACTATTTTGTTTATTGATGCTAATCATTTTCCCAACAATAGGAATGCCCCTGGTCTTCATGAATCTACATAAAACGCAGAAAGGGAAGTCAGTGAACGAGAAGCAGTTCATGTTTTAGTTATCCAAGTGAGCTGAATGATAATTTTTTTTCTTATGCTATAGAAGATTTAAAAAAAAGAAGAAAAAAAGAAGCAACAGTCCTCTAAATTTTCGAAATGAGTTTCTTCCCCCTGTGCAATTATGTTTACTTATAAACGAAATAACATGATTGTGGGTATGTGTGTATTTATATATGAAATGTAAATATATTTTACATGCATGTGTGTAAATATACATGAAAAGCATGCCAATGAGCAAGTGCTAGGGTGTATTAAAAAAATTCCCAAATGCTTCCTGCATGTCATATATAACAGTTACATTTTTTTCCCAGGGTTTGGAGGAGGAAAAAAAAAAAGCAAGAAAGAAAATGAAATCCAGATTTGTAATTCCTAACAGGAGAAATATGATCCTTTTCAATGTTTAAGTAATATTTCCTGTAAAACATACGAGGCCATCTGCAAAGCCGTTTCCAGACACATTTTGAAGTGGCAAGGGCAACTGTAAGAGACAGAGGCGGCTGGCAGCCCACCTCGGGGAGGCGGGACGGCACAGGCTCCGAACGCTGGCACAGCAATTTGGCAAAGCGTTTCAGTTCCTGGGTAGTTCATAATTTATTTAATTTACCTCCATTTTACAGACCGGGAGGGGGCCTGAGGGAGCCAGGAGAAAACCAAGAAAGTCGTGAAAAGATACACATGTTATCTCCTCCATCAAGAATGTAATTCTAGATGAGGAGACTCAGACCCGCTTGGTCTTTAAGGAGGTTTTGGGCTGAGATGCTGCAGGGCAAGTTCCCTGAAACGATGACATAGCAACAAAAAGCAATCTATTTGGCCAGGCAACGTGGATGCCAAACCTTTCTGGCTATTTAAGCCCATTATAAAATTTTGTTTTATTGTCGATCTCCAGGGTCACCTTGTGGATTCGTGTTAGTAAAATGTTATGGCCCTGGCCTAATAATTGCTTTGTGAAAGGTTCTATTTTTCCAAAATCTCTTTGTGTCAAGAATAGTCAGGAAATATGCATCTCTCTTCTAGGAGTTTCTGTTTAGTTTTGATTATATTTTTAGAGGATTAATCTATACATCCTACATCCAATTCGAATGTTCATGCCAGCATTCATTAACTCCTTTCCTAGAGAGTGAAATTTTCAGGTTGGCGTGAAATGGCTTTAAGTGACCGTTATCTACAGAATTGTATCAATGCATAAGTAACTTTTTTTTTTTTTCCCGAGGTCTCGAGTAAAGTTTTGCCAGACCTGATATGGGTACCAATCAGCAGCTGGCTGTGATTTATTTTGTAATGAACAGCAGGGTGTCATTTGGATTGCACATTTATATTTTTAAAATAGAACCTTAGACATGGTGCTCTTGATAATATTCTCCCAAGTGGACACAGCCACCAAAAAAAATAAAAAAATCCTTGATACCTACATTGGACTCCTCATTTGGAAATGATGTTTGTATAAATAACATGACTTGTAACTTAAAAAGCTTTTCTTCAAGACAGCTTAGAGTTCTTTTCCTGGGGCACCCCACTCTCTTGTTTATGTATTTTTTCCATTGATTTCTCCCCCCACCCTTTGGCTTCTTCTCTGCATTTTGACTATGCCTTCTCCTCTGCTCACATAGTTAGCATAAGGGTGAGTCACTAAGTTGAGTATAAGCACAGCTTTGGAATAATTTATTCCAGAATCATGAATACTCCTTCCTTTCCAACAGAATCTCTTCTTAACCAGCCACACTGAAGAACACAGAAAGCTTTATCAGCTGCTGATGTTACATTTTTGAGTATCCATATCACATCTTAGCTTCTGCCCCAAAGCACATCTTTCATAGCTGGGAAGCGTGAGAAGCAGAAGGCTCGGAGCAGATAGAAACCAAGTGCAAATTTACTAGAGGGCTCAGTAGAGAGATGGTTGTTTAACACTTTCTGGCAATAAAAATGGCGCCACTTCACTGGTCAGAGAAGTGCCCTCTGACATCTTTCCAAGCGGACACCCCAATTTTAGACACATAGAAGCAGTCTTCTCACCTAGGCTCCATCCAGTTCAGGGTGTGGTCTGAGGAAGTCTGCGTGGCAGTCGTCTACCCCTGCTCGCTCTCAGCCACCCACGGGGCCCGTGGAACCTGGGAAAGCCCTGTAAAGACCTAGGAAGGGACTGGACACTTTTCTTTAATCCTGCATTTTCCGAATTCATTAGCCAACGGGCCTTTTCCTTCACAGATCAGCTGCTACTTTGGCAGTTTTGGAAAGGGGAGGGCGTTGATCTCCGCTGCTCAAAGAGGAAAACTACAGCTCAGGGAGGCTCCGAACATTTCTCCGTCTATTCACACAGCTGTTGTCAGTGTAGAGAGTCAATGATCATTTTCAATGAAAGGCCTGCTGTAATTATGAAAAATAAAAATTCTCCCCCAAATGGCCTCATCTTTACCTGAGAGGATGTCAACTCTGTAATCTGCCACTGTGATCTGTGGACCCTCCTCTGGAAGACGGACCCTGCCTTCTTCCTTCCACAATACCTCTCGGCTATAGGACATCCTGTTTTTTTTTTTGTTTGTTTTTTTTTTTTTTTTTAACCCTTCACAACAGGATTCAGAACATAATCTTTATGATATGAATGAAATGTAGGCCTGAAAAGATGAATAAAAATATCTCCTTTTAGAACCAGGACGTTCGTTTTTGTTTTGTCATTCAAGGACTGCATTATCCAAGACACAAGGGAAATGTATGGGTGCTGATTGGTGGATTTTCCCTCCATTGGCAGGGAGACTGCCGGTCCCCATGATCCAGCCCTAGGAGATGCTAGGTGGAGCTCTCCTGCCAGAGCGAAATTAGGAACAAATCCAATGGCTTCGTCACTGCCTCCAGCATTCCTTCTTTTCTGATGCAATCTCCCTGTGTTTTTACATGCAAGGATCGTCTTCAGAAAAACCACCCAGGAGAGTGAAAACTCACAGGGTGTTTCATTTTTTTTCTTTTCAGAAGCATATGTGGGAAAGCCTAGAGTGTGTATTCTCATTTGCCTCTCTCAGGTTTCTGGCTTTGGGTTGCTCTTAGAGAAAATAAAGTAGCGCAAGAAAGCAGTGATATGGCTCGGGCTCCTTGGGTTTCACCCCATTTGTCCTGGGGGAGAGTCAGACATAATATCTGGTGAGATGTTCACCAGGAGGCTCCATTCCTGCCTCCCAAATCAGACTGGGGTGCCTGGGGTAGGGTCTTCAGAGGTGGGGCAATTGGCTGGTGGCCTGGGCCAAGGCCATCTCAACACGTGTCAGACAAGGTCAACCAACAGTTTCAAGTCAGGTGCAGAGTAAACAAATGTCAATGTTAAATATGGTGATTTACGACTGAATTTCATTAAGTTCTTCCTTAGGAGGCGAGCATTTTATGGAACATTGGGGACCCTTAGAATGGGTCAGATGTAGCTCTAAAACAAGACATATTGTAGCCGTTTTCTCACACATCAGCCTTAGGATACCGGGTCAACAGAGAAGTCTACTTTGCTTGGAACTTGTCACCTAATTACGTGGGTGGCACTTCCCAAGCAGGAAGGGGTCAGGTGTTTCTAAAACTGAAAGAGGTCACGCAGGTGCTGGGCTGGACACAGACCCAGTGGCCTTTGGTACTTGCCTGCAGAGATTCTAAATGTGAACTTAATGGAAATTAATTCATTTATTCCATCTTTATTTGGAGACGTTCCTCATTTGCTTTCAGAACCTGTAGTCTCCTAAGCAGAGGTAAATTGAATCTCCATGACACTGACGGGAAGACTCAGTGCACAGACCTGTTGCCACGTAGCCAGCAAAAACATTCTTCAGCCACGAGCTGGAAGTCTGGCTTCGGAAAGACCTTGTTGGGGATGGCCTCTTACCAAATCACCAAGTCCAGACTTTGCCATCTCGCCGGCCAGGTGACTGCGCTTTGTTGGCTTAGGCTGGATGCTTGGATCATGCATTCCTGGAAGTTTCTACTTCTAGGGACCTGGCAAGATGGAACTATCTTAGCATTGACTCTTCCTCCAGCGCCTTAGGCTCTTAGTCACACCCTTCCCAACTTGGTTTTCAGGCTGCAAAGCTTCCTCCATCTCTTTGCCCCATGTTGGCCCTGGGTAGCCCCTTCGTCCAGCAGCCTCAAGAGCTTCTGGGCCTTGGACATCCCTCACACTTCACCCTTCTTTTCCTCCTCTCCCTTCACAAGGTAAAGGCACCCTCTCAATTGCCTCCCTCCCTCTCTCTGACAATCTAATTCTGCAAGAGAAATGTGAGGCATGGAGAGTGTGCCTGGAATTCACAGACACAGATCTTTGACTGGAGAGCACTCAGGACTGGGGGAGCGGAGGAGGTTTCAGTTTTTCTTTTGGGCAATGAGAAACTTTTGGAAATAGGGGAATGGCTGCGCAACATTATGACTCTAATTAATGAAACTGGATTGTACACTTAAAAAACGAAAATCTATGTCATCTATTATGTATATTTTACCAAATTAAAAATAAAACAAAAAGGGTGCCCAGAGTGAATGCTGCGGTCCTGGCCCACGAAGTCCCTGATTTTGTGAAAATGCGTCAGGCCTGTAGGGCCTTTTGTCCTAGGGGAAGTACCTGCTGGGATTCCAGCCACTCCACTCAAGATCCCAGGGCCTCTGTCAACCAGTCAACCCACCCTGAGTTCTTTGTCCAGCCCCTAGGCCAGGCAGGCAGGGCAGTCCCGCAGGGGTCTCTGAAGCCAGCTTTGGAAGACACCGTGGGGTCTTCTCTATGAGCTGGTCTGGCAGGGAGGGTGGGCCCTGGGCTGCTGTGGATCTGGCTCATGAAGGTGTTAGTGGGTGCCATCCTCAAAAAGAAGATCAGATGAGTCAGTCCTTGCCCTGAATCAGGAGCATGATGCCTTTGTGAGGATGAGTTCAGCAAATAACAGGAACGGAAAAGCCCATTTGTGTTGTCATGATGTTTACTTTAAGTTTGATCTCATTATTCCTAATAGACAAAATAATGAGAATTAATGTGGCCCTGGAAAGGCTTTATCTGAATAGCCTGATCTGGAGTTGGAGGGAAATGTTCCTTTGCAATATGACGGGCAACACAGAGGTTAGGAGCAGTCCCACATCAAGAGGGCTCTGGCCGTCTACGCTTTGTTCATTCCTTTCTTCGGGCCGTGTGGCTTCCTTCCAGCGTACCCTGCTGTGAACTTATTAAAGGCTGTCACAGTCAGGCTCGGGGCTGAGTCTGTCCCAGGTAGGCTTATCAGTGGCAGATTGCAAAATCCTAAGAAATGCAAATTTTTACTTCTATTTCCCATCTTAGAGTAAAGTAGGAAAGAAAAAAAGAGGAAGTTACAGTATATTTGAACAAAGAAATTTGGACTTAACCAGTAACCACTGGCCTGAGATTAGATCTCCCTAATTAAAATGATTAATAGGTACCAAAATCACTTAAAATTTTGTGACACCTTAAAAAAATTTTTTTAAAAATAGTTTGCCTTCCGGATTCCTGGTGCAGAAGCTTGTTTTAGGAATTGTTTTTAGTCCCATAAGTCAGCTAACCTCTCAAATGAGATTAAAATCTTTGGGTTTGGTAAAGTTTGCATAAATATTTTACATGGATCCATCTTTAATTAGGTTATAATATTAGAAAGTGCCAAGCAGCACTCCCTTCCCACAAATTAGACCTGAGCCCCACAAACAAATTAATTTATGTCTCAGGGTTTTGACTGGGCCTCTCGGCTCCCTCCTTTCTCACAAGTACTTCTGACCCTCTGGATTTCAAATGCCTGCGGGTAAAAAGCAATTATAAAAACATGACTCTCCCAGATCAGCTTTCGCCTCTGCCTTGTCTCTGTTTTATTGATGGGAGATTGAAGGAAGATTCAAATCAGCCATCCTTCAATTCCTCACCAGCAGCAAAATGCAGAAATCATTAGCTCTTCCTGTGTAAAAGACTTTGTCCTGCCTTATTATTCAAAACTGCTTGCTTGTATGACTCAAAAAGGGCATGTTGAATATTTATTTCTAATTTTCAGCACTGGTAAATATTATATTGCTTTGTTCCCAATGTTCTTCTTATTTTGCAAATTTTATAGCAATTAATTAATGTGGCACTGTTATTAGCAACATCTCCCCAGTTTTCACTGCCTGCATTTAACATGATATAGCTCCTAAGGACTTCGTTGTAGAAATTTCACAAGCAGGCTGTGTTTGAATTATAAGATCAGTTCTGGTGAATAGGAACTTGTTATCAGTGGAGAAAGCTTTCATTGCAAACCTTGCCTTGTACCATCACAGCTAATTTTATTTCATTATAACTGCCATCACCTCCTCCACTCCCCCCTCAAAAATAGAAGAAACTTGGTATAAACATAGCCAGTTGCCTGATTTTAAACAAAGCGAGATACAAGCATTTGCAGCCTGGCAAGTGGAAAAGAAGGCTGATGCCATTCATGGCTACCAGCGTCCACCCCAAAGGAGAGCCGAATAGTAATAATCATTTTCATTATTTGGCAGCATGTTTCTATTTTTTCACAAGGCTAATTTTAAGTGCTGCTATTCTGATTTTATTGGTGATATAATTTTCTATCTCATAGAAACCTGAATTCTGTTGATCAATAAAAAATAATGAATATGTTGTTGTGAGTAGGAAAACTATAATGTTCATTTGACCAATGCATTTGATTGATATCTATAGCTAAACTCCATACTTGAGGAAAAAACATGTCTTTTTTAAAAAGTGAATCTGAAAATGGACTTTATTTTCCTGTATTCATTCAGCAGAAAAGACAAACATTCAAAAAGCACTTGGTGGAGACTTCAGAGAGCAGTGCCCATGGGTAATTTGGGGGCATCTAGAGGAGGGGTTGTAGAAAGCTGGGGGCAAGAGGCCCTGGTCAAGGAGAGTGGAGGTGAAGGAAAGTCAGGAGCCAGGATAATAGCCTAAGGTTCACTTGGGCCATGGAAAAGTGGCCCATGGGAAAGAGGCTGGAAGAGACCTGAAGGGTTTATAGGAAGAGAAAGGAGAAGAAACTGGCAGCTGATGGAGCAAGGGAAGACATGCCTCTTCAAAAAAGATTCTAAGACATGGCCGGGGGCAGTGGCTCACGCCTGTAATCCCAGCACTTTGGGAGGCTGAGGCAGGTGGATCACCTGAGGTCAGGAGTTCAAGACCAGCCTGGCCAACATGGCAAAACCCCCATCTCTATTAAAAATACAAAAATTAGCTAGGTGTGGTGGTGCATACCTATAATCCCAACTGCCCGGGGGGTTAAGGCAGGAGAATCACTTGAACCTAGGAGGCAGAGGTTGCAGTGAGCTGAGATCACACCACTACACTCCATACACCCCAGCCTGGGCGACAGAGCGAGACTCTGTCCAAAAAAAAAAAAAAAAGAAAAAACAACAAAAAAAAAAATTCTAAGACATTGAGGGAGAAAGAATGAAATAGGGATATCTCCCTGAATACTGGGCGTTTATGCCCCACAGCCTTCCACTTTCAGGACCTAAAGAAGCTTGTAACAATCATGGCCCACATTTGTGATTCCCTTGTCCCTGGCCAAGTGCGTGTGCCCTGTGACAGAATCCTCAGAGCCGCCCTGTGAGGTGTGGACTGTCTGGATGGCTGCTTACTACTGAGGATGGGAAGGCTCGGACAGTACCACAGGCCCCTGCAGGCCCCTGACCGGTGTTCAGGCCCACTCCTTAGGCCGAGCAGCCCTAACTGCCTGTCTCCAAGAGGGAGTGTGGGCTATAGCAAGTGGCACACCAACACCGAAGGTCACAAAGGCTGTGCCCAAGGACACCCCAATTACTCATTCATCGATGGGACACCAGGCACCATCCTGTGGGTGGGCTTGGAGCTCCCTGAGAAGGTAGGGGAAGCCGGCCCGTGCTCCCTGGGATGGACCTGTGCAGGCTTGGCTGCTGACATCTGTTTCCTGAAGGTGGGAGAGAAGGAAGGAGCCATTCCCAGCCCACCCAAGCACAGCGGAGGGAAGGGAACAACCCTGCAGGCACAGCTCCCCCAGTCTCCAGGGCTGGAACCAGAGCAATTTCGTCAAGCTGCAATATTAAATAGCCAGTGCTGTATTTTTGGAATCCCTGAATGTGAGCCGGGTTTAATGAACCTCAAGCTATAATGTTTTACTTCTCCTTTGGTAAAAATTTGTATTTCATATTTTAAAAATTGCACTCATTCTGCCAGTTGGTGTTATCAGCCAAGCATGACCCCTTCGTGCAACATTCACAAACTGTACATTTTCTTGGTCACAATGTCTTTGTAATAGTTGGGCCTTATGCTGAAAAGTCAGAGTGGAGTTGGACTCCTGTCCAGGTAGCGCTCCCATAAATTACAGGGATAGGTCACTCTGGTAGGATTCTCCAAGCACATCCATCTTCCTGCTAGTTGCAAATTCACCCAAATGTTCAGAATGTTGAGTCCAAAAGTAGGCAATATTCACAGAAGACAAGAACTTCTTAAATCCACCTCTGAGTTATAAAGAAAAACCGAGTGATGTTTTCTTTACATCCCAAAGCTATTTTCTTTAACATATTGTAAGGCTTGGACACTTGTAACCATTTTAAGAAGAAAATATTTGGTGCTCACTGAAACAAAATAAACTTATACTGCATTTTTCTATGAAAAATACTTTTTGATTTTACAAATATGAGATCTATTCCATAGCTGCCTTGTAACATTTGTCTCATAATATATTGTGAATCTCTTTAAATGCCAAGATTATTTAAGCAATACCTATGTTGTTGATCATCTAGGCTTTTTCTTAACCAGTGCACTTTGTTCTTACACATTCCTTTGAGGAACATCACTTTAAATGAACCTGTGTGTATGACTGTGATTATTTGCTTGAGGTACATTGCCAGAAGTGAAATTGCATTTGATCTTTCTTGCCAAAATGCCTTCTAGATAGTCATGTCAACTTACCCTGCCAATGCAGTACGTAAGAATGTTCCTTCCCTGTGCTCTTAGCCTTACCAGGAACTACATGTCTGTCTATCATTTATCTATCTATCTATCTATCTATCTATATCTATCTATCTATCTATCTATCTATCTATCTATCTATCTATCTATCATCTATCTATCTATCTGTCTATCGGTCTGTCTTCTATATACTTGTCTACAGACCATTCATCTGTGTATTATCTATCTATCTATCTATCTATCTATCTATCTATCTATCTATCTATCTAACATCTACCTCCACTATCTATCTATCCATCTATTACCTATCTATATCTATCTATCTATCTATCTATCTATCTATCTATCTATCTGTCTGTCTGTCTGTCTGTCTGTCTGTCTCTGTCTGTCTGTCTGTCTATCTATCTATCTATCATCTGTCTACCTTCTATCTACCTATCTACAATCCACAATCTGTTTATGCATGTATCTTCTATCTATCTATCTATCTATCTATCTTCTACCTACCTACCTATTTACAATTCACTCATCTATGTATCCATCATCTATCTACTTATCTTCTATATATCTCTCAATCTACCTATCTACTACTCTATTGTCTGCCTATCTACCTAACAACTAACCATCCGTCCAACCACCCAACCAACAATCTTGAACATTTGTCAGTCTAATAGATGACAGTGATGAGTGTTGTAATCTGTTTAAATTTGCATGTTTGAATATTACGGGTGTATTAACGATCTGTGGTTCATCTTGGTGAATGCCCTGTTTGTATTCCTTCCCCATGTCTCCATTGAGGCTTCTGTTTCTTACCAATTTGTAAAGCTCTCTGCTTTTACATTTTAACATCTAAATTTTCTTATTTATCATTTGCATTTTTGTTTTTCTATATTATTTTTGACCTCCAGGAGTGTAATGTCTTTATGCAGTTAAATGTGTCTGTCTTTGCCTTTATAGTTTTGCTTTTGTTGTCATCTTCAGATAGGTCTCCCATCCTCAGATTTTTGCAGATATTTTTATAATGTATTTCCTTCTATTTCATGCTTTTATGATAAATTTGGATCCCTCTGGAACTTATTAAAGGCATGGACCTAACTTTTTTTTTTTTCAAAATAAGTAGTTATTTGCCTCAATACATTTGTTTCATCTGGATTAAAACCACTATGATATTCTTGGATCTGTTTCAAGATGTCCTACTCTGTTTTATGAATCTGCCTATCCCTGTAGCAGTAAAACGCTGTTGTTTAATTTGTCCCGATTTTGTTTAGGCAAGCCCTCCATCATTCCTGCTTTTTATTCTAATTTGATTATTTTTAAAAATAAACTCTAGGATTATTTTATCACATATAAAAATTTATGTTGGAAATTTTGTTGTAATTATCTTGAATTTGAAGATGAATTTGGAGGAAGAGAACTGGCTTCTTTAGTATTCTGGGTCTTTCATGCAAGTTCATAGTTAGCACGGGTTTTACGAATGTATTATTGACTCTCAGTTATTTTACAACTTTGTTAACAGTGATAATGATACTTCTCTTTTAACTCATAAAATAAAAACAAATTACCACACTTTCCTTTTTTCCTTTTTTCTACCCACTTTTCAGTATTGAACTTTTGCATTCAGATAATTATTTCTATTATTGTATTATTAGATTGTCTTGCCTTGTTTTTTAACTTTTAAGGTTTTTTGGAAGTTGTAATCAGTTCCATTATCATGTTAAAACTACTTAGAGATTAACTCTTGAATTTTTGTAGTTCCCTACCATCCGTATTTTACATGATTAATCCCCTTTTCAGCTTATTCAAGGTCATCTTTGAGTGATTTTCCTTTAGAATGAATATAGGTTGGTATAATTTTAAATAACAAAAATGTTAGCTTGGTGCCAATATAATTTCCCTCAAAACTTTGTAGATGATGCTCCATTATGTCTCAGCATTTAGTATATTTGAGGGCAAATTGATTTACTATTATTAGTAATAGTAGTATAAGTAATTTACTTTTGTTCTCCCAGTCTAGATGACAGGAATATTTAACATTTTCACACTAGTATGTCTATGTGAAATATGTATTATTATTATAATTATTATAATTTGGCAGCTGGGGAGTTCATTCCCCATATAAACTTACCTTTAAGGGGAAGACAAATTCTTTAGCTTAGAAAACTTCTTTTGCCAATACTCTTTCTCTGCGTGCTTGTGGGATTCCTGTGGTGCACATGTTGAATTTCCTGAAACTACTTCCATACATGTTCACTTCCTTTTATCACATTTATCTTTTTACTCTTTAGCTTTAAAATCTGGGGAAAAAAATCATAGACTATTTCCAGTCTATGGATTTTCCAATATACTCTTTGCTAGTTTGTTTATTGAAAGACAACACACACATTCTGTTGCCATCCTTTAAATTCCCTTTGCATAGATGAATGTCTTTTGTAGCATTGAGAGGGGAACGCAGACACCCTCTGTGGTGGACAGACCCTAGAGTGGTCCCCTGTCCCTGCCTGTATAATCCCCTCCCCTTGTGTGAGGACAGGAACCCTATCTTGCTTTTATCCCATAGAGTATGGCAAAGGTGTTGGGGTGTCATGTCCGTGATTCAGTTACACTATTTGGTAAAGGTAAGGAGACAGCATTTCTCCAATCCTGCATGTGTGTGTGTGTTTGTGCACACACATGCATGTGTGCATCCTGGCTTTGTTAGCATGCACTAGAGAGATTCTCATTGCTGGTTCTGCAGAGGCAGACAGCTATGTGTGAACATCCTATGGGAGGGCTACACACTAGGGCAGTGTGGGTGGCCTCTGGGACCTGAGGGTGGCCTTGGACCAGCAGCCAGTAAGGAGCTGAAGTCCTCGATTCAACCACAAAGAAATTGTTTCTGCCCACACATGAGTGAGCTTGGAAGTGGATTCTCCCCTGATTGAGTCTCTGGATGAAAACACATCCTTGACAGTGCTCTGCCTGCTGCCTTGTGAGACGCTGAGCAGAGGACCTAGGAAAGCCACGCTCAGACCATGACCCACAGAAAAGGTAAGTGATGAAGCGTGTGTTGTTTGAAGCTCTTGAGTTCATGGTACTGTTACACAGCAACAGAAAACTAACATACTCCCTAAACTTCTCTGCTATCCCTTGAGTTTCCTAGGTGAACACTTACTCTGATTTTTCAGGTTAGTCTATTTTTTTGAAATAAGAAATCTTTTCATATACCCAGTGACATGGACTATTCTGGAAGTAATGGACCCTATGAAAATATTCTAGGTTCCAATAAATAATAAGAATTTCTTTGATTTATTGTGGTTCAGCCTTGCCAGATTGAAGAACCAAATCGTTGAGCAACTGAAAGCTCTCATTTCAGAATTATTCCCCTCCCCTCTTCCATTCCCAAGACCCCCTTTTGTTTTATCAGAAAGCACAGCAAAAGAAACTACCATCAGAGTGAACAGGCAACCTACAAAATGGGAGAAAATTTTCGCAACCTACTCATCTGACAAAGGGCTAATATGCAGAATCTACAATGAACTCAAACAAATTTACAAGAAAAAAACAACCCCATCAAAAAGTGGGCGAAGGACATGAACAGACACTTCCCAAAAGAAGACATTTATGCAGCCAAAAAACACATGAAAAAATGCTCACCATCACTGGCCATCAGAGAAATGCAAATCCAAACCACAATGAGATACCGTCTCACACCAGTTAGAATGGCAATCATTAAAAAGTCAGGAAACAACAGGTGCTGGAGAGGATGTGGAGAAATTGGAACACTTTTACACTGTTTGTGGGACTGTAAACTAGTTCAACCATTGTGGAAGTCAGTGTGGCGATTCCTCAGGGATCTAGAACTGGAAATACCATTTGACCCAGCCATCCCATTACTGGGTATGTACCCAAAGGACTATAAATCATGCTGCTATAAAGACACATGCACACGTATGTTTATTGCGGCATTATTCACAATAGCAAAGACTTGGAACCAACCCAAATGTCCAACAATGATAGACTGGATTAAGAAAATGTGGCACATATACACCATGGAATACTATGCAGCCATAAAAAATGATGAGTTCATGTCCTTTGTAGGGACATGGATGAAATTGGAAGTCATCATTCTCAGTAAACTATCGCAAGAACAAAAAACCAAACACCGTATATTCTCACTCATAGGTGGGAATTGAACAACGAGATCACATGGACACAGGAAGGGGAACATCACACTCTGGGGACTGTTGTGGGGTGGGGGGAGGGGGGAGGGATAGCATTGGGAGATATACCTAATGCTAGATGACGAGTTAGTGGGTGCAGCACACCAGCATGGCACATGTATATGTATGTAACTAATCTGCACAATGTGCACATGTACCTTAAAACTTAAAGTATAATAATAAAAAAATAAAAAAAAAAAAGAATTATTCAGGAAAGTTTCTTCAGAGATGCCCTGAAATACTTTGAAATAAATTTTTAAAGATGAAAAAATAAAAAAATAAAGAAATAAAGAAAATGACAATGCATTCAGTTAACAGGCACAGCTTCTCTGATTAGGGGCATGGAGGCCCTGTTCCACACTGGGGTTAGGGCCTCTAAGATCCTGCTTCTGTGGACTGCACCATCCTGCGGTCACCTCCAGGAACTGTGTGGCAGCCTGGCTGCTCTTTTATCTCAAGTTTCCTGGGCCCTGGGCCCCGAGCTAGCCCAGACCATAGTGGGAAGCTCAGGCTGGATGGATGAGTGGCACCCTCTACCCACTCCCCAAGTGCCTGAACCACACCTCACATACATTCCACATCAAAGTCGGTAGTGTTTAAATGACACCCCTTCCTATTTTCTATCTTGGGCAGACTTTCTCTCATTTTTCTATTCCTTTGAACATCTGAACATTAAATGCATGGAATCGGTTCAGTCACCAGGCAGATATTCTTTAAACAGTAGAATGTAAGAGAGATGTAGATAGCCATCTTCATTTGGATTCTCTAAATTCTTGGAGAGGGTATAGCAAATGGAAATGGATTCTCTCTGGTGGTTCAATATGAACGTGTGAGTAAGAAATGTTCTAAAACTTGCAGGGCAAATATTATCATGTTAATGATTTTCTAAATCTAAATAGTCAATCCTGTCTAAATCTCACCCATGGACTATGACGGATCACCTGGTCACATTTTGGTCATCCCTTCCACCAAGAGAAGCCTCCATGCAGCCGGTCAGTCTTATGTCCTCACCATTGCTTGTCCTTTTGGGTGCCCACATACTCTTGAAATTGGGGCTTTTCCCATCTCCTGGGCTGTGAGTGGGTATTTGTGAAGTCTTTCTGATATGCAGAGCACTTCTTTCTCCTACCCCCATCCCCCATCCTTTTCATTTGCCTCTTTCTGGGCTTTTTGGCTCTCTGGCAGATGAAAGAGACTATCTCTTATCTCCAACATCTGTGAAATATTCCAGACACTTCTCCTCTTTGCAGTCCTCAAAAAGACATTTAGGGTGGGGCCTGTCTTATTCATCCTTTCTTTCTCTCTAAGGTTGCCTGACTTTGGTTATTCCCCTAATGGCTTTAGCCTTACAAATAAAAGCCAGGATGAAGGTCATCTTCTGTGTTGTCCTGAAATACAGAATAAAGATAGGGTGCCACCTTGGCTGAAGGGGGGACAGCCCTCCAGACCAGGGTCCAAGAACAGGGGCGGGGGCATGGGGGCCCCTTGTGAAATGCCTGCCTCTGCTTCACAGAGAGGCGAGTGCAGGCTGAAAAGCAGCATTTTGGAAACTTTATGCATATTTGACTGAGTAATTTTATATCTGTGGAATTTAAAAATTAAAGCGTATTTTATATATTTTATGTCTTTTTAGTGTTTCTAGTGAATTCATCTTTATTGTTCAATTTTTTTCTTTTCACTCTTGTTGCCCAGGCTGGAGTGCAATGGTGCAATCTCGGCTCACTGCAACTTCCGTCTTCCTGGTTCAAGTGATTCTTCCATCTCAGCCTCCTGAGTAGCAGGGATTACAGGCACCAGCCACCATGCCTGGCTAATTTTTGTATTTTTAGTAGAGATGGGGTTTTGTCATGTTGGCCGGGCTGGTCTCGAACTCCTGACTTCAGGTGATCTGCCCACCTCAGCCTCCCAAAGTGCTGGAATTACAGGCATGAGCCACCACGCCTGGCCAGAATTCATCTTTATTGTATTCTACAAAGTTCCTTCACCACGGTGTTTGAGGACCGTGTGCAGAACACAAAACCTGTCTCGTTTCCCGGAGTATCGAGGGAGCAAAGCAAATTCCAGTCAGCTCTTTCTGAATCTACAGCATAAATGCATAACCAAAACTTGAAAACACCAGTTTCTATTAATACAGCATCCTATTGGCCAGTTGGCCACCAGTTGAATTGAAAAGAAAGAATGGTTCGGAAAACCACCAGGAATGAAAGCATCTTCACACAGTGACTATTTCCACTTCCACAGAGGGATGGTGGGTGAGCCAACTGGAGCTTTGCTTCACTGGAGCAAACGACATTCTTTACCACTTGATTTTTTCTCAAATATGTCCTCATCCAAACAATATGATCGCATTTCTATAATACATTTCTTGAATCTTTGTATTATATAAAACAGAGTCAACAAATATATGTCTTGGTAATACATATATGTCTTGACTAAATAATATTATATATTTCTTTTCTTTTTTTTTTTTAGAGACAGGATCTTGCTCTGTTGCCTAGGCTAGAGTGCAGTGGTACCATCATAGCTCACTGTAACCTTGAACTCCTAGGTTCGAGCAATCCTCTCACCTCAGCTTCCTGAGTAACTGGGACTACAGGCTTGTGCCACTACACTTGCCTAATTATGTATTTTTATTTTTTGTAGAGACAAAATCTCACTGTGTTGCCCAGGCTGGTCTCAAACTTCTGGCCTCAAGTGATCCTCCTGTCTTGGCCTCCCAAAGCCCTGGGATTACAGGTGTAAGCCACTGCAGCCTGGCCTAAATTCCATATTTCATATAGCTTTAATCTCCAAAAACTAAGACATGCTCTCTTAGGTGATAAGTTAAAAGAAATTAGTTTCTTAAATTGTTAATCAAGAAAAATTTAGTAAAAATTTTATCCTCATTATTACTGCTTAGATTCTTTGTATAATTGGCAACTTTCAAGGGAGCCATTTGAACTATTTTTCTTCAAACTCAGATTATTCATATTTTTCAAACTGTGCATTTGGTATTCCAGCTCAGGGCATAAGAGTTATTAAGACAATTTAAAATATGTTAAAAATTTTAAAAATCATAAAAACATGAAAACCAGCAGATATAATTGGTATATATTATATAAAGGATAGTGGATACCAATGGCTGAGTAAAGACATCAAAATATTTAGGTAGGGTTTAGATGTTTTCCTTTTGGCAACTAGTAGTTGATGACTTGAAACTTTTTAATGCCCTAATATTAGAAAAAAGGGAATGTCCTACTTCATACTAATTCCTGTTCGTTGAGCCGCTTACCTGAGCTGATACCAAAGGGATGCTGTGACTTCAGGTGGGGTCATGGCAGCCATGGCATTTTCCAGTAGGAGGAGGGTGTGACTGACAGTCTCCTTGAAGGATGGTCTTGCCACACCTCAGGCTTGACCATGTAGCGTTACTGGGAGACTTTTTTTGAGCACAGTGATAATGTAATGAGTATGACTTCCCCTCCAGAGGATGGGCCACATCTCTAAACCCCACCGCTGGAATCCCTGTCTCATCAGAGATCTGCTGGAGTCTCCTAGGCTATACTCACTTAGAAATAAATCAGCATGAGTCTGGGCAGTCAGAACTTGTTCACAATGCTTTGGAGAGGACAAAAGGAAGCAAACTGACACCACATTTCAGTTAAGCATTTAAAATCAGCTCAAATCTAGTATTTCAACTTGGAGCTTAACCTGGGAGGGACAAAGCCTAGCTTGTCATCACGAGACAGGGTAGAAAATTCTCAAGTGATTTTCTAAACTTTCAAGATCATCGGGAGTCCATTGATCTGCTTTCCTCTCTCCTGTCCATCAGGAACGGTTTTCTGCTTTCTTATTAGCCTTGTCATTGAGTTCCAAGGAGACAAATACAGCAAATGCCTTCATTACTTGTCTGGTAGCTAGAGGAGGCCGAGGTCATGGCGGATGTATGCTGGTGATTCCCTTTTATGCTACAGTGAAAATGAGGAATATATAAACATATGCAGGTATTTCTTTAATTTGGGAAGCTTCCTTTCTATGCCTGAAAATATCCAGTTAATTCCATCTGTTCTGATGTACTTATATTTTATACAGACAGATGCATGGACATTTACCTGTTGCCTGGCCTTAGGTTGATAGGTTGCCAGGATGTGGACCCAACACCGGCTAAACTCTGCTTAGGTTTAAGCTTTAAGGTCACACTGAGAGAGTTAATGGTGGGTGATGAAGGAAAGAATCTCTGTGTCAATGTGTTCATCAGGATAAAGGACTTAACCTTTGGTCAGATAAGATAGCATCTTTATAAGATGCAAATTCTGACACATTTACAAAGTCTGGTTGATTTCATATCCACTGAAATTTGTTTTTGCTTTCATGTCTGCTCAAGCAAGAGAGACACTAGTAGAAAGAAATCTTATCAGACTACAAGTTAGTTACTTTCAGTTCTAATAATTGTAGATTTCAGAGTATCAATTTCTGGTGCTCTAAAGCATGTCCACCTTTTTGCTTCTACAAATTGATTAAGCTTTTTATTTGATATCACAGGAGCCTCCGGAGAGTTCTAACCTATATTTCAACCTTTGAAGAAATTCATACCCACAAGATATTTCTGCTGGACAATCTTCAAGGTCATTAATATAATGCTTAGAAATTTTCAGCCAAGAGTGAATTTAATCAGCACCTTTCTCTGTGTGTCTCTTCCTAGCATGATTCAAATATTGTTTTGCCTTTTACGTTCCTTAGGAAGTCAGCCTCCATTATATTTGTTTTGCATCTTTAAATGCAGGCAACCAAGGGGATTTTATGACAAAGTATGATAAAATTGATACCATAAAATAACATAAACTAACCAAGAAGTGTTTAAATGTTGATGGAAGAAAGTTGAAGAATCATTTTTAGAGTTCTTTATATAGTTCTATCTACAAATACATCCCAGGAAGTTTGAAGAGAATTAAAAAATAGATGTAAAGGTCATATAAAAGCCACCATAAAATACGAAGTCTTTGGTGAGGGGGAAAAGAATGATCTCTGTGATTTCCACTGTTGAAACAGTATGTTGTGCTGAAAGATTTAGAGATGGCTGAAGCTATGCAGATGAAAATGTCTGGGTCACCTGTGTTGAATCTTTCATTGCACAGGATATAGTAATAAATAAAGTTGCTCACATTCTAGAGACCAGTTCATCAGTTAAAACAACCTAGGAAACACTGGAAGGTAAGGAATTAAATGTGAATTTGGAAAGTGAGAGACCATATTTTAATATATATGACCATTCGTATTTCAGAGAATAGAACCTTACAGAAGATCTCAACTGCTGGGTTCTGATTGTGGGAGGAGCAAATACTTGAGAAAGTCACTATTTAAGCTACTTCAAGAAATGATCAGTCATTATGTTATGGGAAATAATTCAGAGTACTGCCTTCACCACTTAAATGTGTCACCTGACTCTTTTCAGATACTTCCAGATGAAAACAAACAAGGCTTAGAGAAAAATTACACATCAAAAACAACGTTGTTAATAAGCAAATTTAGATTTTAATTTCATCAACCTGCTGAAACAATAGCTCCTTCAAGTGATGTGATGATATGAATTAGTATCTTATGTGCCCAGACATGAATATTATGAAATAATTTGCTGACTGAGTCCATGAATCAAGTTCCCCTTCATCCTAATTCCATAGTCCCATCTGAAGACATTTCTTGAAAAAGTACTCCAGCAAAATGAACTAGAAGTTGGTATTTGAGAAAATAAGTAAGATGACCCCTTAAAAATAAAAAGTGGTTAAAGATAATTTATGTCTTTAGTGCTTCATTTTCTTTGAATAATAGAGATGTAGTAACATATAATCTCTGGCTATGAGTGGCATTTGCCTGTTTTTCCTTTTAGTTCTGTCAGTTTTACTAATGAATTTGGATAGTTTGTCATTAGGTGTAACCTATTTGGGATTTTTGTGTCTTCCAGATAAAGGATGGGGCATTTTTTTTCATCGTGTAACGTCCTTCTTTATTCCTTGTGGTACTCTTTGCCTTGAAATATACTTTGATTTTAACACGGTCACACCAGCTGCCTTATGCTTACTTTTAACACAGAATACCTCTTTCCTTTCTTTATAAGACCATATCTTTATATTGAAAATATAAATGGTTGGTGCAAAAGTAATTGCGATTTCAGACCATGAATTTTAAATCATTTTAACTAAGCTGAAACACAACTTTATTAATCAAAATAGAAACCATTACAATCAACACATTTTTGCCAATGAGAAATAAGTTTGTTTATTCCTGTAGCATACAAATCCATGCTCCGGAATTTGATGAACTCTTGGAAAGCATTTTCTGCATGCTGCTGGTTGTGGAAGCGTTTTTCCCTCCAAAAAGTTGCTGAGATGCTTGACGAAGTGGTAGTCAGTTGGTGAGAGGGCAGGTGAATATGGAGGAGGATGCAATACTCTGTAGCCCAATTCGTTCAACTTTTGAAGGGTTGGTTGCATTGATGTGCAGTCGGGCGTTGTCGTGGAGAAGAAATGGGCCGTTTATGTTAACTAATGCTGGCTGCAGGCATTGCAGTTTTTGATGCATCTCATCAATTTGCTGAGCATACTTGTCAGGTGTAGTGGTTTCACTGGGATTCAGAAAGCTGTAGTGGATCAGACAGGCAGCAGACCACCAAACAGTGACCATGACCTTTTTGGTGCAAGTTTGGCTTTGAGAAGTACTTTTGAGCTTCTTCTTGGTCCAACCACTGAGCTGGTCATCGCTGGTCGTCCTATAAAATCCACTTTTCATTGCACGTCACAAATCAATTGAGAAATGGTTCATTGTTATGTGTAGAATAAGAAAAGACAACACTTCAAAATGATTTTTTAAAAATTTTTACTCAGCTCATGAGGCACCCACTTATGGAGCTTTTTTATGTTTCCAATTTGCTTTAAATGCCAAGTGACCATAGAATGGTTGATGTTGAGTTCTTGGGCAACTTCTCATGTAGTTGTAAAAGGATCAGCTTCAATGATTGCTCTCGGTTGTTGTCAACTTCTGATGGCTGGCCATTACGCTTCTCATTTTCAAGGCTCTTGTTGCCTTAGCAAAACTTCTTGAACCACCAGTGCACTGTACCTTCATTAAGAGTTGCTGGGCCAAATGCGTTGTTGTTGTTGTGAGTTATCTCTGCTACTTTGCGACCCATTTTGAACTGGAATAAGAAAATTGCTTAAATTTGCTTTTTATCTAACATCACTTTCATAGTCTAAAATAAATGTAAATTAAGCAGCAAGTAATAAGTCATTAGCAAAACATAAAGTGAGAAATGTGCATGGAAATGATGTATCATGTGACCGCATTTATTTAAGATTGTATTCCAATATCAAATGGCAAATTTCAACAATGCAAAAACTGCAGTTTCTTTTGCACCAACCTAATAGATCTCCTCTAAAGACTATATAATTGGGTCATTCTTTTTTATCCACTCAGATGGACAACCTCTGCCTTTTAATTAAGAGTATTTAGCTCATTTAGTTTTATTATGATTACTAATGTGGTTGGGTTTAAGTCAACCATCTTGCTTTCTTTTATGTATTTTTTTGTTCTCCTGCTCCTTTCTGCCTTCTTTTGTGTTAATCAACTATTTTTATTCTATTTTATTTTCTTTATTGCCTTAGCTATACTTCTTTTATTATTTTTTTATTTTTGCTAACAATACACATGCTCAATTATCAGAGTCTATTTAGAGCCTATGTATTGTACATTATTCCATCACATTTTACCCTTAACATCTAATATTTTACATTTTTCTTTACACTTCTTTCTTTCCATTAAACACTTGACACTTCCCACTTTACTCTTGTACTTAACATTTTAAAAATGTAATAGCCACACAATAGTAAAATTCTATTCTACTGCCTTACTTTGTAAAATTTCTATCGTTATCTTTTACTTATACATACATTATAAACCCCATCTTACAATTTTATTTGGCTATAAATGCTTTTAAGTAAATTACGATACTCAAGAAAGCACAATTTAAAAACATTAACCCACCTATTTGCCACTTTTGCTTCTCTTGCTTCCTTCCTGTAGATCCAAGTTTCCATCTGGTTTATTTTGACCTTTATAAAGGATATGCTGTAGGAGAGATTACTGGTAGTGACTTTTCTCAGCTTTCGTTATCTGAAAACAACTTTATTTTCATGTTTAAAAGATATTTTCAAAAGATGTAGACAGAGGTTCATAGTGTTTTCCTCTCAGTACTTTATCTTATCCCATTGTCTTTTGGCCTCCATTATTTCTTATGAGAAACCAGTGATATATCTTATTCTTGTTCTTCTGTATAGAATATTTTTCTTTTAACCTCTAGTTACTTTTGATCTTTTTTCTTTGTCTTTAGTTTTCAGCATTATGACTGTAATTTGTTGTGGTATAGTTATCTCCCTATTTATAATACTTGAGGTTCTTTGAACTATTTAAATCTGTAAATCAATGTTTTTTCATCAAGTTTCTGATATTTCCAGATATTAGTTGTTCAAATAATTTTTCTGCCTCAAGTTTACTCTTTTGTTTTTCTTGGATTCCAAGATCATCTGATATTGTGCCACAGATTTCCAAGGACCTGTTTAGTTTTCTCTGATATGCTCTCCTTTTGCATTCTTCAGATTGGTCAGTTTCCAGTGATGTAACTCTCTATCCTCTGACTCTTTTCTGTGCTATCTCCAATCTGCTGTGAGTCCTGGCCTATGAATTTTTAATTTCAGTTATTTACTTTTCAGGTCTAGAATTTCTATTTGATTCTATTTTATAGTTTCCATTGATCTGCTTATATTTTTTATCTGTTCATTTATGAGGACCATTTTTTTAAATTATTTGACCATTTTAAACATTGATTCTTTGAACATATTTATGTTTGCTTCCTTAAGGACTTTGTTTCCTAAAATAAAGATTTAGACCATCTGAAATTTAGTTTCTATTGCCTGGACTTAAATTTTCCTGTTTTTTCATACATTTACTAATTTTTGATTGAACACTGGACATCGTAAATAATCTGTTGTAGCAACTCAAGATTCTGTTATATATATCTGAAGATAATTGACTCTTGTTCTAGTGGGCAGTGCAATTATTCTGTGATCATATTGACTTGTGCTTGGTTTTATGCTTTTTTTGTACAGAACTGTGGAAAACTTAAGGTACTTCCCAAGCCAAGCCAGTCTAGCCTGTTGGAATTCAATATCATAACACTGTCTCCCTGCAGGTAGTACCTGAGTTTGGCTCTATACTTGGTTAGGATGATCTAGAATAACTCTTACTCTGGGATGAAGTCTTTACTCATAAGGTGCGGCCTTTGTGGTGTCTCAGTTGTATGCCCACAGTGTTAAAGATATTTTCCTCAGATCCCTCCACTATGGCAAGGCAAAAACTTCAGTGTTCTAGGACAGGTGTTCCACCATTATTGCTTGACCTCAATGTCTCTGCACTACATTAATCCTATTTTGTTTGCTACCTGTAGGCCTCATGTAGTCTCATCTTGCAAATACACAGCCCAGCCGTTAGCCACAGACTTACAGCGATCCCATACATGGATTCTGGGGCTTCCTTTTTGCACATCTTCCTCTTATCTGGTGCCATTCCCTGACCCACAGATTTGAGACACTTTAGTTGCCCTGAACTTGGATGTTTGTCCCCTAAGCTCATTGGAATTGGTGTGCTCTACCTCACAGCTGGGCAATTGTCCTTTGGCAGGAAGCCAGGGCAATTGTGTAGATCACTTCATGGGTTTCCCTTCTCCAAGAGATCCTAGTCGGATGCTGCCTGTTGCTGAATACCCGAAAACAACTGTCTCAATATTCTCTTCAGCATTATGGTTGCTTATGGCTGCTGCAGGGCTAGTTTGGTACCAAGTAGTCTAATATGGCTAGCAGCAAATGGGTTTCAGTATATTTTAACAACTTTCTAAAGTTATTATATATGCACAATAAAGCTCGCAAAATATAAATAAATCATGAAAGGCAATTAGAGTTACAGGAAAGAATATAATTATTGAAAATATTGACAACACGTACAAAATAATTTAACCAAATTCAGGAGGTGGGGACAGAGATAAATGGAAAAAAGTGATTCCACTTGAATTTTCTCATATTTTTATCAGCAATAGAGTTCAATACATATTATTTAAAGTTAAGCATTCAGGATTTAGATTACCTTATTAAAGGTATAAACATAGCCTCTAGAATAGCCAGTGGGAGATAGAAAGGAAGGGAAAGTAGAGGTAATGAAAATAAGCTCAATTCCTAATTTTATAATAAAGTGAAGTCAGCAAACACTTATTATATAAAATGGGTAGATCTAGAAATAAGACTTTAACATTATTTAAAGTTACAGTGGTAACTTCCAGAATAGCGAAAAAACTGAAACTATGAAAAGTGGCTTCTTCTGGGGGATATGAGTAGGGTGACAGAATAAATACATTTTTTAAATTGTTTTTTGTTTCCTTATGATTTGAAATCTCACGGATATAAGGTGTATTTTCTCCTCGATTTATTAGCACTTATAGTCATTACTCGATTCCTTATTTATTGTATAATATACAGCATTATAGGTGCATATGTGTATATTTTTAATTACAAATATAAAATAATGCAATCAAATACAGGGTTGTTCAGTTCTCAGCAAACATGAGAAATATTCCCTTAATTACCATGTGCCACTCAAAGTCCTGGGCACTGCCTATGCCCAGCATATGTTCTTGTATTTCACTTTGCTGTCATGTTAGCACAACTTCAAATATCTGAAGGAAACCCTACAAGTCAGAGAAGCACCCATTTTGACTATGGGGTGTCAAACGTGTAGATTTCAGGAAGTATAAACTGAATTCATCACTTTTCAATGGGAAGACACAGAGGGTGCATTCCTAATTGCATCTCTTCGACTCTTTCTTTTTCTTCTCTCTTGCACATCACTTGATTTCTTGTTCTTCCTGGAGTCTCTGAAATAATAATAATAAAAAAGGAATAAAAAATCTATTAAAAATGCCTTTTACTGTGTGTCTGTCCTTGGCAGGGCAACACCGTATGCTGAGCTTAACCTGGGGCTTTAGAAATGCTGTTCAAGTTCAGAGGCTCAATTAAATGTTTTGAACGGTTTATACTCTGGCAATGTGTTTAAGCGAATGTGTCTTTAAGATGACATCCACCATTTATGGTTTGGAACTTGGGTTGGAAGTACGGGTTGTCATTGAAATAAAATAGGAGCCTTCCCAGGCTTTATTAGAGGGTTTTTTAGGGTTTGCCATTCTTTTCACCTTGACATTTATGCTAAAATTTAGAGTGTCTGATCTTTCCTACTCTAGTTCCTTTTTTTTTTTTTCACTAAATGGGGAAAACAATAAAGTCCTTGCAGTAGTTGTGAAGAGGAGAAAAGTCAGCTTCACAGCTGCTTTCGAATAGCTCGTTGCAGGGGAATTGCACTTTTTGGCAACTGCAAAATCCTTTTGGGATCGATAGGGATAACACTGGAGAGAGAAGCCAGCTCCCTTAATTTTGATAATGAAATTAAAACAAAATCGTCTGCTCATATTCCAAACTAAGCCATGTTTACGTTTGCCTTCATTCTAATAAAGGTGTGTAAAAACTTGATTGCTTTATCTGGGAAAAAAATAATTGTACTCATAGATGGTCACAAAATCATTGATGATTTTATTTTCTGGAGAGTGGGCTTTATTTGACCTCCAGTGCCTGTCAAAGTGCTGTTACTTGGACCTAATTAATGACTGTGAATATTGGATAAACGAGCCCTGGGCCATTTGTAGGTTCATGACCACAGGTAGGGACCCAGCAGATAAAACAGGGTAGATTGCTGTGGAAGAAGCTGGAACATCACTTTCAGAAGAGTAAACATGAAAATAGACATTTGGAGTGGTCTTTTTTAAAAAGACTTTATAACAAACAGAAACACCCATGACCAAGTGGTCTTCGTAGATAACAACCTCTTCTACCTGTGGCCCAGCCTGAATTAAAACCTTCCATGCTCAATTTTGAAAAGACAAGAATATGAATTCAAGATAAAAACAATAGTAAGCCATACAAGACAAAATGTATATATATATGTCAGAGTAAATTATTTAGCTTTTCTACATTTTCTAATTGCAGAGTTGTTGGATGAATTCATTAAAGCGTCCCCCAACCCCCACCACCGCCTCCACCTCAGCACATACTTGTCTGAGTTTTAGGTGACCCAACATCAGTTGTAGGTTAATGTCAATAAACTGAAGGCAGAAATGGTAAGGTGAGATCAGACATTTCCCAGAAACAGTTCATATCTGGAAATACTGATAAGCTCCCAGAGGCATGGAGAGGATATTCCGCAGTGGAGTGTCCTGGCTGAGGCCTTCTTGCCTTGCTGTCTGCCTTCTGTGGACAGGGGCTCTATCATGAGAGGATCAGGAAATGGAATATAATCTATTGCAGGGTTCCTAGAAGGAAGCATGCAGAATGTCCACTTCAAGGTACAGACAGATAAAGAAAGACATTGAAAAATAAGAATCAGCCCTGAACAGGAAACGCTAAAAGGTTAGGAACAAAAGTATGCTTTTAATTAAAGAAATGACATCCCTAAGATTATTTTTTCAAGGTTTTGAGAAATCTATCTTTTCTTGTTCTAAGTCTTCTAGTTTTAGAATTGCTTCATTACTAATTTATATTGTAAAAGTAATATGTAAACATGGTTAAAAAGTTAACCTGAACCAAAAGAAAAACAACAAATATAGACCCTTGTCTTGAGGTGTACAGTCTCACTCTGTGAATTTTATCACTATTCCTTGTTTTGCTTCTTGTGTAAACAATTCCTAGAAATTTTATTTTCTTACATATAGGCACGCACACACACACCACACACAGATTCTTTTTGGTCTTTATGGAGAAATAAAAAAGCATAATAAAATAACCATAATATGATTTGAAACTTGAGTTTTTATTCAACATCATATCCTGAAGATCTTTGAATTCCAATTCATACAGCTTCTGCCCTTTCTAACATCATTATAGAAGAGAATGTACACATTACCATAATGCAGTCAGCTTTCAGGCTTTTCCTAGATTTTTTGCTATTTTAAACAATGCTACTGTGAACATCCATACAGGGTATGTCTTTGTGAACTTTATCTGTAGAATAAATTCCTTGAAGTGGAACTGATGAGTTAATTTCATTAGAGAATAATCCCATTTTTATAATCCTTATAATCCTATCAGTTTGCCCATTTGAGAGTGCCTATAGGTAACAATTGCTTTGATAATACTGTTTCAATTTGCATATCTTTAATTAGACATTAAGTTGAGTCTTAGATTTTATTTGCCATTTATTTACTTTTCTATTTGTAGTCAATGTTCATTTTTCTAAAGTATTATCTTCTTTTTCCTAATGATTTGTATAGCACTTTACCACCCTCATTACAAAAATGTTTCTTTATTAAATGTGTTTTCCTCAGATTGTTTGTTCCTTTCTATTGTTTATAATACAATATCACAAATTTTATGTTATAAAATATGTGCTTACATTGATCAAACTTGCTGCTTTTGCTTCTAGGTTTTGTGTTTTGCTAAGAAGTACTTGTCTACTTCAAGATAATATTAAAGATAAAAATCCTGTCGATTTTTTTCTTCTGATAGTTTAATCCTTTCATTTTTTTCATTTAAATATTTGATTTACTTGGAAATGAATTTGGTGAAAAAAGGTAAGAATTCCAAATGTCTAATCTTCGATCTTTTCCTTATGGATTTGAGATGCCAGATGTATTTGGTTTATGTTTGGCTTTTTAATATGTCTCTCCCTGATTTCACTGCCTATTTCTGGGTCGATACTCAACTATTCTAGTTTTTGCAGTTTTCAAGTGGATATTAAGATCTGCTAGGGCTACCATGTGGTAGTTTATTTTTTGGCAATTTCTCTGGCTTTTTTGTGCTTTGATTTTTCTCTATGAATTTTAAAAGAGCTCATCATTTCTCTCTCTCTCAAAAATCTCATTGGTGTTTTGATTAGGACTGGAATGCATTTACAGAGAAAGTTGGAGAGAACTGGCATCTGCACAATATTAGATCTTTTTAGCCATGTACAAATTGTGTGTTTAAATGGATTTAAGACTTCTTTTATGCCTCCCAGTAGGAGTTCATTTTCTTTTTTGTTGTTGTTAACTTTCTTCTTAACATTAAAGAGTATTGTTTTCCCTATCATTTTATGTTTTAACTAGTTATTTTTCACATATACTGTAGGAAAGCTATTGATTATAGATATCAAATTTTTCCTAACCACCATACTAAATTTTCTTATTGTTTCTATTGTTTTTTAACAGCTGCTTTTCTTGGCTTTTTTTTTGGCTGTGTGATCATTATCAGGAAATTCAGGAAATAACAACTTTGCCCTTTTTGTTCTGATTTTTTTTTTTTTTTGAGACAGAGTCTTGCTCTGTTGCCCAGTGTAAAGAGATCTTGTCTCACTACAACCTTCACCTCCTGGGTTCAGGCGATTCTCCTGCCTCAGCCTCCTGAGTAGCTGGGATTACAGGCACCCACCACCATGCCTGGCTAATTTTTGTAGGTTGGGGTTTCAACATGTTGGCCAGGCTGGTCTTGAACTCCTGACTTCAGGTGATCCACCTGCCTTGGCCTCTCAAGAGTGCTGGGATTACAGGCAAGAGCTGCCGCACCTGGCTTGATTTTTATCTTTTAGCTCTCTGTTAATTGCATTGGTATTTTGAGAACAATATGGTATGGATCTATTCTTTTTTTTTTAAGTAGTAAGTAGGATTATGGAAAGCAAAAGTGCCTCAATATACAAAGTACATTATCCTGCCTAGAGGTGGAAGTCCATCAGTGGACAATGAGCAAATCAATCCCAACAGCCTCACCATCCACAGACGGAACTGGATTCTCCAATAACAAGTTGGTACCGTCCACCTGCCCTGAGGCTGGCGCTGTTCTGTGTACCGGGACCCAACCATGAGCTGAGCCCTTTGTGATGTGTACCTTACTCATGCAAGCTTTCAGCTTTCAAATACGTGCAGGCATACCTCATTTTATTGCATTTTGTATTATTGCACTTGGCAGACATTGTATTATTTGCAAATTAAAGGTTTGTGGCAACCCTGCGTCAAGCAAGTCTGTTGGTGCCATTTTTCCAACAGTGTGTGCTCACTTCATGTCTCTGTGTCACATTTTGGTAATTCTCATGGCATTTAAAACTTTTTCATTATTTTTCTATCTCTCATGGTGATCTGTGATTAGTGATCTTTAATTTTCCCATTGTAAATGTTTTAGGGTATCATGAACCACATCCATATTAGACAGCAAATGTAATTGATAAATGCCTGTGCTCTGGCTGGTCCACTGACACACTGTTCCCCAATTCTCTCCCTCTCCTCAGGCCTCCCTATGCCCTGAGACACAGTATTGAAATCCAGCCAATTAATAACCCTAAAATACCCTCTAAGTGTTCAAGTTAAAAGAAGAGCTGCAGATCTCTCACTTTAAATGAAAACTAGAAATTATTAAGCTGAATAAAGAAAGCAGGCTGCAAGCAGAAATTGGCTGAAAGCTGGACATCATAGACCAAACAGTTAGGCAAGTTGTGAATGCAAAGGAAAAGTTCCTGAAGGAAAGTGAAAGTGCTATTCCAGTGAACACATGAATGCTAAGAAAGTGAAACATCCTTATTGCTGATTTGGAGAAAGTTTTAGTGGTCTGGATAGAAGATCAAACCAACCACAACATTCACTTAAACTAAAGCCTAATCCAGAGGAAGGCCCTAACTCTCTCCAATTCTCTGAAGACTGAGAAAGGTGCAGACACTGCAGAAGAAAAGTTTGAAGGTAGCAGAGGTTAGTTCATTAGGTTTAAGAAGAGAAGCCATCTCCATAACATTAAAGTGTAAGGTGGGTAGCAAGTGCTGATGGTTATCAGCTGCAGCAAGTTATCCGGAATGTCTAAGACCATTGATAAAGGTGGCTACATTAAACAACAGAATTTCAATATAGACATAACAGCCTTATATTAGAAGATGCCATCTAGGACCTCCATAGCTACAGAGAAGTCAATGCCTGGCTTCAAAGTTTCAAAGGGCAGGCTGACTCTCTTGTTCGGGGATAATGCAGCTGGTGACTTTAAGTTGAAGCCCATGCTTATTTACTATTTTGAAAATCCTAGGGCCCTAAGAATTATGTTAAATTGTGTTAAATTGACTCTGCCTGTGCTCTATAAATGGAAAAACAAAACCTGGATGACAGCACATCTGTTTACAGCATGGCTTACTGAATATTTTAAGCCCCCTCTTGAGACCTACTGCTCAGAAAAAAAGATTCAAAATCTTACTGCTCATTGACAATGCACCTGGTCATCCATGAACTCTGATGGAGATGCACAAGGAGGTGAATGTTGTTTTCAGCCTGCTAACACAACATCCATTCTGTAGCCCATGGATCGGGGGGTAATTTTGAGTTTTATGTCTTATTATTTAAGAAATACATTTTATAAGGCTAGAGTTTCTATAAAATCAGAGTGGTTCCTCTGGAAGATCTGAGAGAAGTAAACTAAAAATCTGGAAAAGATTCACCATTCTAGATGCCATTAAGAACATTTGCAACTCATGGGAGAAGGTCAAAATATCAACATTAACAGGAGCTTGAAAGAAGTGGATTCCAACCTTCGTGGAGGACTTTGAGGGGCTCAAGATTTCGGTGGAGGAAGTAACTGCAGATGTGGTGGATACAACGGAAAACCAGAACTAGACGTGGAGCCCGACAATGTCAATGAACTGCTGCAATCTCCTAATAAAACTTTAACAGGCTGGGCGCGGTGGCTCACGCCTGTAATCCCAGCAGTTTGGGAGGCCAAGGCGGGTGGATCACCTGAGGTCAGGAGTTTGAGACCAGCTTGGCCAACGTGGTGAAACCAGCCTGGGACACAGAGTAAGACTCAAAAAAAAAAAAAAAAAACTTTAACAGATGAGGAGTTGCTTGTGTCACCCTGGCTGGAGTGCGATGGCACGATCTGAGCGTGCTGACACCACCGCCTCCTGGATTCAAGCAATTCTCCTGCCTCAGTCTCCTGAGTAGCTGGGATTATAGGCGCATGTCACTATGCCCAGCTAATTTTTCTATTTTTAGTAGAGACAGGGTTTCACCACATTGGTCACGCTGGTCTCGAACTCCGGACATCGTGATCTGCCCATCTCGGCCTCCCAAAGTGCTGGGATTGCAGGCGTGAGTCACCGTGCCAGGCCAAGGAATTGCTTCTTGTGAAAGAGCATCTACTTCTGGTAATGATACTGGGAACATTGTTGAAATAATAACAGGCAATTTCAAATTTTACATGTTTTTTTCTTTTTAAAAAACTTTTTATTTTATTTTATTTTATTTTAAGTTCCGGGATACATGTGAGGATAAATAGCTAATGCATGTGGGGCTTAATACCTAGGTGATGGGTTGGTAGGTGCGGCAAACCACCATGGCACACGTTTATCTATGTAAATTTTATATAAATTTAATTGATAAAGCAGCAGAAGGATTTGAGAAGATTGACTCAAGTTTTGAAAGAAGTTCTATTGTGAGTAAAATGCTATCAGACAGTATCACACGCTACAGAGAAATGTTTTGTGAAAGGAGGAATCATTAGATGCAGCAAACTTCATTGTTGTTTTATTTTAAGAAATTGCCACAGCCACCCCAGCCTTCAGCAACCACCACACCCATCAGTCAGCGGTCATCAACATCCAGGCAAGACCCTGGACCAGCAAAAAGGTTACAACTTGAAGACTCAGCTGTTCCTTAGCATTTTTTAGCAATAAGGTATTTTAAACTTAAGGTATGCACATTGATGGTTTAGACAGAATGCTATTGCACACTTAATAGACTACAGTTTAGTGTAAACATAACTTTTATATGCACTGGAAAACAAAAAAAAATCATGTGACTTACTTTATTGCAATATTTGCTTTATTGCAGTGCTCTGGAACTGAACAGGCAATATCTCTGAGGTATGTCTGTAAATAGTGGTTTGTTCATACAAGGAAATACCATACGCTAGTTAAAAATTAATGAACTAGATTCACATGCCTCTGTGTGGGTAAACAAAAAAAACATAACTCTGAGTTAAAAAAAATCAAGTTTCAGAAGAAATAACTTGTGTGTAAATTAAAACATAATTAATTCAAGAGTACATATCATTTGTGGGAATAGGAATAGGAATATTTAGTAAAAGCAACAAAATATATATGCAAATGAATCCCACTTTACAGTATTGCTTATGTTTTGGGGTGGTTGCAGCAGTACCTGTAACAATTGATTTCAAACAATGTCCAGTACAAATACGTTAAATATGATTAAATATGTTAATATATGTTAAACCTGGGAAGTGAGTATGTGGGCATCTTTATTCCATTTTCTGTTCTCTTTTTATGTTTGAACTATTTCATAATTAAAAATATACAAACATGTTAAACATTAATACATGCCTTGGAAAAATAAAATAATCTTCAAAATAATACATGATCCTCATAAAAATTTGAGAAAAACAGAAAATTGTGATGAAGAAGAGAAATGTATATTAATCCTCGCTTCATGTGTGTATACAGACACACACACAAATCCTAGCATGGTTGTCTGCTACCTATCAAAATCAGGACTACACTGCACAGCCAAGGGGTACATTTTAAAACTTACTATTATATTATAAACATAATTATAAAATTGGTTTTGAAAACAAGGTTGTTAATGGCTATACCATATTCCACTTAATAGAAATAACAAAAGTCGCCCTAATTGCTGGACATAAGTTATCTGTAACTTTTCCCTATTATAAAAGATGCAGTGAGAATCATCCTTGCGCAATCTAGTCCCCGGGCAAGATTCTTAGGGATTAAATGACTGGATCACATGATAAGAATATTTCAGAGTCCCTTGTACATGCTGCCTAATTGCTTTCCAGAAAGGTTTCCTCCCCCTGAACCTTTTCAACATTGCTCTTCTTTCTTTTATGAAATCTTCTACCACTAAATCTTGAACAGCTCTCCGAATCATCAAAGAATGGTGCAGTTATGTTTAGTATAAGTTTATTCTGCAACATATTTTATTGTCATCATTTAAAATTTGCTAATAGATAAGTGGAATATATGTAACTCAGTATTAACTAGAGTACTTAGTAATCCTAATCTTCTCTTATTCACTAATTCTGGAAACTAATCAATGCATACAGCTTCACGGTAAATAGATTACTACAGTATCACTTATTTTTTATACCAAACTGCACTCCATGAGATAGGGAAAGGTGATCTACACATAATAGTAATAATAAGGATGTCAATAATTTGTATTTTAATAATTTAAATAAATAAATAATTTATTTGCATTTGTATAGTGAGTATCCAAATCACATTCTCTATTTTATTCTGCTGAGAGCCGTAGGTAGCTCCTGTGGGCAGTGATGGGCTGAGAATTTGGAGGCCTCGCCTCCAGCCTCCAGGTTGCTTCCTTCATGCTTGGTCAAATTAGGAGCCAGCTCAAGATGATGTGACAGGTCCCCAGCAGATCCGCGTGGAGGTGCAGGATTTTTCACCACATACACCAGGATTTGTCTGACTTGGGTCAATGACCCAGCTGTTGAACGGGGAGTAGGCACGTGGGTACAATGTCCTGGCCTCCTCCCAGGCCCCACTAGCCACCTTGCAAGTTACCCTGTGTCTCCATGCTCTCTACTCTGTTTTAGTAAGTTTGCCAGACCACTCGCCCAGCAGAGCCCAGGTCTGTCATTCTCCATCGCCAAAGCCAAGGAAGGGAAAAGCAGAAGTGTCAATCTCATGCAAAGTAATCTATACTTTCTATACGTTTTCAATCAGGCCTCTTGATCCCTGCTTCCTCTCCTCCGGGGGAACCTGACAAGTCAACTCTGTTTCCTGCTTCCGAGTCTCTCACCTCATCTGCCTCCCCTGTAGACATGCCAGGAGGTCACAGACACCTCTCCAAAGAGGCACCCCTTCCTGGAGGGCTGTCCAGAGCAATCGCGCCCACCAGCCCCTGCAGGAAATTGGTGAAACAGAAGCCAGTTTCCTTGTGCTTTTCTCATTGCTCTGCTTTCTGCAAGTGCGCCTCTGTCCTGGAGAATGAATTAATTCACCAAATGGAAGAATGCTTTTTGCTGGGAGATCAGCTGCTGGGAGAGGCCATCAGTCAATAATCAATTTAATATAAGTTTGCTGTGGGTTGCAGATATAGCAAGCCCACCCCAGGGTGGCTTCCCTTAGCACCCACTCAGACAGGTACAGGCTTCCACCAACAGCTGGAAACAGAGTTGGAGATTTCACTGTTTAGAGACGTGTACTGGATACCCAGAAGGGTGGGAAGGTCATGGTTGCATCTGTGTTGTATGCTCACAAACCATCTTTTCCTCTCATCTGTATGAGACAAGCTCAGCCTCTTACTAAGTGCACAATTTCATGATTAAGTGTGCAAAGTCTAGCGGGGCAAGGATATAGCCGATGCTCCACCAGCCTGGGTCTTAGGTAATTTCCCACTTTTTCTCTGCATTCCAAATTCTCTTTGAAGCTTCTAATGGGCCAACGTTCAAAGGGTATTTCGATAATTTATGTCTAGCTTTCAGGGCGTAGTGACAAGACTGGAATCAAGATGCCTGTTCACAGTTTATTGAGACATTTGCTTTTGGTAAAGGTGGTCCGTGATGTCGATTCAATATTGAAAGATGTTCTCCAGTGGGGAGAACCTTCCCTCATTTCCTGCCCACATTTTCATTTATTTCCTGTCACTTTGACTCTTAGTGATCACTTTCCTCAGGAAGAAAACTTTCCTTGAAAGTGTAAGCTCTGGTACTGTTAAGTTGTACATGATAATCTTCTATTTGATTTTTGTCAGTTAAACTCGCACCTCAAATGTAGATTTTTACCTTAGGCGACCCTTTTGATTCTTCTTGTAGATTGCACATTTAGCAAAATGCAATGTGCATATCCTTTTCTTGTAATTATCTGGTTTATACATTCCTTCCTCTTCCCTTAGAAGATCTTGCTTGTAAGATTTCTCTCTCCTGGGTTTCAAGGAGGTGAGAATTAAACTCCATTGTGTGTTGAGCTGTTGGTGGAGACAATGTTCTCAGGGATATGGGGTTTGATAAGCATCTTCTAGATCTCTCCTTGTTCTTAATCAGACACAGGTGCAGCCTCCGCCCCATTGGGTCCCAACTGATATGTGGTCGGATGTGAGTGAGGCCCCTTTCTGAGATTCTTGTCCATTCTGTGCCTCTTGTCAGGCCACGAGGAGGGCCTGCTTCTCTCCTTGGTAGGCAGTGGGCTGAGCTAACCCCTGGCCCAGGTCCTCATCTAGCAGGCTGGATGCCCACCTCAGCTCTTATCTTCCCAGGTCTTTAAGATTGAAGCTTGTAGGTCTTGAGTGAGATGCATTTAAGGGGAGAAAATGTTCCAACAGAAGGAGCAAGCGACAGACTCTTTGTGGTGTAAGTCATGGGAAGTAGCTGGGATGGGACACTAGGCATTCTCCACAGGCCACTTGAGGATTCTGGTTCCTTCCAGGGCTCTCCTGGACTCCCCTGTCTGCTAGGAACGTGGCCACAGCCCCAGAGATCCATATCCATCCTCTTCACCTTCACACCCCCTGTGGAGCAAATAAGGCTCAGGCAGCTCACCCCCATCTTCTTCCCTTGGGGAACAGCTGATAGATTTGCAGAGCCAACTCTTCCCCACCCCTTGTGTTTCTAAATATTGTTTCTGATTCTCATTTCTGATAAGAGCTTCCCAGATATCAAGGCTGCAGTGGGTTCAGGATTGGCACCTAGGGCCAGGTTTCCTCCCTAACTTGGAATGTGTCCTGAGGCAGATGCAGACCAGATTTGGGCTGGGATAAAGGCTGCCTTTGCCAGGCACTTCCTGCTCACCAGGCACTGTGCTGAGAGTTTTCAGGGATTGCCAGTTTGATCCCCCTTGAAATCTTTGAGGTGTCTCATCTGTGTCTACACACAAGGAAACTGAGTCTCAGAGAATGTGAAGGACTCACCAGTGGGCACTCATGAGTAACCAAGCACTGGGGGCTGGAACCTAGCATGGCTGCGGTGCCCTGACCTTCATTACCAGGCATGCTGAGCAGCAGACAAGGCCTTGGGGTGAGCTGAAGTCTGCTGATTGAGCACCCAGGTCAAGCAATGCCCAGAGGGCACTGTGGGGTCGAACACCTGGACAGGCCCATGGCAGAGACTCAAGTAGCCTTTGGACTCTGCCTGGTTCCCTGCAGGATCCTACTGAGTCGGGCCCTTCCCTGCCTGCAGGGTCAGGTCCAGTCGCCACTTGCTGGCCCTGTTTCTGCCCCACCCCTGCCCCCAACTGTTTCCTCCTCCCCTCCCCCTGCCCAGGCACTCACACCTGTCTGCTGTTTTCTGGGGCAGCCCACAATTCCCTTGAAGGCTGCTGTCTCAACTGGAGAAGGGATGCCTGGAGCAGGGGCCTCTAGGTTGTCTCCAGCCCAGCTTCTGTGTTCCTTCCACATGGGGGACTTACAAGGCCAGCAGTCCCTATACCTGTGGACAGAACTCCTTCTGCACCCCCACACCCCAGCACCCTCAAGGGGACTGCCTGAGCCCTCTGGGTGCTTGTGGAGTCCACATGCATCTTAACAAGCTGGTCCTTGGGGAGGGGAAAGGAACTCCTACCAGGTTCTCTTTTCATTTCCTCAAAGGAGCCCTGCTAGTGGCCGGGCTTCTTAACAGCACGGTGACCTTGGATGTCCTTGACCAAGCTGGCAGCAGGCGATGGGCAGACCACAGAGGGGGTGCTTGGGCAGTGTGGACACAGCTGAAATCCCCAGGGGAGCCTGAGAATGCAGAAGGGGGCCTGAGAGTGGGGCAACATGCCCACATGCAGTCCATGTGCAAACAGCCATGCACACGTGCACAGGCACACATGGGCACACATGCACATGCTCATGCACACATACACACATGGACACACCAAGGAATGGCCCAGCTTATGGTCTCATTCTTGGCCTTTTCTTAACAAAACACCCAAAACTATGTTTGGGAAAAGCAAGGACTTCTCTCTAGGCTACTTGAAATATTCAGACAAGCCCAGGAAGGGTGAATAGGTTTCCCATGACCCCACACATCTGAGGCTTTGGGCAGACCCTCTCAGAAGGCTTAACATGGTTGTTTTTAGATCCAAATATCTGGCTGCAGCTCTGGAGACCTGGGCCTGCGCTCATTGAAAGTCCTTCTCTCTTTGTCTTTGAGTCTGGATGTGAATCTGGAGCCCTCATTTTCAAACAGACAATCTGAGGCCTGGACAGGGGAAAAAGATTTCCCTGGAAATCACTGTTGAGGGGGCACAGTAGGCTAGACTCAGGGGCCTGCCCTGGTCTGCCCTGCAGGCAGCCACGGGCATGGCGCTGTCTGCTATAGCCGCTGTCCTTCCTACCTTCCCTGCCTGCCCTCACGGTGCCTCCTCCCGCTGCATTCGCTGGGATCCATTTGTCCGTCAGTTACAGAAAATCAGTCTATGCTGTTTTAACATCCAAACGGTGGCTCCAAACGAGATTTCAGTTACAGCTGAAAATGTAATAAAATAATTCTTCGTGCTGACAGCCCCTGTGTAGGCCATTTGGAAAACATCAAAGGATGAATGCTAAATGTTCATTCCTAATGCCCGGTTTGCAGAGCATGTCCCAGGATAATCAGCCTTGCCTCTTGCATTGCCAAAGGTGATGGAGAGGAATCCGTAATGGGGCCAAATGAGCTTTCTCCGGGTGCTGTAGTGATGTGAGGATCTTGGATATCCAGAGTTCATGGCTGATCTGAGAAGAGTCATGGCCATGTTTTTGGAGACAGCTCACTGCAGGCTCTAACTGGAGGCACATGTTCCCCCCAGGAGGTGTCCAGGTGGGCTGCAGGCATGGCCTTCCTGCCCTGAGAGCTGGGGGCTTCGGGGATGGGGGGCCTGCAAGTCATTACTTATACTTCCCTTTTCCAGGCAGTTTGGGTATGGCTGTCCTCTCCTGCCTCTTGGTGCATTTTTGGTATGAGAATGAAGATCTCCTGCGGTTATGATTTCCCAGGAACTGGGACAGACACAGCAGGCAAAGCAGATGCATTTCTTTTTCGATGCCATGACTGCTATCTCCGGCCTGAGCTTGGCTTGGTTCCTTCTGTTGGCTTGTCTCTCCTTCCTTTTCCATTGATCCAGTGCTGTCCTGGAGATCTGGCCTTGCCATCTAGATGACAGCCTTATCCAGGAACCAATGCAGGATGCCATCGACCCCACCCTCCAACAGGTCCCAGAGTTGGCCAGCAAACTTAAGCTGGTGGCTGAGCCAAAGACAGAAAGGCCAGACGCCCAGCGATTAGACCTGCGTTCATCAGGAAAGCAGTGAGGAGAGTGGATATTAGTAAGATGGACACCATCTTGGGAGAAAAAAAGGAAACACAATGGAATCTAGAAATAATGGGTCATCGAAGATGTTTTAGCTGAATTGCTCTAAGCAGAGGGTAATAAGGGTGGGTACTGGACACTCGGAAGGAGCAGGAGCTCCGCCCTGGCCTTTCCCACAGCTTTGCATGCTGCTCTAAAGTGGAAAATACTGCCCGGTGGACAGCGTTGGCCTGGATGGTCGTTCCTGCGTGCAGATCCCAATCGGGGGGCACACACTCACATGTTCTAACCCCAAGAGGACCCAGATGTGATGAAATCCATTAACTCACCATTCCTTTCTGCCCTCTTGGCAGGGAGCAGGTCTTTCTCTGAAAATGTGAGCAGACGGCTCTTGGAGAGGCTGTTTAGTCCTGGTTGAGAGAATGCTTTCCTTCCCCCAGGGATTCCTTTTGGAAAAGTCAGAAAGGCCTGAATTGCTGAAGGAACCCAGATAGCCCAGTCTGGGGCACGGACATTTGGACATTCCCGGACTGAGGCCTGCCTCTCTCCTTGTCTGCCATGCCATATCGCAGCCCATAAATGTAAAGAGGGCAGTGTGGGAGGGGGTGCAGGCATTGCAGCTGGCAGGGAACCTCTTCTTCATGCCAGGGATTAGTCGGAGGGTGGAGGCTGCTGTCCCTGCAGTGAGAGCACAGCTGCAAGTCCCCCCCTCTCTCCCCAGGCAAACTCTGAGCTGTGGGGCTGAGCCGCATAGGGTCTGTGTGGTGTCTGTGTGGTGTCTGTGCGATGTCCGTCTTCTCACTTAGCGCCCTTCTGGGCCAGTCTCTTATTCTTACATGGAAGTTTTATTTCTTCAGCCAAGATAGGAAGTTTCCTGAAGACAGCAGTGGCTCTAGAACTGTCTTTTACACTTTGTACAGGATTAAGATGGGGTAAATGCCAGGCTGACCAAGCCACGGAAACCGTGCCCAGCCTGGCTTCAGAGGCACTGAGAACCCACCTTCAACAAAGATGACATCATCACCCGGCCACTGCCCCTGCACAGATGACGTCATCACCTGGCCACCGCGGCCTGTGGGGTGCACACAGCTCTGACCACCTTAGCTCTCCTGTGAGCCAGTGGTCAGGCGCAGGATTTTGAAGAACAGAGCACAGGGGAAATGTGTAAGTTTCCTGAGGCTGTTATAACAAAAAAAGACCACAAACTCGGAGGCTTAAGACAACACGGAAGTGCTATCTTGCAGTTCCGGAGGGCAGAAGCTTGAAATTGGTTTTGCTGTGTGAAATCAAGGTGGCAGCAGGGCTGTGTTCCCACTGGAGCTCCAGGAGAGAATGCTCCCCTTGCCTCTACTGGCTTCTAGAGGTTGTGGTGTGCCTGGGCTCCTGGCCCCACACCCCCACCTGTCTCTGTTTCTGTCTTCCCACTGGCTTCTCTGACCCTGACCCTCCTCTGCCTCTGTCTTATCAGGACCCTTGTGATGACATTGGGCCCATCTAGACCCCCATCACATGAGCATTAACTTAATCACATCTGCAAAGTCCCTTTGGCAATGTAAGAGGACGGGTTTGAGGGATAGGCTGTCCATGCCTTTTGTGAGGTGGGTGGGGGACATTATTCCTTCTACTAATAAGGCAAGAAAATAAGAAAGCAGAACCAAGGGATGGGGTGGTACAAAGGAAGCAGAGGGTCCTTCCGTGGTCATCCAGAGGCTGAAAGGAGCAGTGAAGATGGCAATGTCTGGGGAAAGCACTGCCAGCTGGCCTTCACCTCTTCCCACCTGCTTTCTGCTTCTCTGCTTTGTTAATTCTTTCTTTCTTTTTTTTTTTTTTGAGACGGAGTTTTTGCTCTTGTTTCCCAGGCTGGAATGCAGTGGCACAATCGCTCACTGCAACTTCCACCTCCCTGGTTCAAATGATTCTCCTGCCTCAGCCTCCTGAGTAGCTGGGATTACAGGTGCCCACCACCACATCCGGCTAATTTTTGTATTTTTAGTAGAGACGGGGTTTCACCATGTTGGTCAGGCTGGTCTCAAACTCCTGACCTCAGGTGATCTGCCTGCCTCAGCCTCCCAAAGTGCTGGGATTACAGGTGTGAGCCACTGAGCCCGGTCTGTTAATTCCTTTTGTTTCTTACTCCCAAGTTTGAATTCTGTGCCACACACACGCACACACACACACACACACGCACACAGACACTGAAGAGCATGCTAGTTCTTTCTTCTTCTTTTTTTTCTTTCTTTTTAATTTGGCATTTATTGAAGCTGATGGAGTGAACTGGATAAGAACACCCCAGAGTAACTGATGTGCCACTTAAAATATTGAACATCCATTTAGAAAAAAAAAATGGACTGAACATTCGGTCCCATCACAGCCCACGTGGTTCTGCCCGCGCACTCTGGGGTCTTAGCCAGAGAGCAAATTCCCCCAACTCCAGCCTTGGAGAGCTGGGCCTGTTTCTCCACTGGAGGAATGGTAAGTCCCAGAGAACAGGGTCATTAAGCAAAGTTAGTGACAATAAGAGCAAAAGGAAAGTGACAGCAACCAGCAGTTCCCAGGGAGAGGCAGCCAGAGAGCCTGAGTCCCGTCCTCTTAAAGAGCAGCCGTGCAGGCCTGCCATGGCTCCCAGAAGCCCCCGGTGAGGCCTCGGGTGGGCCCGTGGTCGGGCTGCCTGTGATTACGGTGAAGATGTTGAAAGATATTGTAGGATTTTAATGGGAAAATAAGAAATAAACAACATGCTATGTAGGAAACTATTGTTTCCTATTTTCCCATTAAAATCCTATGATATTTTAAGTTTGTTGTGTAACTATGAGATGGCAGGGGTGCACATGTCTTTCTTTTTAGATACTGAGATATAGCATTTCTAGAGAAACTGATGCTGGCTTCCTTGGTCATGGATATAGCTTGTGCTACCCTAAGATTGCGTTTTATACTTTTATTTTTGATACTTAGAACAAAACCAATACCTGTTATTCCATGGAAATGCCTGGTGAATGTAGCTGTTCAGGAGAGAGACTAGTCTCAAGATTTCAGGATAGACCTGGAGTTTCCTAAATTCCCATGACTCAGATGCTGCAGGGACATGCCTCTAAATCCTTGGAAGCCTGACTTTGGACTTGAATTTCACAGTGGATAAAAACAGGTTTCTGGTGAAGAATCCAATATTTCCTCCTCTGGTCTGGCTGGAAGCATTTCAAAGGCAGACTTCCAGCTGCTGGTCTTTTGCTCACATTCCCAGCTATAACCTAGAAATGCAGGCCTTCGCCTGTGAATCGGGCCAGCAAGAACAGGAAGACGTGGGTCAGGCCTTGGAAAGATGAGACTGAGGCAGGATTGCATTGTGCATGGAAAACCAGGCCTGTGGCTCTCATTTCACCAAAATGAGACTTTCTGTTGTGGTGGCAGATGAAAGAAAGGCAGGTTGATGGGAGAGTGTCTCGGGAGTGTGTTCCACTACTGGCTGCAAGGGTGGTGCTGGGTGAGGGGCCTGGGTGGGCAGGGAGACTGCAGGGGCTGGGAAAGTGAGGGGCAGCTAGGACTGGCCAGGAACCTTGGCTCTAGTGAACCCTGCCCTGCAGTGCACAGATCAGCCTGGCTGCACCAGATAGGGACCTTTGGGCCACCCCCTTCTGACCTGTCTGTCTTCTTTGGGGGTTGACAATTTCTTAGGTTCTCAATAAGGCCAGAACTTAGAATCCACACTCCTTGCTCCGAGCCATCTTAGAATCATCAGGTCATTGGAGACTTTATTCCTCAATATTCAGTCGGAACTCAATAATTTCTCATCATTTTGTTGCCTGATGTATGGCCATATCCAGGATAATCAAGTTGTTTTAGAAGATTTTAATGATTACTAATAAAATATTAGTGCATTGATTTTTTGGAAATTCAATCAATGACACCTTTCATCTTAGATATCGAATTTAATGAGTCCAGCAACTAAACTCTCAAGGGAGTAACATGGGTGACCAGTGGAAAGTTCCAGAAGGTTTAAGCCAATTCTATCAAGACCATCCTAATGCCTGTTTGAGGTCATGGAAGAGGGTCACCTGGAGAGAGCCACCACCTTTTAACCATCAAAAATAGTCATTTTCAGCCAGGTGCGGTGGCTCACACCTGTAATCCCAGCACTGTGGGAGGCAGAGGCAGGCGGATCACAAGGTCAGGAGATCGAGACCATCCTGGCTAACAAGGTGAAACCCCATTTCTACTAAAAATACAAAAAATTAGCCAGGCATGGTGGCAGGCACCTGTAGTCCCAGCTACTGGGGAGGCTGAGGCAGGAGAATGGCATGAACCCAGGAGGCGGACCTTGCAGTGAGCCAAGATCGCGCCACTGCACTCCAGCCTGGGTGACAGAGCGAGACTCCATCTCAAAAAAAAAAAAAAAAAAAAGTCATTTTCATGTCTGGTTTCCATGGCTTCCCTGGAAGTACCTCCCTGTTTCATGGTGCTCACTCTTAAACTCTGGTTTCTGCCTTGTGCCCCTTCCACACAGGCTATACCATGTTGATCTTTTTAATTCAATATTTTGAATGGGTATCTGACAGTGTTTCACTCACCCAGTTCTTCCTTTATTTCTTCAAAGTTCTTTCCTCAAAGTTCTTTCCCTGTTTTCCTGAACTGAGGTGTATGTTACCAATATGGTTTGGTTGTGTCCCCACCCAAATCTCTTCTTGAATTGTAGTTCCCATAATCTCCATGTATCATGGGAGGGATTAGGTGGAGATAATTGAATCTTGGGGGCAGTATCCCCCATCCAGTTCTTGTGATAGTGAGTTCTAATGAGATCTGATGGTTTTATAGGGGGCATCCCCCTTTGCTGGGCACTTCTCTCTCCTGCTGCCATTGTGAAGAAGGACGTGTCTGCTTCCCCTTCTGCCATGATTGTAAGTTTCCTGAAGCCTCCCCAGCCATGCTGAACTGTGAGTCAATTAAACCTCTTTCCTTTATAAATTACCTAGTCTTGGGTCCATCTTTATTAGAAGCATGAGAAAGGATTAATGCAGTTACTTTCATGGCCTGTGGTTTTCAGCCCTGGCTACACAGCCAATGCACTAATGCTGGGAACTCCCCCAGACCTGTGAGCAGCATTCTGTTCTGGGGCACAGAATCTTCCAAGAGATTCCATGATGACTTGAATGTGTGCCTCAGCTCTGAATCTTTCTGCAGGTTTTCTTTTTCTTTTTTTCTTTATTTTATATTATTTTTATTTTTTTGAGATGGAGTCTTGCTCGTCACCCAGGCTGGAGTGCAGTGGTGCCATCTCAGCTCACTGCAAGCTCTGCCTCCTGGGTTCACAACATTCTCCTGCCACAGCCTCCTGAGTAGCTGGGACTACAGGTGCCCACTACCACACCTGGCTAATTTTTTGTATTTTTTAGTAGAAATAGGTTTCCGTGTTAGCCAGGATGGTCTCGATCTCCTGACCTCATGATCCACTCACCTCGGCCTTCCAAAGTGCTGGGATTACAGGCGTGAGCCACCACGCCCGGCCTCTGCAGGTTTTCTTTTATACCTTTCTTAAAATGGGGTTAAGTAAACCAATGCTCAAAAACACATAAAATGTTTTGATTAGGTCAATAGGCATGTCAAAAAGAAAACTGTTGTCACAATCATAACTTACCCATCAGTGAGCGTGGGCAGGTCTTCCTAGCAGCCCCGGGTGTTTCGCATCGTGGCTTGAAGGATTATGAGCAAAGCCTGTCCAATTAACCTTGGAGGAAACGCACCAGTGTTTCCAAGAGCCTTATTTATGTATTTTTAATGCAGGATTTTATGACCTTTACCTCATATGGGTCCTTAGGAACATTTCCCAGTTATCAGAAAGGATCCATTTGCAAACATTATTTGTGCATAATCCTAAATGACTGAAGGGTTTCCTCAGTCACTATGTCTTACTAGAGCTGAACATCTGTCTGCTGCAGGCTTTGCCCCCACCCTTCACACTCCACAGCCCGAGTAAGGCTAAAGGCAAACTTCAAACCACACTAACTAGGAATGAGCACAAGCTCCAGGTGACATCAGCCCAGTGTAATGAAGCTGCACAATGACAACATAGATTCTCACTTCTCGACCAGGGAGGTCCCACAGAGTTGATACCTGGGCAGTAGGCCCTTCCCACTCACCTGCTGAGGTCTTAGCCAATGGTTCACCTGTCTGAGCTCAGCAACCTCACCTCTAACCTGGAGGGAATGACAATGCCTTTTAGGCTTGTTGTGAGGATAAAATGTATTTATGTTGACAAATATCTGGCACAATCCTTGTTCAGCCCTTAATGTGCAGTGGCTCTCTGCCCTCCCTTCTTCTCTGTTGATACTAGTGACCTGAAGTTATTCCATCACTGTTGGGACTTGGAACCACAGAACCAGGCTGGGGTCTGTCCACACTGAGCTGATAACTGCTGAGCTCTGTCTTTCCTCAGCCTCTTCCCTTCTGCTGCTTGTTGCCAGTGTTATGCAGAGCACGGTTCCCTAAATCTGTACAGCAAGCCTCAGGCAGACATTAGAATGGGCACTGCACACGTGAGGACACTGTGGCTGTAAAATGGGGTCACTCTTCACTCTTCATTAGGGTTTGAACCCAAATCAGACCTAAAATTCCCAGCGTTTTTAGTGGTCTAGGGTGTTCAGCATATTAGTTTTCTGTGGCTGTATAGCAAGGGATGGGTGGATTAGATCAAGAGAAAGGTATTCTCTCCAAATTCTGGAGGCCAGAATCCAAATCAAAGTAGCAGCAAGTTTGGTTCCTCCTGGAAGCTTAGAGGGTAGTCTATCCCACATCCTTCTTCTAGCTTCTGGTGGCTTCTAGCAATCTTTAGTGTTCCTTGGCTCATAGCTATGTAACTCCCATCTCTGTTTCCATGGTCACGTGGGCTTCCCTTCTGTGTGTCTCTTTGTCCCAAATCTGCATCTCTTTTCACTTCCTAGGATGCTTACCATTGGATTTAGGGTCCAGCCTAAGTCCAGGTTGATTTCTTCTCCATATCCTTCACTTAGCCACATCTGCAAAGACCGTTCTCCCAATAGTATTCACAGGTACCAAGGCAGTCCCTTGGTCTTTCCTAGTTTCTTGTGTAATAGAGACTGTAGGAGACCAAACCCGCCCTAAAGAAGAGACCCCCGGAGGAGTGATTAGGCAATGGTGGACAGTCCCTTACCTGGGGTCCCTCTCACCTGTGGAGCCACCAGGCAGATGGAAGGAGGCAGGGCTGTACCTGTGTCAGGGCCCTTGTGTGCTCTGAGCACCAGACACACTGATTTCTAGCAAGGCTGCTCCTCTGCTGCATCCCCCACCACCTGATGCCAAGCCACCCATCCACCCTGGTGCTCCCAGCTGTCCTCCTTCCTGGGAGCTGCACCAAGGGAGGTCTTCTGGGATAAGGGTTCTTTCAAAATGCTCATAGGGCAGAGTCGCACTTTTTTTTTTGGCAGCAAGCACAAATGATCTCTTGCCCCCTTTGATTTTTATGATGAGCGTGAATTGGGGAAGGCTACATATCAAAGATGGCATTGCTTTATTTTCATAATAGTCATAATATTTCACCACTGCAACATCTCCCACAGTGGGAGAAAAATTCAGGGGACATATGCTCAAGTCATTTTCCCTTCCTGATTTTTAACTGGCCAGGTAGACTTTTAAACTGCATTTCCTGTTTTAAAAGCAGTTTTGGATTGCAGCTAATACGTGAGGGGCAGTTCTTGAAGCTGTTAGTACCTATTCACTGTGGAGCAAATGCTTTCTTCTTCCATTTTCCTCTGGAAATGAGACTGGACTTGGGTTTTGAATCCTTGTCCATTCTTGGCTAGTCCCTGAAAAGGTGGAATGAAAAGGGCTTTTCACGGGGAGAAGGATCCTATACTATTTTAACAAAAATATAATGTGGGGTTGGCAATTCTATTTGAGGGAACATTTTAAGAGCACTGTTTATTTAGATAATCAGTTCAAACCCTTAAAAAACAATGAATAAGAAAAAGAGGACGATCTCATAGTTAACAAACTAATTGATAAATAAATACAGAAGAGAAGGCTGCCGGAGCTCAGGCCCCCAAGAGAACTTCAGTGAAAACACGAGCTCATTGAGGAGACACCGAACTACATCAACGAACGGGGCAGTGGGGGTTTCTGTGTGTGTCGTGTGTTGAGATACGGAGCCTGAGAACTGTGTATGTTTGCAGCAAAAATTGAAAGTTAAGTCTTAATACCAGAGCTTGGAGCTGATTTTAAAAAAGAAAATCAATGGTAAGCAAGCACGTGGCACCACTGCAGAGCATAAATATTGGAGGGCCCAGCAGGACATGCTCCCTGAAGCTACCTACACCAGCAAAGTTCCCCCTGGAGTGCCCAGGGCCCTTCATCATCCACCTGACCCATGACCCCAGGAAGTCCATGGAGCAGCCCCGCGGTCACTGTTCACAGACCGTGCCCCAAAGTGAGGGCAGCCAAGGGACTCACTCCAGGCCCCCCATCTGCAACAGACTGTCTCCTGACTCCCTGTCCTCTGGTCCTTCCCAACCACAACACTATCTTTTAGAATGGGCTCGATTTCATCACAATGAACCAGTTCACTTTAGGTCACTAAAGAAATGATAGTTTAGGTTATGTGACTTCTCCCTGTTTCAACTGGCCTAATGATATTGTGTAGTCATTCTTATGTTACTAGAGTATAATTTATAAAAAGAAAAGTGAGCAAATTTTAAGTGTAGAGTGCAATGGATTTTTATCTATGGATACACCTGTGTAACCATGGCCCAGATCAAGATATAGAACATTCCAGCACCCCCCAAGAGAGCTCCCTGCCCTTTCCAGTGAACACTGGAACATTTTAAGAACATTTATCTAAAGACTGAAATGAGACAATAAAAAAAGAACATACATGTGTTGATTCATGACAACACATGGATGCTTCTCAAAGATACCATGTTGAGGGAAGGGAGCCAGATATCAGAGAATACACACGGCACGATTCCATTTAGACAAACTGGATCTCAGACAAAGCTACTCTACAGTGTTGGGGTCGGCATAGTGGTTCCCTGAGGGGTAGGTGTCTACATCATCTCAAGCCCTCTGTCTTCATCATCTCATGCCTGAGCCAAGCCAGTGACCTCACCATTCACCCAGGGATGCCTCAAGAGCAGCATTTGTCACAAAGTGGCTAACTAACCTAGAAGTGGGCCACAACCTGAGAAAGCTTTCTAAGGAACAAAAGGGGTGATTGCCTATAGGTCAGAACTGTCCTCATCAAAAACGAGAAGCAAGTTCAGCCACAGGAGGCAGAGGCTGTGTTTGTGAAGGGAACATAAATGGCCTTGGAAGTGGTGCAACAATCATTTCTCACACTTTAACAAAATATCCTCATTCAAGAGTTGAAGTGACACCTCTGTGTCCACTATGGTGGAGATAAGAAGGAAGTATATGCTCTTTTTAAAAAGCATAAAGCAACGAGATTGCGAACTGTTAGTTTTTGAGCTGCGCATTCTAAGAAGAATACAGCTATATTTTTTAATGGAGTCAGTGAAGTTTCAAATAGAATGGATATTCACTGTAAATAAATCATTCTTCAATTCCTTCAATGAAATTAATTTCACATTCCTATTATCGCCTGCAATTCGATAACTGCTAATGCTAGTCCAGCAAATATCATTTTGCTAATGAATACAATCATTAGTGTTGTTTTCATTTTACAGTAAGCCATTATTATTACCGTCTTTCATCTGGATGCATATAAAGTTGCAATAACTTGGTTTCTCTCCCTATGGAATCCAACCATCACAATCAGCTTCTGACATTCAACCCACCCAACCCAGATATGGTCATCCCCAGAGACAAACGACAAACATCTGGGCAAAGTTCCTTTTTTTTTTCAGCATGGAGTCTCACTCTGTCATCCAGGCTGGAGTAGTAGAGTGGCTCAATCACAGCTCACTGCAACCTTAAACTCCTGGGCTCCAGGAATCCTCCCATCTCAGCCTCCTAAGTAGTTGGGACTACAAGCGTGAGTCACCACGCTTTGCTTTTTTTTTTTTTTTTTTGGTAGAGATGAGGTCTTTCTATGTTACCCAGGCTGACCTTGAACCCCCGGCCTCAAGTGATCCTCCCACATGAGCCACCACACCTGGCCTGGGCAAAGTTCTTAAAAAAAAGCCGCTTTATTCTTCCCACATTGGTGCCTTAACAGAAAACATAGCGAGCAATACATCAACAACCCACTGCATCAAAAACTGTGATTAAGTGATGTCCACATGTCCTATAAATTGCTTACGACTTTTTTCCTTGTCATTCTGGAAATAACCTTTACCTGACTCCAACAATTTATGGGGAAAAACAAGCTATATTTTCAATTTGCAGTTTGCAGAAAACAAACTACAACTAGTTTTTGGTTTTTGGTGTACTGATGAGGCTGCCTATTGACCTATATCCTGGCGTTTGTTCAGGCACAGATTGAGGATATTCCCGTCTCCAGCAGCAAACCTCCTACAACCATTGGAACACCTGTGTCCATGAAGCTTGTTTAAACAAAGCCATGCATGGCTCCGGGGGACCCTTTCAGCCCAGCTGGCACTGCCTGGCAGTGCTTGGGGAAGGCTTCTTATTTGAAACCTTCCCTGAGATAAGGGGGTGCGTGCGATGAGACCACACAGGGACCTTTCCCCCAGTGCCATCCATACAATGAAGCCCTCAGCCTCCCCCTGAACCCTGGCCTGTGTAGGAGGCTTCCTGCCTGTTCTGGGAGCCTGGGCCTGGCTGAGATCCTCCTGGCTCATTACCAGCCCAGAGTCCCCCTCTGTCTTCATCATCTCATGCCCGAGCCAAGCCAGTGACCTCACCACTCACCCAGGGATGCCTCAAGAGCAGCATTTGTCACAAAGTGGCTAACTAACCTAGAAGTGGGCCACAACCTGAGAAAGCTTTCTACGGAACAAAAGGGGTGATTGCCTATAGGTCAGAACTGTCCTCATCAAAAACGAGAAGCAAGTTCAGCCACAGGAGGCAGAGGCTGTGTTTGTGAAGGGAACATAAATGGCCTTGGAAGTGGTGCAACAAGCAGAAACATAAGTAGTGTAGCCCAGAGCCCTCTGGAAAGGTTCTTGTCATCAGTGACCCCCGTCGGATCGCATGGCCTCTGATTTTCACAGTCACGGATGGTCTCAGGAGAAAAAACATGTAAACTAGGACTCAAGCAAGGGGTTTGCTTTTTGCCACTGATTGGTGGACTAATTAATTAGGCTTCCTGGGCAGAAACGGCTCTGCTGCTGGCGGAGCCCCCATACCACGCAGAGATCTGGGGAGAGAGGAAGGGGCTGGCCAAAATAGTCACACCAGGGGCAAAGTGGGCGAAAAAGGATTAAAAGCTTGTGACAGTGAGAGGGGCATGTGACACTCTAGCCAGAGCAACGAGGTTCACTGGTGCCAGGCCTAAGGCACACGCTCCGACCCTAATCAAGTGGTCCCAGAAGGTCTCAGAGCAGCTCTCCCATGACTAGGAAGTGGGGGCCCAAACCAGCAGGTGGCCCCCGGCAGTGCTGCTTCTCAAGGGCCCGCTGGGCATGGGAGGGCAGAGACGGGAGAGGTGGTCGTGGTGAGAACCATAGGTCAGCAGGGATGACACCCCCCGAGCCTTGACTCCACCCATGTTCTTGGGACGTTGCAAGTCCCCAGGAGGAGTCCCAGCAGCACAGAAGGCAGGCTGAAGGTGCAGCTTTGGGAAAAGGGCAGGGCTGGCAAGAAGAGGGGTCATGGATTGGAGTAGTACAGACAGATGGGGGACAAACCACTGAGGTCCCTGTGGAGCCAAACTCCACTTCCCAGGCTGCCAGAGCCACATCCTCCCTGTTTGCCAGTGGCTGGTTTCGTTGGCCACGGGCTTGTTTTTCCAACCCACCGTGCTGGCGAATCTGCAGGATCAAGGACAACTATGCCGTGCTTTTTCTTTCTTCCTGACAAGCTCCCATGACGACAACAACAAAATAAAAGAGAAACAAGGAAAAGAAAGACAACGGCTAAAAAAATAAAATAAAAAGAGCCTACCCAAGGATATTTAGCAGGTGAGTATTTTTAGCTGTAGCTTTCTGAATTCCGAAGAGCGGAAGAGCCCGGCCGGCGGCGCTGGTTGTGAAGATGGAGCGCCGGCAGTCACGCAGCCGGGGGAGGCTGCAGATTACATTTTCAGGCCTCCCGGGCTTTTGTTCTGTTGAAAGGGACAAGTAACTTTGTCTAGTTTAACCCCCTCTGGCTTGGAGCTTCACAGATGTCAAATCCCTTACGGAAGACACTGCATTTCCACAGATGCATGGCCACTAGGCCTCGGTAATGTATCAGAGAAATGAAAACTCCCCACTCCAAGAAATCAGAGATGCCGTTCATTGTTGAAAAATGATATTCTAGGGACCCAACACGATGAGAATACCATTATTATAAAGGAAATCCATTCCAAAGCTTCCTATCACATGTGGTACTGCCAAATAAATGATGCAACTTCATTTAGTAAGAAGAAAATCAATGATATTAAGAACAATTAAACTGTGCCATAGTCTGTAGGTGCAAACCTCACCAAAAGTCACTTCAATAACACATAGTAAGTGAAGCAACACAGCACAGGCTGCTCATTGTTTTCAAGTGTTCTAGACGGAAGGGCTTCACCTCTGTGCACGTCGTCTTCTTCTTCTTTTTTTTTTTTTTTTAAATGCAGCTCGGTCTTGTAAACACAGAAGATTTTTTAATTTATTCTCTTTTTTTTTCTTGACATTTAACTTTTAAAATGCATTTTTTTCATGCTGAAAAGCTGGATAATTCTTGGACCGTCCGCAATGATATCATCACCCGGTGGTGCGTGCTCCTCTCTCTGTGGGGACTGAGCTCCTCGGCATATGCACTGTCCCCGCTGCAGGGCTGGCGGGGTCCCAGGATGGCACTCGAGGGCCTGCGTCCACCAGCATGGTGCATGTTCCCAGAGGCAGAGAAACAGGGCAGGACCCTGCTGAACCTCTTCACCAAAGCATGCTTTTGCATAGTTCTAGGTGTCTCTGGGCATTGAGGAGCACCCTATCTGTTCCTCCTTCCCCTCGCCCACACTTTCTCTGGGTCATCCATGCCCCAGCTTCCATGGGCTCCCGTTTACTGCGTACTGGACTGTGGTTCCATCTCGAACTCTCCTCGTAGACCAAGGGCATAAAATCAACTCTGGGAATGAAAGTGTCGCAAGGCTTTGCCTGACTCCATAGAAGATGCCGGGCATGACTCACTGACACCCTCGTCCTCCCACGTAATGGGGATAATATTTTAAAACATATTTTCAAATGAATTTTCATAACCTATAAATCGTGCTGTCCTCGGGCTCCTTGCCTTGGGGAGAGTGGGTTTTAGTGTTCCAAGGGAAGGGCTGGCATAGACCGGCTAGGAAAACAAAGTCATTTTTCAGTTTTGACTGGCAAATAGGATTTGTGAGTCCCTAGCAAGCAAAGGTTTTGAAAGCCATGCTAGATTGGGAGAGAGAAGGATTTACTAAATTCCTTTAGTTGCTATGCAAAGGGCTGGGCCTGCTGGATGAGATCATGGAACTTTTCCATAAGCCTGGGATGGAATTGTCTCAGGATGTGGGGTACAGAAATTCTTTATCACCCAGGAAGGAAAGGAAGTGCTTCCTGTGTGGGTTGGAGGGGTGTTCGGGATGCAGTAGATCCAGTGTGGTGAGGGTGTCGGGGCCAGGATCCTGCCATCTCCCTGTCCCTGGGCCTAGCATGCAGGTGTGGTGACAGGCTAGAATGTGGCCAGTGTGGCCTGCTGTGCTGGCCCTCCCTGGGGAGGGCTTTTGGCCTCTAGAAGTTGACAACCAACACGGTGCACAGAGGCTGCCTGGCAGGGTGGGCCAGCTGGCTACAAAGGGAGCCAGTGGCAGGACTCCCGGATCCCTTCTGGCTGTGCAGGGGACACAGGGGACCCTGAAGTTCCCAAAGCCCTAGTAGATAATGCCTTAGAGATATGGGGAGAGAGTCAGTTGGTCAATAAAAGCCTGGAGTTGAAAATGGCAAAAATAATAAATAAATAAATAAATAAATAGAAAGAAAGAAAAGAAAATCTGGGGTCAGAGAGTTTAGCAAGGCAAAGACATATCAGCAGATACCAGACCGGGGACAGACCTGGGGGTCTCTCTGCAGCAGGGAGTAGGACAGGCTGCACAGTTACCCCACCTTGACGTGCTCACACACAGGCTGACCCCTCAACCCCATGAAGTATAGAAGGGAGAAGCCAGGATTTCAAAATTATGAGCATTTCCCACAAAGATCCTGAGTCATCCCACCGAGGAAGAATTCTGTGGGGACAAGCTTATGTTTTCCTCCTCACTGCCCAGCAGGGAAGACTCTCACCATAGAAAAAGAAAGGTGTCGGGCACATGTTTCCCATCTCTCAGCCTCATACAGGCAGCCCTGATTCAACTGTCGGAACTGCTAGCAAGCTCGTGGATGGGCCCCAGCCACCTGAAAACGTGCAGTCTGCGGATGGCACCCTGACCTGGGTCCTATGAGTAGTGACTGCTGATGGGATGCTCTGAAGTTGGCTGAATGTCTCCCCATCATGAGCAGGAGCTCCATGCTGGGTGTTACCTGATGCTGTGTCCTCTCCTCAGCCAGAACTGCCCTCCGTCATCTCACAGAAAACTTTACCTTCCTCCAACACGGATGACTTTTTACACTTAGCATGTGGCAATGCATTTTCCTGCCATTCCTGCTGTATCCTCCTCCCTGGGCTCTGGCATGTGCTGTTGAGTTTGGGGACCTCTGTGCGGGCTGATGGCCACACAAGAATCTGAGGCTCCTTTTTTGTGACTCTGGCTCATTTAGGATCAAGGGCCTATGATGAGGGCTTTGCTTTCACTCACTCAGCTGATGAAAGATCTAGAAATAAAAGTATTTCATTTCTTATGCAAAGTCTGAGCTTCACATGCTGTGACCCACAGTAACCTTCATGGGCCAGGGAAGGGAGCATTCAGGGAAGACCCGCTGGAATGTGAATGGAGCAGGGCTTCCACCCACACCCTGTTGGGACACCCAATCCTCTTCCTGTGGAGATGCAGGAACCTGACACCTGTAAGGATTTACTTGTCTCAGGATCCAGTGGAATGTGAATGGAGCAGGGCTTCCACCTACACTCTAATGGGACACCCAATCCTCTTCCTGTGGAGACGCGGGAAGGTGACACCTGTAAGGATTACTTGCCTGAATTCGTTTGCTTGAGTTTTAACTGAAGAAGAAAATGTGTTTTGGGCTTGTATTCACTTTCTCTTTTTAGTGTGTGGTGCCTGTAAAGACAAAAGGAAAGTTGAGAATGCACAGGACCCAGTATGAATCTGCAACTCTGAAGGCTGGCCTCTGGGGAGTGCGGGCGGGGAGAGCCAGGGGTGGGCGGTAGCAACCATCAGCTGCTTGCAGGGAAGCCTCTGGGAGTGGTGCCATTTCAGGTGGGCCAGGAAACAACAAAAGACCTAGAGGGCTGCACCTGAGGACAAAAAGTGTTTTGAGTAGGTAAAGTGGAGAGATAAAGGCAAAGAGATTGCAGGTGTTCCTGGAGTTCTATAGAAGACCTGGCATTGGAGGAACACGTGTATGGGAGGAGTGAGAGTGTGGTGACATGAGGCATGGAGCCAGTGTAAATAGAAGCCACAACCCGCGGTGGCTCACGCCTGTAATCCCAGCACTTTGGGAGGCTGAGGTGGGAGGATCACCTGAGGTCAGCCTGGCCAACATGGTGAAACCCCATCTCTACTAAAAATACAAAAATTAGCCAGGCACGGTGGTGCATGTCTGTAGTCCCAGCTACTTGGGAGGCTGAGGCAAGAGAATCGCTTGAACCCTGGAGGTAGAAGTTGCAGTGAGCAGAGATCGTGCCACTGCACTCCAGCCTGGACGACAGAGTAAGACTCCTCCATTTCAAAAAAAAAAGAAGAAGAAGCCATGACCCAGTAGGCAGGGAATGTGGCAAATGGCAGGCCAGGGTCAGCAGGGGCACGCTGGAGGGTCATTCAAGGTGCAGTGCAGAAGGGATCGGAGAGTGGCTGTAGTAGCAAGGGGAAGGAGTGGCAGGTGGAGGAGACTTCATGAAGAGGCATCAAGACTGAGTGATGGGCTGAAGAAAAGGGTGGGAAGGGAGATGGGGATGAGGGGAGGAAGAGGCAGGGGACTGATGTGGAGGTCATGTTCTGATGTAGAGGCAGCCTGCCCTTGGCCCAGGCTGGAGAGTCACTGCACAGCTGAGAGACCCTGTCAAGCAAAGAGCGGAGCAACACCCACCAGGCCCACATTTCTGAGCAAGCCAGCGGACAGAGCCGCTGGAGCCGTGCTGGAGTATGACCGAGAGCCCCACTTCCCATTTGTCCTTCCTGTGTGCTATGCGAGGACCTTTAATCCTTGTTGGGCTGATTACAATGTGAAAAGGTTAATTTACTGAGACGATCTGTAATGACTACTGAGAATAATGGCCAAATAAAAAGATATGCTAAAGGAGTTTAGGGAAGAAAAATGTAGCCTGTACTTTGGGATGTGATTGCATAAAATTGGCCTTTACCATTTGGAAAAGCACCTCACTGTGCCTTTCACGGCATTTCATAAACTATGACGTGTGATTGGAGATGCCTTGAGCAGTGCCCGATAAATGACTTTATAGCCATGATTGTGTTCTTCAGGAAAAGGGAATGCTTCATGGAAAACCAGATAAACCTCGCACAGACTAATAGCATAGAATCTGGCCACTTTGGTTGAATTGATCTATTGTGGACGTTTCACATGATTTTTATTGATATTTTTCTCTTCTGCAAGCCTCGGAATGTGAGAGGAATTCTACTACAATGGCTTCATACTGAATTTTTAGTGAGAGGAAAAGCTGGTTTTAAATTGGTGATAATCAGATGTCTATTTTGAGGGGGCGCGAGGGGGATGACAATGGCTAATATGTAATAAAAACAAACACAACCTTTAGCCCCAGATGCCTCTGGGCCCATGAGTGCCTGTCCCTGTACCTGTGGGAGAAGGCCACACCTGCATTTCCGGGGCGAATCGGCATGTTCTAAAAGCAGGTCCTGCGGACACACTTGCACGGCAAATAGGGCCAGGCCCTCCCTCAGCTTTTTAACAGGTGGTGAAGTTTCCACAGGAACTTAATTTTCCTCTTTTTTGTAGGAGAAACTGTTTGTTTCTGGGCTTGAGGGAGGGAATGAAACCAGCAAAGATGAAGAAGTTGAGGACACAGGGATGGGGTCTGAGAGAGGGACCAGCCACAAAGTGGCTCTGTGGGCCACTTTCATGAGTTTTCCCATGTCGCATTGCCCTGGGATTAAAAAAAATAATTGTGATAACAGATACATAACATAAAATTTTCCATGTTAATCACCTTAAGTGTATAATTCTGTGGCATTAAGTACATTCACAATGTTATGTAACCATCACCACCTACCTATTTTCAGAACTTTCTCATCTTCCCAGACATTAACTATCATTGAAAGTGCTCTTTGTTCCCCCTCCCCCAGGCCCTGGCAACCTCTTTTCTACTTTCTGTCTCTATGAATTTGCCTATTTAATTTGCTTTTCCCTACCGGCTAGTAATGAGTGTCCTTGTCCGTGCTCGTTGGACACGTCCTGGGTTTTCATCTGTATTACAGATAAATAGGAAATGACACCCCATGTCCTGGTCTTCATCCAGGTGAGTCACCCACACCACTTTGTCCAGTCTGAACCTGCAAGTGACAGCATGACTCACCCCTGCTGGAGGGAGAGCAAAGAGTCAGTGGTGAGGGGAGGCCTGCATCTTCTTGAAGAAGGTGGCTCTGACTCAGAGGCCCAGAGGAGTGTCCCTGCTGGAGTGTCCCCTGCAGTTCCGGGTGGCTAGTGCTGGCTGTATTAACATGAGCCTTGGGCCAGATGGTGCCACTCCGGGGGCCCTGGCTTCTGTGACATGTCTACTGGCTCTCTGAGCCACCCAACCCAGGAATGGCCAGAGCTCGCCGGCCCTGCCTGTCTGAGAAGAGAAACAGCTGAGTGACTGACATCCTGGGGCCGTGGGCTGGCAGGGCCCTCACCTCTCTATAAGACTGGACTCCCACCAGACGTCTTTGCAGGAGTCACCGTCTCCTCCGGAGGTGCCGCCTTCAATTATCAGCATCCAAGGCCCGCCCACTCTGTCCAGGAACCAGGGCCTGACTCAGGGACCCGAGAGGCAGAGGCTGGTTTCTTGTTTTCCTTCAACGAAGTCAGCCAGCTTAATCTCACCTTGCCTACATCACAGAGAAGATAGGACAGATTCTGGGGACATCCCGAAATTAACTGTGAAGTGTAGACATTTGCTATTGAATAACTTAAACATTAATGTAATTTAGGCCACATGGCTACTGAGCTTTAGAATTTATAAAGCCTCTCTCTGCAGATGAAAATGTTCATTTAACCAAATGGAAAAAATATTTTTACATGTCTCATGTCCATACAAGATTTATGAAGCCCGTGTTTTTATTTATCAAAATGTGTTGTCATGTGGCCAAATTCACACTTTAAGACTAGGCAGCAGGTGCTCAAACACTGTCAATTCAAAGGTGCTGGAAGGGACCTCGCTCAAATTCCTTGATATTGTTTGCCTGTGTCCCCACCCAAATCTCATCTTGAATTGTAGTTCCCATCATCCCCACAGGTCATGGGAGAGACCAGGTGAAGATAATCGAATCATGATGGCCGTTTCCCCCATCCTGTTCTCAGGATAGTGAATGAGTTCTCACGAGATCTGATGGTTTTATAAGGAGCTCATCCCCCACTTCGCTGGGCACTTTTGCCTCCTGCTGCCGTATGAAGAGGGACGTGTTTGCTTTCCCTCTGCCATGATTGTAAGTTTCCTGAGGCTTCCGTAGCCCTGCTGAACTGTGAGTCAATTAAACCTCTTTCCTTTATAAATTACTCAGTCTCAAGTATATCTTCATTAGCTGCATGAGAACAGATTAATACACTCCCCGTGAACTACTCTAAGGAGAGAGCGGGTCTCCACGCGGCCTCGGTGTGTGCTCAGAACTTCTGACACTAGCAACCTGGCAGCCCAGCCCGGCGGGGTTCTGTTCTCTCTGCTGCATGGTTTAGCGTGTGGTCATAGTGTGTGTAGGATGGAGACTGAAGGAATCATCCTTCACGCTGATTCATCTGGAAGAAAAGCCAAGCCCTAATTTTTTAAGCTGAGGGCTCCATGTGTTTATGTATTTAGCACCTCAAGACAGGAGGAAATAATTAGTGGTTTGAGAACACGTTAACAAAAAGCAAGAGCTCTTTCAACCTTCGGGCTCATAATATACGTAATTGTAAAGTAACAAGCATACCAGAAGGAAACAATACTCTTTTGTGATGGGGAGGTTACCCCTCCACCCACCTCCTATACCCCGTGGGATAGCCACAGCATGGACTTCCTGTTCTACCCAGAGCCATAACCAGACAGCTGAATTCATGTATGGTTCCCAGGACAACAGTGGAGAGGGTGCATTTCTTACCTGGGCAAGGCTGGGAGGGATTCCCATAAAACATCATTTTATTTAATTTGAAGTTATTTTCTGGCAGGCTTTTCTTCTAATTTGGAACCTAATATTTAAACAACCATTGCTTAAAACACAAGCTGGTGTCAGAATTTTAAGGTGATGACAAGAGTAGAGCAGCTCTGGGAAAAAGAGAGGTAAGAAGTTCGGTTTTGGATTCCAGCCAAGCGATGGTCCTTTTACTTGTTTATCGATTATGTGTTGGTTCCCAAGGTCGACGAGGACTTGGCGACACCTGATTTTTATGTGGCATTTCACAGTGTTTCACTCCTCATCTTCAAGTTGGGAGGAATCAAATATTTCCCTATTAAAATTTGTTCTTCTACTTAGTGAATTTATGAGAATGAGAATAAAAATGTACTGGATAATTTTCAGCTCTTTGCAAAAAAAAAAGCCCCTTTAGCGTTGCTGTTGAATTCGGCAGCCGTGGCCAGAGGGACTGGGGAAGGGAGAGGTGCTTCTGCTGCCTTATTCATCTCCCCAGGGAAACGGAGTTGCTGGATGCCATAATGAAGGGGCTTTGTTTTTAAGAAGTCGAATGAAAACACTAGATGGTCTTGATAGATGAGCAAATATTTTGCAGGACATTTATCTGTTTACTTTGCAGTAACCACAAAGCGTCTGTAGGGGGAGTTTTCTTATTACTGTTTTTGAGTTACTAAACGCAGAAAATAATTTCAGGGTTTTCTCCCTTTCGTAACTAATTTGCAGTTAGCTATGTTTGGTACTGAGGGTAAAATATTTTTGCACAGACAGTCCTTGCTCCTGTTTCGAAAGGCTGGTCTCGGTGCATCTACGATTGCGGCGAATGACAAGAAAACTTCTGTGGGCATCAGAGGGTTTCAGAGAAACACGGAAAAGTGGAGGACGTTTAAAAATACATTTTGCACATCAGCAAGGTCAGGACTAGGGTGCAGGCAGTGAGGTGCCTAGGTTGCAAAATTTAAGGAGGTTGGGAGTGAGTGCCTGCTGAAATTATAGGCCCTAGGTGCTCCCTGGCCTCCCCCTCCTCCCAGCCCGGGGTGCCAGACATCCAAACTCTGGCTGGCATCCAAGTCCAGCTAAGGGCCCAGGGAGGGTGCGGAGCAGGTAGAAGGAAAGCAGATGCAGGAGTGGGCAGGGGAGGGACAGGGAGGAGGTGCTGGCTCCTCAGGCTCTGCTCTCCTCTGAAATATGGCCTGGAGAAACGGGAGGGAGGCCAAAAGGGAGCCGTAGTCCCAAGCTAGAACCCATGTTTCCATCGGATGAGCCGTGACCATGGGCTCCTGGCTGTCTCTGCCATCTGCCTGATGCTGCTCTAAGAGGCAGAGCAAAGGTGCTGGACAGCGAGTCCATTTAAGTGGGGAGAATAAGCAGGTGGCTGGGGTCTGGTTTTCGGCAGGTGGCCAAAGGAAAGCAGGAGAGTTCCAGGCCTGGGGACTCCACTTAGGACAGGGGACCACCTGGCGGAAATGTCAGTTGCCAGCAGAATGGGACCTGAGGGGAACTCAGCAGGTCTCTCTGATTGTCCCAGGGTGTCTACCTGGATCCTGCTCCATCAGCAGCATGTGCAGGGGCCTGGGGCTCTCCCGCCCGGAGGGACCGTGCTGGGTTCATTGCTGTTGAAGGCTTGCCCCAGTATGCCGAAGCAAGTCTGCAGTGAAACCTCAACCAGTAGAAGGAGGGACTCTGCAAAGTCACCTAACCAAGGACGTGGCCCAGGGAAGGGAACAAATTGAGGCCATGAATGTAATTGACCATATACATGTGGGCAAGGATGAGGAAACAGCGGTGCTCTTATACTCTATAGGTGAAAATATAAACTGGAAAAATGGTTTTGAAGGCAATTTGGCAATATCTGTCAAGATTTGAGAAACATGTCCATTGCAAAGAACTTAACCTATAGATAGGTTTACAAAAACACCAAGAGATATGTTCACTGAAGAATGGTTTGTTAGAAGGGAAAACATTCAAGTAAAGGAACAAAATGAAATTGATCAGGGACTGTTTAAATAAAATATAATATATACATAAATCAGAAAATGAAAGGCCATCAGAAAGGTTGAGGCAGATCTCCATGTGATGACATGGAATGATATTTGCAGTATTTGTTTAGTGAAAGCAAACTAAAACGCAGTGTGTTTAATATTATCTTATTTGTATAAAAACTAAAGGATATGCTTATAGGTACAAAATGAACTGTTGACAGTAGTTGCTTCTGGAAAATGAGACAAAGTGGCTAATGAAAAATAGATTATAGGTTGACTTTCTATTTTTGTCTTTCTTGATTCTTGATTAATTACTTAACGTATATTACTTTTCTAATCAAAAACAAGTTTTGTAATGATTCTGTATTTGTTTTTAGGCTTCAGACATTTAGAAAAAAACAGTTTCTTGGGACCTTGGGATGTTTGTTTTAGAAAGCCACATCTCAGGCTACAGCTGCTGTGTGATTTGGAGAGTTGAATTCAGTTAATCTACAAAAAAAGGAGATGTTTAGTAAGCAAGGAACTGGCCCCAAATTCCACATAATTTTAATTTTCAGGTGTTCCACTTTCCAGTTATCATATTTGACATCTTCTCTCAATGTACAGAATGGAGAATGCATTGCAAAGGACAAGCAGAGGGTCAAGCAGTTTCATGGTTCCAATGGGGCTCACAGATTCTTTGTGCACATCTTTCTTTGGTGCTTGTGAGACTCCAGACAAAATGCACAACACAAAAGGTGGCTCCTGCTCGCTTTCTCCACTTCCTCATGCCTAGCCGCTCCCTGGCCACTCCAGAGATTCCTCCCCAACAGCTCGTTGAAATGGTTCTTTCATTGTCAACTTGCCCAGGCCAGCTGAATGGTTTTCTTCTGATTTGATCAATTGGCAGCAGGCAAAGTGGTTATCACTCCCTCTTTCTTGAAATGTTTGCTTTTGGTATTTTTGCAACCACCTCTCTCAGTTTTTCTGCATTTTTGTGGCTCATTCTTATTCCCTTTTGTTATTGCTTGCTTCTCCATGAACTTCCACAGAGCGGAGCTCTCCAGCAATCTGTCCTGGGTCCTCTTCTCCACATACTTGTTTCTTCTGATGTATCCCACCCAGTCTCATGGCATTGAGCCTCCTCTGTGCTCTGATGATTTCAAACGTGCTGTTGCTTTTCAATCTCCAGCCTAGCCTAGACTCTTGGATGAGATTTATTTCTTCAGTTTCCTGTTCATCGTCTTCATTTAACAGGCATCTCAAACTTAGGATGATGACAGAACTGTAGATTTCCCCAGTCTAATCCCTCCACCTCAGCTTCTCCCTTTCTCAATAAATAGCAGCTCCATCTACCCAATTTCTCAGGTAGAAAACCCGGCAAATATTCTCAGTTTTTCTTTCTTCTTAATACGCATATATATACTCTTAAACATTTTTATTTCATCTACTTTCAAAATATGCCCTGATTCTGGTGATAGCTCAATATCTCCACTGGCTCTTGGCCCTGGTCACTGTGTCATCTGCTGGAACTGCAGCACAGCCTTGCCTGGCCTCCCTGCCTCCACTCTCCCTGTTGCCTCCTGCTTCTTCCAACAACAGGAAATACACATCAGCTCCAAATGACTCAGTGACTCCATCTCTGTCTTCAAATAAAGTCCAAACTCTCATTAGGATTCACAAGACCTACATGATTAGGCCCTTACATTCATCCCAGCTCCACTGCTGAAAATCAAAGAAATAGGGAAAGTAAGGAAAGGGGGAGGAAGGGGCATAGAATCCTCAAAGGCAAAACAGAGGGCTGCTGCCCCAACAGAAACCAGGGAGGACAGAAGACAATCAAATAACACCATTAAAACACAGGCAAAAATTAAAAACCTAGCATTCTATATCCATCAAGCATATCTTTAAAAATTGATGTCAAAATGAAAATGTTTTGGGAAATAAAACATTAAATTTTAAGTAAACTAACTTAAAAAACCATTGAATTCTTTTGGGAAAAAATTTATCAGCAGTAGAAAGAACAGCACCAGAAAAGATACCTACGTGGGTCAATAGAATTGAGTATCAACTGCATAAAACTGCAGCAACAGCAATACATTATGGAATGGATAGCATGTATACGAGTGACTTACATGACAACAAAAACACAAAGAGGAAATATAGTTGAACTGTTTCAAAACTCTGAGTTGCTCAGGAAGTGGTAAGACTACTAAGTTAAACTAGTGTATATTCGAAGAATAAATGTAAATCTAGGGTAATCACTAAAAAAAAAGATACACAATAAAAAACCTAATATCTAGGAAGAAATAAAATGATAGAAATGCTTGACTAAGTAACAAGAACAAAAACTAAAGTCAGGAAAGGAGAAAGCAAAAAACTAAGTAGAAAACAAATTGCAAGAGCGTAGATTTAAATACAATACTCCATGGAAAAGACAAAGATTCTCAGACTGCATTAAAAAAACAAAAACAAAAAAGAAAATCCAATGCTGTTTACAAGAAACATCAAATTTAAGGATATAGAGAGGTTAAAAGTAAAGAAAAAATAGAAAAAATATATACTGTACCAATGAAAACACCAATCAAAAGAAAGCTGTTGTGGCCATATTAATATCACACATTATAGACTTTAGTCAAGAAGTGTTATGAGGTGTAAAAATGGACATGTAATAATAACGTTTTCAACAACCAGCAGAACATAAGAATCCTACATCTGTACATATATGAGACTATAATCCCACAATATATAAAATATAATTTGACAGAAATAAACGGAGAGAGATAATAAATGTGCAAGCATGACTGGAGATTTTTAGCATGCTTCTTTTAATAATAAGCAGATAAAAAAATCAGTAAGGAGTAATACAACTAACCAATCTGACCTAATTTTATTATTTTTATATATAATATGTTATATGTATTTTATAGGATGTATCTATAAGAACATATATGTAAGGTATACATAAAATAAGAATCCATTATATTTTTATATACCATATATAGCATATATAATACATATGAAAAATATGATGTATTCTTCTTTTATGTGTACGTTACATATATTCTTACATGTATATATAAAACATATTATATATATATAAATATTATACAATTAGGTCAGGTTGGTTAGTTGTGTTACTTCTCACCAATTTTTTAAAGTTCATTCTTTTGAAGTTCCTTTAGGACATTTATCAAAATCTGTGTTTGATATGGTTAGGCTTTGTATCCCCATCCAAATCTCATCTTGAATTGTAATCTGCATAATCCCAACATGTCAAGGGAGAGACCAGGTGGATGTAATTGAATCATGGGGGTAGTTTCCCCCATGCTGTTCTCAGAATAGTGAGTGAGTTCTCATGAGATCTGATGGTTTTAAGGGGCTCTTCCCTACTTCGCTTGGCACTTCTCCTTCCTGCTGTCTTATGAAGAAGGTGCCTTGCTTCCTCTTTGTCTTCTGTCATGATTGTAAGTTTCCTGAGGCTTCCCCAGCTATGCTGAACTGTGAGTCAATTAAACCTCTTTCCTTTATAAATCACCCAGTCTCAGGCAGTTTTTTATAGCAGTATGAGAAAGGACTAACACAGTGTTCATGTATTAAAGCACAAATAAATCTCAGTGGGTTTTAAAGGATTAGAATCATAAAGTATAAGCTTTGTTCCTAACTTGGAATTAAATTAAAACTTAGCAAAAGAAACTTCAAGATCTGGCCAAGATCGAGTAATCACATTCCACTTATCTCTCACACTGATCACAGCTAGAAACTCTGAAAAGAATGACTCAATGACTATTTGAAGATTCTGAAATTTTAAAAAAATACCAAGGAGAATGAGGAGAAAATTCAAAACTTGAAAATGACTAATATGATGATGAGTTCCCTGTTTTGTTTGTTAATTATTCTAAACTATATATTGTCTGCAAGAAATCTACTTAGAATATAATTCTATAGATAGGTTGAAAGTAAAATGATCAAAAATGATGTACCAAGCAAATAAAAGTCAAAAGAAAACTGAAACATCTTTATTCACATCACACAACATAGCCTGCAGAACAAGGAAAATTACCAGAAATAGAAAGCAACATTGCAGAATGATAAAAGGGTGGATTCCCAAATAAGATATAAGAATCCTAAATGGGCATGCACCTTACATGAAAACTGACATAAAGTAAAAGATACATAGACAAATCCACAATTATAGCCAGAGACTTCACCATTGCTTTTTAAGTAATCAATGGAACGATAGATAATCAATCAGTAGCATAGAGAAGACCTGAAGAGCACCATCAATGAACTTGACCAAATTGAAATTTATAGCACACTCTATCCAAAAACAATAGAATAATAGAATATGCATTCTTTCCAAGGGCATATGGAGCATTGACCAAGAGAGACTACATTCTAGGACACACACACACACACACACACACACACACACACACATACACACACAGAACCATAACAAATGTAAAACAATTGAAATCACACAAAATATATTCTCTGACCACAATGGAATTATATTAGAAATCAATCACAGAAAAATATAATACTTGGAAAATGCTCAAATATTTGGAAATTAGATACATATTTCCAAAATTCATTGGTTCAAAGAGAAACTCTCAAGGGTAGTTTGAAAATATTTTTAACTGAATGAAAATGAAAATGTAACTTATCAGACTGTGTGGGATGCATCTAACTCAGTACTTAGCGGGACATGTATAACATTAAGGAATTATATTAATGATAAAGAAAGGACTCAAATCAATAATCTAATTTTCTACTTTAAAAACTTGAAATAGAAGAGCAACGTGAACCCAGAGCAAGCAAAAAAGAGGAAACAATAAAGATAAAAGCAGATGGAATATTTGCTAAAATTGACACCTTGTCAGGCCATAATTCTAGCCTCAGAAAATGTCAAAGGGTGTGAACTAACAGCATGCTATAACATGCTTTAAGTATTCTGGACACAAAAAAGAAAAAGGCACCTGGAAAACTCCCCACATTTGGAATATTTTTCAACCTTACTTTTAAACAATTTATATTGAAAGAAAAAAATAAAAAGGAAACTAAAAAACATTTAGAACTAAAATATAGTGAGGATACTACTCATATAAAAGCTTATGCCGTACCTCTAAACCAGCAAGTCAAGAGAAATTTAAGCCTTTGATGCTTATATTAGAAATAATGAAAGACTCACTATTAGTGAGCCAAGCACTCAACTTAAAGGTCATAGAAAAAGAACAGTAGAATTAATAAAGATTAATAGAAGGAAAAGGCTCAATTTTAGGAATGAATGAAACATGTTTAGAGACTGCAGAATTAAGTAGATGATAAAAATTATTAAAAACAATGTCAAAAAATAGAAAATTGGACAAAATAGATAAATTCTTAGAAAAATACAATGTATCAAAACATACACAAGAAAAAATAGAAAACTTAAATAGTCCTACAGTCACTAAGAAAATTAAAATTTTCTCAAATGGAAAATGCCAAACTCAGATCTGTTTGTAGATGAGTTTTATCAAAGCAAAAGAAAAGATAAGTTCTATTTCTACTACGCCAAAGGAAAGAAAAAATAAAGAAAAAAGAAAACTCAATATCTTATGAGACTAACAATGCATTGATAAGAAAACCAGACACACATAGTATGAAAAAGAAAAATTACATATCCCATCTCTCTCATGAACACAAAACCAGAAACCTTAAGCAAAAATATTAGCAAATATCATCCAGCAATATAATAAAAGACAACACATCTTAAATAACTTGGATTTATACCAGGAATGCAATTCTGATTTAATAAGAGGCAATTAATAGCATCCTCAAATTTAAAGAAGGATCTTTATCAATGAAGGATCACCTTCTAGTAATGCTTTAATGAAAGGACAACTTATTATAAAATATCTTAGCAAACTACAAAAGAAGAAAAAATTATCTTTGCCTGATAAAAGGCATATAAAATTTATAGTAAACGTTATATATAACAATGGAAGTTCAAAAGGATTGTCTGTAATATTAGGAAAAGAGAAAGATGCCTTCTATTCAATATTTAATCAAAATTTTACTGTAAGTACTAGCAATTGCACCATGACAAGAAAAAGAAATAAAAAGTGACAGCATTGGAAAGAAAGAAATAATATTGTCATTAGTTGCTGCTGCTGATTGTCTATATAGAAATTTTTTTAAAAATACATTTATATTTAATCAAAATAGAAAATATAATTTTTAAAATGTAATTTTCAGTAACAAAAGTTTACACAAAGCATCCTTTATGCAAAGAATTAAGTCCTTAATATAGCACATCAAAAAAATCTAAATAAATGGAAAACTATAGGAGGCACTTGTATAGAAAGACTCAGTAGAATAAAGATGCAAATTATTTATAAATTGATCTCTAGGTTCAATGGAATTCCCCAAAAATGCTAACAGATTTAATAGAACTTGACAAGTGTGTATATAAAATATATATGTGTGTGTATATATCCGTGTGCGTGTGCGTGTGTGTGCACCAGGAGACATGTACATGGATATTCATAGAAGTATTGTTCATATATATATATAAAGAGAGAGAGAGAGAGAGAGCCCAAAATAGCCATGATACTTCTGAAGAATAAGATGGAGGTGAGGTGGAACTTGCCTTATCAGATTTCTTTCTTATGATAAAATGTCAAAAATAAGATGTGTTAGGGTTTTCATGGGCCTAGACAAATAGCCTATGGAGTAGAATGGACAGCCAGAAACTGACACCCAGAAGTACGGAGTTTCACTCATGCCAGGGTGGGCACTGTGCATTAGAGGGGAAAGGAAACGCTATTTAGCGAAACGATAATGGGCCAATTGTTGTTTATATAGAAAACAGTGGAACCTGACACCTACCTCATACCTACTCAACAATCAATTACAGGTGGCTGAAAGACTTAATAATAGTCCCCTAGTCCTCCTGTTTTCTAAAAGTATTTTAATTTGCTTTCTCACATTTATGACCAAAGGATAGAGAGGGATTTTAAAAAGTGCATAAAATACATATTCCATAAAATAAATGACTGATAATTCTATAATTTCATTAGAAAGTTTTTGGTCTTCAAAATACACAGGAAGAATGTAAAATTTCAAGGCATGTACTAAGAAAAGACGTTCATACCACATATAACTAAGAAAGGATTTATATGTAGAATACAAAAGGATTCATACAAATCAATAAGAAAAATGTGCAAAAAATTTAAAGAGGTATTTTCCTAAAAAGGAAACACAAATGACAATTAAACATATAAAATAATGCTCAACCTCAGTAGAGATTAGGAAAATGCAAATGCATAGAGTGTAGTGATGTATTTTTTTTTTTTATCCACTAGTTGGGCAAAAATTTGGAAGTCTTATAATACCTAATGTTGGTGAGGCTATGAATCAACAGAGACTTTATTGTTGGTCCAAGTATAATTTGTAATGACCACTTTGGAAAATAATTTGGCATTATTTTACAAATATGAATATTTAACCAAATAATTTTAGGGATATAGCAGAACATTTTGCATGTATGTGTCAGGAGCCATATACATGAATATTCATAGAAGTAGTGTTCATAACAGCAAAACCAGAAATTATCCTAAACTCATCCAGAAGAAAATAGATAAACATATTTCAATAAGTCTTAAAATGGACAGTTATAAAGCAGTGGAAATACAGTTATATGCAACACTATGAATGAATCATACCAATATGTCAGAAATCCTAGAACAATTCATAGAATACAATATTTTATAAGCCTCAGAAACAAGTAGAATTAAACAACATATTGTACAGGTATATGTACATATGTGATATAACTAAACAAGAAAACAAAGGAGTAATAGATACAAAATTCTGGGTAGAGGTAACTCCTGGGTGCATAGAAATGGGATTGAGGAGGTATATTGCTGGGACAAAGACTTTGGCTTAATTTCAGTATAGATTTGTGGGTCTAAATTTTATTGTGTTTCATACTATATCTATTACAAATATCCTATCTGTCAAGTATTACATATGAAAACTTAAAAAGAAGTGTATATTATGTGGTTCTGGACTATTATTAAAAATGTACTGTATATTCAGTGCTGAGCTTCCTGTTGGTCAAAAAAAGAGGTTAATGAACTCAGTTCAGAAGGTACTTTGTGTAGCTGAAAACACAGCAGTTGTTCAGGATAAGCAGTGTCTACCAGTTAGTGAAGGTTGAGTCATTGTCAAATAAATGTATTTTTCCTTAAAGAAAACATAGCTTAATGGGCATAAGTATAATCAATTATTTTATCATCCCCTCTTTAAATTTGAATTTTACAAAAAAGTCCCCATGATCTTCTTTCCCCGGATGCTCCAGTTTACTTTGTCCAAAGTCACTAACATCTGACAATGAATCCAGAAAGGACCCAGTTCTAGAATGTGGTTGTAAGCACTGGGCACATCTGGCCATCTCCCTTTGTGTTCACAATCGTCAGTCACTGAATGCCATCTCCCAATTATTGCTTGGTTTCTGCTAATATTTGTCACAAAAATGTTTGTTTGAATGTATCTTATCAAAGTAATGTTTGTGTTTTGGATTAGTCATTGCTTGGTTAAAGATTTGTATAATCAGCTTATTTTAAGATTAATTCATGGAAAAAAAACCCTCTGCAAATTCCCATTATCGCTTAATTTGTATAAAGATATTTACTATATTTTAACAGTGCAATTAAGATTAATATGGGTTCTAACACCATAAGGTCAAGTAAACATGGATTGGATGATACTCTAAACACTCACCTCTGATCCTCAGATATTATTATGCAGCCCAGATCTTGTGGGTTTGCAGAATAGCAAAAAGGTCAGAAGTGAAATGAAATGAGTATTCTCAGGTTGTCTGATGCAGATGAAGGCACGGTGCTACCCTGGGCTGACTCGTTCATCACTCTGGGTTTCAGAAATAGCAGATGATTCACAGGCTGGAGGAGGATGGATGGCACCCTTGAGGGAGAACCTCCCTTGGGCAGACAGGAAAATGATCTCAGAAAGAAGCTGGGGTGCGTTTGTGTGGTCCAGGCTCTTCTGAGTCCAGGTTTTTCTCAAGAGCACTTTTTTCCATGAGCCTGTGCCTGTTGGTGCCCCTTAGAAAGCTAGACTGCATGCCTTCCGAGGCCCTTCAGGCTGCTGCTGCCATTCTTACTGCTTCTGGAATCAGTAATATGTGGGATGGGCTTTCCCACAATTTTGATGAAATTGAGCAATGTTTTAATTTCTTATATGAACTAAAAAGTAACCCACTCCTCACAGTGGGTTGAATGGTGGTCCCTCAAAATACGTACCCATGTCAAAATTCCTAGCAACTGTCAATCTGATCTTATTTGGAAAAAAAAAAAAAGGGTCTTTGCAGATGTAATTGAGTTAAGGTTCTGGGGATGAGATCATCCTGGATGCAATGACAAGTGTTCCCATAAAAGGCAGAAGGAGATACAAGAGGGGAAGGCTGTATGAAGAGGCAGGCAGAGATCCGGGTGATGTAACCACAAGCCAAGGATGACCTGGAGCCACAAAGCTGGAAGAGTCAGAAAGGCTCTTGCCCTAGGCAGGAGTGTCCAATCTTTTGGCTTCCCTGGGCCACATTGGAAGAAGAAGAATTGCCTTGGGCCATACATAAAATACACTAACACTAACAATAGCTGATGAGCTAAAAAGAAATTCACACAAAAAATCTCACAATGTTTTCAGAAATTTTAAGAATTCATGTTGGGCAGCATTCAGAGCTGTCCTGGGCCACATGTGTCCCACCAGCTGTGCGTTGGACAAGCTTACCCTAGACCCTCCAGAGCCAGCACGGCCCTGCCCACACCTCCATTTCAGACTCCAGGTCTCCAGAACTGTGAGAGAATACATTCTATTGTTTTCAGCATCTAGTTTGTGACAATTTTTTATGGCAGCTCTAGCAAATTGTGTGCGTGTTATTTTAGGCATTTTAGTTTTTACTTATAAATATTTTTTAATGAAAATAATAAAATCTTGTCTGGGTTTTAAAGCCCACCTGATAGACCGTAGTAGTTCCAGCTCCCTCTCAGTCCCTGCACATGGCTTCAAGTCCCCTGTGTTAATCAGGCAGACTCATCAACTGGCTTCGCTTTAATCAAAACATTTAAAAACCTTGCAAGTTTGATCCAACTCACTATAAAATTTCCCCATTTGGCCTTATTCTCATGATATATTAGTCTCCCCTTACCCATCTGGGGTACTTTCCAAGACCCCTCATGGATGCCTGAAACTGCAGATTCTACTGAACTCTATATATGCTGTGAATAAATTTCCTTTTCCTTCTTTACAGTTTCACGAATAGAAGATTCACTCTTACCATAGGTCTTAGCAACCTCAGCATACACTTATTTTTCTTTCTTTTAGCTAAAACTTTCACCTTTTCACATTAAGGAAGCACTTTTCAGCTCCTCTTTGGCACATCTGAATTGCCAGCATCATTACTTTTGTGCTTTTGGGGCTGTTATTAAGTAAAATAAGGGTGACTTGAACATAAGCATTGTCATACCATAACAGTGATCTCATTCCCAAGCCTGCTTCTCTGTGACTAACAGGTGGGTGGCGTGTGCAGTGTGGATATGCTGGACAAAGGTGTAATTCACATCCCAGAAGGGAGGGTTCAAGATTTCATCATGTCACTCAGAATAGCATGCAATTTAAAACTTATGAACTCTTTATTTCTTGGATTTTCTATTTGATATGATTTGGCTGTGTCCCCACCCAAATCTCATCTTGACTTGTAGTTCCCATAATCCCCAAGTGTTGTGGGAGCGGCCCGGTGGGAGGTAATTGAATCATGGGGGCAGTTACCCTCTGGCTGCTGTTCTTGTGATAGTGAGTGAGTTTTCATGAGATCTGATGGTTTTATAAGGGGCTTTTCCCCATTTGGCTTGGCACTTCTTCCTGCCACCAAATGAAGAAGGACGTGTTTACTTCCCCTTCCTCCATGATTGTAAATTTCCTGAGGCCTCCCCAGCCCTGTGGAACTGTGAGTCAATTGAACCCCTTTTCTTTATGAATTACCCAGTCTTAAGTATTTATTCATAGCAGTGTGAGAATGGACTAATAAACCATTTAATATTTTAGAAACATGGTTGACCATCAGTAACTGAAACTGTGGAAAACAAAACCACAGGTAAGGGGGCACTATTGTAATTATTTTCATTTTCTTGACTGTTCTGCTGGGGGTCATATCAGAATCCTTCCTCTGTTTTTTGTTAACTGATTATGTGGTCCGGCCACAGGGAAGAGACACCCAGCTTGGCGCTCCAGTTTTTTCAACCTGGGAGACAGACAGAGGTTTGGACATCTCACGTGATTAGTGCTACAGTGTCATGCTGGCATGTGGAAAGGTGAGATGTCCTCTGTCTCGAGCAGTCCGTCCTGTGAAGACAACATTCTGCCTTGACTGAGAGCTCCCTGTCTGTGCTATCCAGGGATACTCCTCCCACGTCCTTTTCACATGTGCTGTTGAACCCTTGAAATCTGGCCAGTGCAAAAAGTAATGGAATTTTTAATTTTTAAGATTTCTTGGCCGGGAGTGGTGGCTCATGCCTGTAATCCCAGCACTTTGGGAGGCCGAGGCAGGTGGATCACCAGGTCAGGAGTTCAAGACCAGCCTGGCCAAGATGGTGAAACCCCATCTCTACTAAAAAAATACAAAAAGTAGCCAGGCGTGGTGGTGGGTGCCTGTAATACCAGCTACCTGGGAGGCTGAGGCAGAGAATTGCTTGAACCTGGGAGGGAGAGGTTGCAGTGAGCCAAGATTGCACTACTGCACTCCAGCTGGGGTGACAGAGTGAGACTCTATATCAAAAAAAAAAAAAAAAAAGATTCCTTTAATTTTCATCCACTTACATTTAAATACTCATACTTGGGGAGGATTTTGGGAGAATGCATCTGTGCTCATCCTTGAGCTTAGACACTGTGGCATCCCAGGTGTCTTAGTCCATTTGGGCTGCTGCCACAATATACCTTGAAAACAACAGAAATGCTTTGCTCGCAGTTCTAGAGGCTAAGAAGTTCTAGAGAGAGGAGACAGTAGAGTCTGTGTCTGGCGAGGCCCTGCTTTCTTGTTCCTAAACTCCCTTCTCACTGTGTCCACAAATGGTGGAAGGGGTGAAAGATCTCTCTTAGGTAACTTATATAAAGACACTACTAATCCCTTTCATGAGGGCTCTGCTCCCATGGCCTGATCTCCGCCCTCAATGGCCTGATCACCTCACAAAGGCCCTGCCTCCTAATACCATCACATTAGGGGTGAGGATTTCAACATGTGGATTTGGGGTACATAAGCATTGAGACTATATTACCAGGAGTTGCCTGGGACACGTCTAGTTTGTGATTCTGATGCCACTTCCTGAGAAATTAAGAAGCTACACTGACTCATCCATGAGTCTCAGGGAATTACTCTAGAAAAATTAATAATAACTTTCAAGCAAGAAGTCATGTGCTCTTCCCTCATACCTTATTCCAAGGCCATAGGAATAAATGTGCTAGGAATTTCCAGTTGAATCTTCCTTTCTGTAGTTTGTAGCCACTTGTGTCCTTTCATGTGAGCCAGAGATGAGAATTGCCAGTCCACGGTGCCCCAGCAGGATACCAGCGTCCCCTTTACAGAACCCAAGAGGAGCACAAGGCCCACAGCCTTCTGAAGGGGACGCAAAGTTGGCTCTGAGAGCCACTGCACAGCCAGCATGTGGCACACAGGCAGTGTGGGATATCCCTTTACACATCCCCATGTGAAACAAGATGCTACACTATCCAAGACCCAGAAGACCAAGGCTGGGCGGGGGGTCAGGGAAGTGTGCAATATGGTGGCCGAATACCTCCACAACCTGTGTTAGATGTGGGCACTTTCAAAGGGAAGGCAAACTGAAAAGCAAACTGTAGCGCAATCAATAGTGGCTTCAGCAGTGTTTTATATAATGAAATCATAGGCAATAGAAAAAAATCCCTATTCTCAAGTAATTTATATGAGCTGTTTTTAAGTCACAAAAGGGTCAATTCAATTTAGAATTTACACATGGATTCATGGAGGTGGCAACTTGAATATAACTTTCTACCACTTCACTTAACTCCAGGCTACCCAGCTCTCCCAAAGAGCATATGACCTCAGAGCTCACTGGCAGCTGTGGGATTCCTGCAGGTAGAGTGATGGGGTTTTCTCCTTGTGAGGCTGGAAAGAGTCTGGATTCTCCTGCTAGTGGGACAATTGGAGCAAGAGAATTCTAGAAAGAGCCTGGTCCTTAGTGTCATGTGGTCCTTGGAGGAATGTCATTTTTAGCTCTGGCTCTTTTCGTCATTGCACACCCAAGTCTGGGGAGATGCTCAGTGGGTAGGCTGGGCTCTCTCTGACCCTGAGTCTGGGACAGTAGGAAGAGACCATAGGCACAGACCATAGGCTCACTCCTCCTTCCTTCAGAGGAGGACAGATAGTGGACACTTGCTGTTGCCTTGTTGCCTCGCAAGGGTTGAGAAGACTTTCATTCCACCACTGAGGTGCTGTAGTCCATACTGTGTGCCAGCAATGAGGATGAGCCTTGATGGGCAGACAAGGACAAATGACAACCCAGCTGAGGAGGGAGAAGGAATCAGTCAGAGTCAACACAGCATGTGCTCAGCTCAGCTCAGCTCCCACTCTTGAAAATGGCACCAGTGCCCTGTTTGGAACCTGGAGGGCCCTGCGGGACCAGCCTCTTCTTCTCCTGCGTTTACTTTCAGTGTTACACTTGCTCCCACTGTCTTGCAGTGCTGTGGTTCTCTAAAGAACTCCCTGCGTGCATGCCTTTGGACAGCCTCGTCAATGGTGAACAAGTTCCCGTGCGCTCAGCCTCTCCACTCCCTGCCTCGACTGAGACACATCCGGTCTTTTCCCTGGGCCCCGCTTCTCCCTCAGCGTTCTTACTATAGTGCTTTTGGCTGCTTAGTCACCTACCTGCAAGAATGTGTTGTTCAGGAGGGAGAATTTTTGTGCCTTCACACACCATGTTGTTTGTAGAGCACAGGTTTTAAAGGTAGAGACACAGAAATGCTGAAAGTACAGTGATGGGCAAGAATATGCCACAGAAATAACAACCAAAAAACCCTGCACTAATATCAGAGAGATTCAGGGTTGAAATATTATGGGAGTAGAAAAGGAATATTTAATAAAGATAAAAGGGTCAACTCAATAGGGAAATATAACAATCCTAAATGCAAATTTACCTACTGAAATAGCTTCGAGATCTGTAAACTTAAAGTTGTCAGACCTAAAATAAAGGGTGGAAAAGCCACAATGATATTTGGTAATTTTAACACTCCAAATTGACTGAAAGAAAAATAGACAAAAAGTCAGTAAGGATAGAGCAAATTTGAAAAACCCCACTACCTAGGCTCAATAAATATATAAAATACTACATTCCACAGCTGCAGAATATACAATTTTGAGTGTCCATTTGGTAAAACACACCATACTATAAAGCAAATCTCAACAAATTTCAAAGACTGAAATCTTCTAGTGAATATTCTGTGACTACCGGAAAATTATATTAAAACTCAGTAGCAGTAAAAAGGTAGAAATCTCCAAGTGTCCAGAAATTTAGAAAATAGTTATAAAGACCCATGAGGCTAAGAAGAAATTAAAATGAAAGCCAGAAAATACAAGTATATGCCTGCCTACATACACATATATTACACACACACATATGTGTACCTGTATGTACACATGTATGCATATGTGTAGGTGTGTATAAATTTAATGTTCTAAGCTTCCAATTCAATAAGTTGAAAAAGAGCAGCAAATTAAATTCAAATAAAATTGAAATAAACAATAATGATAAAATCAGAAATCAATAAAATATAAAACAAATGTATAATAAATGAACAAAGCTAAAATGTTGGCTCTTGGAAAAAAAATTATGAAATTGATAAATCCCTAGGAATACTCACTAATTAAAGAAGACAGAGATAAAACAGTGTGAGGAATTACCAGTGTGAGGATTTGAAAAGAGAACAGATCCTACAGAAATCAAAACAATATTAAGTAGATTGAAAAATGTTGCCCCTTAGGGTAATGTCCTCTAGGTTCATCCATGTTGTCACACATGGCATGATTTCCTTCCTTTTTAATGCTGAGTAATATTGCCTTGCATCTATAGAGTACATTTTCTTTATCCATTCATGCACTGATGAGCAGTTAGGTTGTTTCTACACGTTGTCTGTTGTGAATGATGCTGCCATGAACATAGGAGTGCGGATATCAGGTTTCTCTTCAACATATTGATTTTATTTCCTTTGGATATACACCCAGTAGTGGTATTGCTGGATCATATAGTAATTCTATTTTTAATTTTTCGAGGAAACTTTGTATTGTTTTTCATAGCTGCTGTACCACTTTGCATTTCCAGCAACAGTTTACAAGGGGTTCCACTTCTTCCACGGTCTCACCAACTCTTGTCTTCTTCTTCTTCTTCTTCTTCTTCTTCTTCTTCTTCTTCTCCTTCTCCTTCTCCTTCTCCTTCTCCTTCTCCTTCTCCTTCTCCTTCTCCTTCTTCTTTCTTCTTTCTTCTTCTTTTTTTTTTGATAATAGCCATCCTAACAGGTATGAGGTAATATTTCACTGTGGTTTTGAATTGCGTTTCCCTGATGGTTAGTGCTGTTGAGCACCTTTTCATATACGTGTTGACTATTTGTATTCTTCTTTGGATAAATCTCTGTTCAAGCAATTTGCCCATTTTTGTTTGGGTTATTTGAGTTTTTGCCATTGAATTGTAGGAGTTCTTTATATGTTGTTGGATATTGATTCCATATCCGATGTATGGTTTGCAAATACTTTCACATTCCATGTGAAATAGACAGTCACAGAAGAACAAATACTGCATGTCTTCTCTTATATGAAGTGTCTGAAATGATCAAACTCATAGAAGTAGAGAGCAGAATGGTGGTTTCAAGGGGCTAAGTTTGGAGAAAATGGAGAGTTGTTCAATGTGTATAAAGTTTCAGTTATAACTCAACAAAATAATAAACTGGAGAAAGGGCACACTATTTAATAAATAGTTCTGGGGAAAATCGGATAGCCACAAGCAGAAAAATGAAACTAGACTCCAATCTCTTACTACATACTAAAATTAACCCAAGATAGATTAAAGATCAAACATAAGACTTGAAAATACAAAAATACTAGAAGAAAACGTAGGAAAAACTCTTCTAGACACAGGCCTTGGCAAAAATTTATGACTAAGACCTCAAAAGCAAATGTGACAAAAACAGAAATACACAAAAACACTTAAACTAAAAAGCTTCTGCACAGCAAAATAAATAATCAACAGAATGAACAGACAACCTGCAGAATGAAAGAAAATATTTATAAACTATGCATCTGACAAAGGACTAATATCCAGAATCTGTAAGGAACTCACACATCTCAGCAACAACAATGAAAAATAACCCCATTAAAAGGTGGGAAAGGGCCGTGCGCGGTGGCTCACACCTGTAATCCCAGCACTTTGGGAGGCCAATGCGGGCGGATCACAAAGCCAAGAGATCGAGACCATCTTGGCTAACATGGTGAAACCCCGTCTCTACTAAAAATACAAAAAAAATTAGCTGGGCATGGTGGCAGATGCCCATAGTCCCAGCTACTCGGGAGGCTGAGGCAGGAGAATGGCGTGAACCCGGGAGGCAGAGGTTGCAGTTAGCCGAGAACTGGCCACTGCACTCCGGCCTGGGTGACAGAGCGAGACTCCATCGCAAAAAAAAAAAAAAAAAAAAAAAAAAAAAAAATGGGAAAGCACATAAACAGACATTTTTTCAAAAGACATACAAATGACGGGCAAGCATACAGAAAAAATGCCCAACATCACTAATCATCAGAGATGTAAACTAAAACCACAAAGAGATATCTTAACAACAGTCAGAAAGGCTATTACTAAAAAGTAAAAAATAAGCAGGGCATGGTGGCTCACGCCTGTAATCCCAGCAGTTTGGGAGGCCGAGGTGGGCAGATCACCTGAGGTCAGGAGTTCGAGACCAGCCTGACAAACAAGGTGAAACCCCATCTCTATTACAAATACAAAATCCGGGTGCAGTGGCACATGCCTATAATCCCAGCTACTTGGGAGGCTGAGGCAGGAGAATTGCTTGAACCAGGGAGGTGGAGGTTGCAGTGAGCCAAGATTGTGCCATTGCACTCTAGACTGGGCAACAAGAGTGAAACTCCATCTAAAAAAAAAAAAAGGTAAAAAATAACATGTTGGAGAGGATGCAAAAAAAACGAAATGCTTATATACCATTGGTGGGAATGTAAATTAGCAAAACCCCTATGGAAAACAATATGGAGATTTCTCAAAGAACTAAAAATAGAACTACTACCATTAGCTCCAGCAATTCTGCTACTGGGTGTCTACTCAAAGGAAAAGAAATCATTATACCAAAAAGATCCCCACACTTTTATGTTTTTTGCAACACTATTCATGATATCAAAGATATGGAATCAATCTGTGCCCCTCAACGGATGATTGGATAAATAAAATGTGTGTGTGTGTGTGTGTGTGTACTTAGTAGTATTCCATGATGTATGTACATATACATATCCATACACACATATATATTACTCCTTGCAAGTAATTTAATGTGTGTATATATTAAATTACCTTGCAAGTAATTTAATGTACGTGTGTGTGTGTGTGTGTGTATATATATATATATATATACTTAGTAGTATTCCATGGTGTATGTGTGTATATATATCCATACACACACACACACACACATATATACACACACACACCATGGAATACTAAGTATACACACACACACACACACACATACGCCATGGAATATACACACACACACAGCACACACACATATATATACACATACAACATGGAATACTACTAAGCCATAAAAAATGAAATCATGTCTTTCACAGTAACATGAATGGAACCAGGGGCCACTATCTTAACTGAAACAGCTCTGAAACAGTCAAATATTGCATGTTTTCACTTACAACTGGAAGCTAAATAATGTGTACACATGGACATAGAGAGTGGAATAATAGACACTGGAGACTTGGAAGGGTAGAAGAGTAGGGGAGGGATGAAGGATGAGAAGTTATCTAATGGGTGCAATGGACACCGACCAGGTGGTGGTCACGCTAAAAGCCCAGACTTACCCATTATGCCATATATCCATGTAACAAAACTGCACTTGTACCCTCTAAATCTATAATTTTCAAAGTATATCCAACAAAAGACACAACTGCAGAATATTTTTAAAATTCCTGTCTTTCAATCAAGAAAAAAAGGACAGACTTGAAAATAGGCAAAACTTGCATAAAACATTCACAAATGCAGACATTAAAATAATCAAAATGGTCGATCAATATATAAGAATGTGCACCACATAATTTGTCATTAGAATAATATCATTTTTAAATGATGACATAATTACACATTCACTAGAATGGCTAAAATTAAAAAGGATGTGAATGTGAGGTGTCAGCAAGGATATGGAACAATAAGGTCTGTTTCATTTCTTCTGGGAGTAAAACTTGGTTCTATTTTGGAAACAATCTGGCAGAATTTACTGGAGCTAATCACATATAGCCGCTATGACCTGGGAATTCTCCTAGGCATATACCCCACTAAAATGAGTTGCTTTTATTCACCAGAAGAGATGCGCGAGTAGGTTCATAGCAGCTTTATTTATAAGAGCCCCAAACTGGAACAGCTTTTTGTCCATCAAGAGTAGAATGAGTGATTAAGTTCTAGTAAATTCATGGAATATGGGATGAAAAAGAACTATGTGAAAATGAATCTTATGGACATAATGTTGTGTAAAAGAAATAGAAGAGTAGCCACTCTGTGATTTGAACAGGCCAAACTAACCCACGGTGGTAGAAATCAGGATAGTTTTACTGCTTACTGATGCCATGGGCTGGGAGGCGCATGTGAGCATCTTCTGGGTTGATAGAGATGTTCTGTAATTTGATCTGGGTGGTGGTTATATGGCTGTTTACAAATGGAAAAGTTTATCAAGGTATATAATTTGGTTTCTATACACTATCCTCTGAAAATGTTAAAAAAGTTAAAAAAAAAGTTAATAGCAAAGAAAAGTATAAAAATGAAGAATCAAGAAGAAGGGGGATAATTACTTTCCCAGATACCAGAATACATTACAAAATCACTATGATCAAATCACCGTGGGGAGGGACATTGAACCAGACAAAAAAAGTTGAGCTGATTACATAATAGTAAGGTGGATAGGAGTTTTAAAAATAGACAAGGTGGATTTGAGTTTTAAAAAATAGATAAGTGAATGTCTATTAAGTACTTAGAAGAGTCTACATGTCTAGTAAGCACTATTAGTCAATTCATTAAATAAGTAAATAAAACTAGATTGCTGTATATGGTGATTTAATATATGAAAAGATTACATCTCAATTTTATTGGAAATACATGCATTAATTAATAAACAAATCTGCCTCAACTGTCTATGCCTCTGAAATAAAATTAAGTTGGTCATCTATTTCCAGTATATATAATACAAAAACCAAAACAAGAAAACTCTTATAAGAAAAAAAATAAAAGATTGTAAGTAATTTAGAAGCAAAAGAGACCTTCTTAAGCAAGAAACTGAGCAATATTCAAGAGAAGATAAATTCATTTCACTACATAAAATTTAAAAATATTTTATGATGAAATATAATATAAAATAGTTACTAAACAGAAAGTGGATTTGGCAAAATTTTTCAAAGCAGATAGTGAATAAAGTTAACATTTGTTACATATTATATATAATAATTATCTCACATGTATAGTAAACTCTTAAAATTTGACAAGAAAAAAGCAAACAACCTAATAGAAATATGGGTAAAAAGTTTTCAGACTCACTAGACATCAGGGAAATGCAATAATGGGAACTGATTTTTATATTTCTCTGACTGGTAAAAAGCAAAAGCTCTATTACCCATTGCTGGCGGAAATAATGAGGAAGAAAATACGAATTAGAACAGCTTTTCTTTTGGTAAAGCAGTTGGTCTATGTTTTTTTAAATACGAAACGGCCAGTCCCTTTAACCCAGTAAGTCCATCCCGGGACTCTTGGGACAAATGTGCCTGCTTTTGTAATTTCCTGCCTGCCCTCACCCACTAGAGAATTAACTCCAGTAACTTACTGCTACCTCAGACTCTCCTGAGTGATTTTCCCCTCAGAGACTGCTTGTTGGAAAAAGAGGTAAATCATAAAAAATAAGCAAATAAATAGTAAACCAGAATAACAGCAGCAACAAAAACAGATGGTATGGAGGATTTAGCTTTATAATACTTATTTTAAAATAAAGGAACACATGCTCCTTGCAAGTAATTTAAACAAAATTGCACAAATTAAAAAGGTACAAGTCCCTGCCCCCAGAGCCTAGTGATAACCATGAGTAAGTGGACACATAGCCTTACAGACTTTATATATCTTACATTCCTGTATATGTTATATATACATGCATGCGTACATATATGTGCGTGTGTGTGTATATATATTACACATTGCAAAAAATGAAATTATGCCAATACCTAATCTGTCATTCTTTGTATTTTAACAAACATTGTGGACACCCATCCCTATTAGCAAATATAGAGCTGCCTGCATGGCATTCCCATACCTTTGTATTTTAAAGAGATCTAAAATTTAGTTTCATTGAGATATTTGATTTCCCATATATGATTGCAATGATATCTTTGTACATGTACACTAACAGACTCATGCTAACATTTCCATTGGAAAGTTTCCTTAAAAGGACTGATTATAAAATATGCTCATTCAAAAATGTGCCTTCCCAAACAGTTGTACAAAATTGCATACTGTCACTAATGGTATGAAAACCACCCATTTTCTATATTGTCCCAACCCTAACATTAAAAGGTATGTCAATGTGAGAGGCAAAGACCATGGGCTCCTTATGTATAGAATTTTCATTTCTCTGTTTACCAATGAGGTTGAGCCTTTCCTTCTGTGTTTTGTAGAGAGGCAGTACAGCTTACTACTCAGGGCTTCACCTCTGTTTATGATTGCATACAAGAAAGGAAAGGGATAGAGCTTAGTACAAAATTAATATTAAAATAGCTTATTAGCATTAATATTAGTTTTTGTTGATAATATCTAGACTTTTTTTGAACAAGTAAGATTTTATTTTCACAAGTGCAATGTTGCCTTAATGGCCAAAAGTCAATCAAGATATTACATATTATACATTAATAAATGACAAAAGAAAACATTTCAATAGACACAGAAAAACATTTGACAAATCCAACATCCATTGTAATAAAACCTCTGGCACACTACTAATAGGATAAAAATTCTGAGTCTTGCTAAAAGTAATCTGTGAAAACATCTAACTAACATTATACCTAATAATGAAAAACTGAGTGCTTTACTTGCAAGTTTAAGAACAAGACAATAATTTCCACTTCTAACATTCTACTCAACATTGTACTAGAATTATTAGCCAGGGAAATTATGCTAGAAGGCACAATAAAATCCTCCAGATTTAAAAAAAAATAGGACTTTCTTTTATTGCACACAATACAATCTTCTACATAAAAATTTGTAAGGAATTTACTAAAAACTCACTAGAACTAATAAATAATCTATGTCACAAGGTACAAGATCAACATGAAAATTAAGTTGTACTTTTATATACTAGCAATAAACAATCTGAAAATTGACAAGTGGGACCTAATTAAACTAAAGAGCTTCTGCACAGCAAAAGAAATTACCAACAGAGTAAACAAGCAGCTTATAGAATGGGAGAAAATATTAGAAAGATATGCATCTGACAAAGGTCTAATATCCAGAATCTGCAAGGAACTTAAACAAATCAACAAGCAAAAAACAAATAATGCAATTAAAAAATGGGCAAAGGACATGAACAGACACTTCTCAAAAGAAGATGTACAAGCAGCCAACAAACATATGAAAAAATACTCAACATTACTAATCATCAGAGAAATGCAAATCAAAACTACAGTGAGATACCATTTTACACCAGTCAGAATGGCGATTACTAAAAAGTCAAAAAATAACAGATGCTGGCAAGGCTGCAGAGAAAAGGGAATGCTTATACACTGTTGGTGGGAATGCAAACTAGTTCAGCCACTGTGGAAAGCAGTTTGGAGACTTCTCAAAGAACTCAGAACTACCATCTAATCCTATAATCCCATTACTGGGTATATATCCAAAAGAAAACAAATAGTTCCACCAAAAAGACACATACACTTTTATGGCCATCACAGCTCTATTCACAATAGCAAAGCCATGGAATCAACCTAGGTGCCCATCAGTGGTGGATGGGATAAAGAAAACGTGGTATATATACACCATGGAATATTACACAGACTTAAAAAAAAGAATGGAATCATGTCTTTTGCAACAACATAGATGGAGCTGGAGGGCGTTATCCTGAGTGAATTAATGCAAGAACAGAAAACCAAATACTGCATGCTCTCACTTATAAGTGGGAGCTAAACACTGAATACACATAGACATTAAGATGGGAACGACAGACACTGGGGACAACAGACAGAGGAGGGAGGAAGAAGGGGAATGGGATCTATGACAGGATCATTTGTACTCCAAACCTCAGCATCATGCAACATACCTGTGTAACAGACCTGCAACATACCTGTGTAACAGACCCTTTATTCTATAATAAAATTTGAAATCATTTAAACAATTCTTTTCGGTGTAAAGTCCTTGCAGTTCATTGGTTAAATTTATTTCTGAATATTTTTCTTTTTGATGCTATTATGAATATTTAGACTTCTAAGCAGGCAGTTATATCATTTGCAAAGTAAGAGTTTTATGCTTTTTAAGGTTTTAATGTTAACTTTTTGTAATTTTTCTTGTTTTAGCTGATTATTCGAATCTTCATGAAAAAACAATAATGACTAAAATATGAGTTACTGGGCAGGCACTCCTTTGTGGTTCTGACTTTGGTGGGAACACTCTCCACATTCCACAGTTAAGCGCACGGTTGCTATGGGTTTCTGGTAGACCGGACTTCAGAGAGTCAAGAAGTGTTTCTTCTATTTTTAGTTAGCCATTTTGTTTCAGGGATCTCCATATTTGAAGGTTTTTCCCAGTCTTGTTTCAGAGTCAGCAATGTTCTAAGGAGGCAGCTGTGGCCGCGTTTACAAATTCCAGTTAAGATCAGCTCAATTCAAGAAAGATCTGTCAGGTGCACGCACCTGGCAGGCCCTGGGAATGTAACAGTGAAGAGGAAGGCAAAGGTCTCTGTCCCCATGGAACTAACTGCACGCCTGGAATTCAAAGTGCAGTGCACATCACAATGGAAGTCGCAATGGGGGTGTCAGAGGGAAATCAACCTACCCTCTAGTTGAGTGTGGGCTGGCAGGGGACACAGAGGGTCCTTCCACTGCATGTGCTCAGACAAAAATGGGCCATGAGGGTTTTACAAAGATATTAACAATAAGAGCTGAGCAGAGGTTTTCATCTAAAAATGATCCTCGGATTAATTGATCAGCAAGATCTTCCTTTTGCAGGTCCCAGGTTTCCCACAATAATACCTGGGATTTATCTCCCTCTGATGGGTTTATTTCTTCAGAAAAGTCTGGTGTTTGTGACTCAGCATAGCCAGCTCTGCTTGTACGGAGGGCCTCTTCTGGGCCATGTGTACTGTAGGTATTACTGGCTTAATCCTAAAACCCACTTACGGGTAGTTCTTATTCCTATCGTGCAAAGGAGGTGTTGATGACTGACTCAGACACACCACCCAGTTGCTCTTCAAGGACGATTGCCCAACAGCCCCCAGTTCTTCCTTCAAGGTCAGCCTCAATTTTGGAGCCAAGGTGATGCTCTTCTAGAGGTAGCCCCAGCCAGGAACCCAGTAAGTCGATGGCATGAGGGTTGGGTCATTTCCACCACTTTGCAATCTTTGCCCCAGAGTCTCCTCTGCATTGGCACAGACGTGGTCAGTTTGAAGCCATAACCTGATGGCCACCCCTGCCCATTCCTGCACCCCTCCTTTTTCTTCCCAATGAAGTAGGGCAGTCCTAACTCCAGCTCACCTTCTGTGTCCCAGAGACTCTGACCTTCAGGGAAACTGAGGTCTGAAGAGCAGCTGCGTTTGTGGCTGATATTAATTCAAGGCCACCATGGATCAGGCACAGGGTCAAATGTGTTAGGCACAGACTTTGGGTCCCCAGAACAACCTGACTGGGACAGAAATCCCGATTCCTCCCATGTCCCTGTCTCCTGCCCAGCTGCCCTGACAGCTCAGGAGAGACGGGGTCTCCCCTAGTTCTAGGGCTCCATGGTGGGGCCTGCTGAGGATATGTGCTGACTGCTCTCTCTTTAGAAGTCATTCCGCTCACGCTGGGGACCAGGGGGAGGGGGAGATCCCAGGGAAGAGGGAGAGCTGGCTTGCAGGGAACGACCGTGGGAGTGTTTGCCTTGTAACCAAATCACAGAGGGTGCGCTTGTGAAGGGCTGCTTTATTGTCGCAACTGGAGTGTGTCTTCTCTTTTGGCACCTTGCAAACACCTCAGGTGCCACAGGAGTCTCGAGGGGCGGCTGGGGCTGTTGGGCAATGTATGAATGAAAGCTTTCACGCTGCCGCATTCCCCAGGAAAACTCTGGCAGCCCTTTCCCTCAGACCTTCCTTTTGGGCTGGGCTGCTGCCTAGCATGCAGCTCAGTCCTAGGGTCCCTCTCGAAAGCCCCAACCTGGGGCTGGCTCTACTGCGGCTGAAAGCAGCTGAAGGTTTTTAACAGTGTGGCCTTTCTCAATAAGAGCTTGATGAACAAAGTCAAAGGAGCTTTTGACTTCAACGAGAAAAAAAAGGAACCTTCATGTCCAACCAGAAAAATGTCCTTAATTTTGCAGTTGAAACAATTTGTATTCCATGTACTGAATAAAGCTGGGTGAATGTGTTTGAGACTTCTAAGAAGCACAGGCCAGGTCAGGGCTCCAACAGACTCCCAAGTTCAAATCCTTTGCCTCTGCCCTAGACCCAGAGGCAGGTCCAGGTTTAGTGAGGCCTATACTGTATACAATTTGGGCAGCCCTTTTAAAGAAAAAGATACAAAATTAGAACTGAAAATGAATATTTATCCGGAATGACAACAGAAACACCTGTAAATCACTGGAGATTCAGGAGGGCCCCTGGAGAACAAGCATACCCACTGGAGTTGGAGCCCAGGAAGACTCTGTAGGTCACCTCCACCTGGAGGAGCTGGTGACGGAAGTGCTGCCACCTGGGGCACCTGGAGCATGGCCCCTGCACCAGTCACAGAGAGGAGACCCCGACAGCCCCCTTGCCTTGGGCTGAGAGGTGTGAGCCAACAGTGGCCTGGGCAGGACCTCCACATTGCCCTTAAGCTCACATCCTAACATTCCACAAGGCCATCTGGGTGTAGGGTGACCAACAGTCCCAGTTTGCTTGAAACTGAGGGCAAACCAGAATGGTTTTCTGTGACCTCTGCCTTTAAGTGCTAGTACCTGAAAAGTCCCAGGCAAATGGGGACAAGTTGGTCTTCCTATCTGGTTCCATATATATGGCGGGAATGCCTCCCATCCACTGGTGATTGGTGACATGTTGCAGTCACGTGGCCATCAGGTCACACATGTTTGTAACAGGTGTTTACTTTTTGTAATGAGCTTCTGATGAATGCCAGGCATGACAGAATCATGTCTCAAATTCATCTTTCCAGGCTTTACCCATGGCCAGACACAGCTCTCATCTCTGCCAGACAGGTGCATTTCCTGGTGCTGAGCACCCATGGGCGTTGCTCAGTTTTCCTGTCTCTCAGATTGAGAGAGCCTGGCCCAGGCACTGCCAGACCCCCTCCAGGGTCCACAGATTCATTCCTGAGGTTCACCAAACTCTCAGGTACAGAGCAGCTGGCCTCCCTAAGGCTCTCTCAGCGCACTTTCCCCAGGCACACGATGGTGCCTGGGCGTCATCTCTTTTGGGGTTCTTGCTGAGCTCCAGCACTGGCCTAGGAAGGTTGTGGGTCTTCCAGCTCTTTGAGAGGGGACCCCATGTCCTATTCCTCTGAATACCAGCAACAGAGTCACTTTAGGAAGGCGCAGCCCAGTGCACCCGTGAAGGGCTTTGGATTCAGTGTTAATCAGCATCCATGATCCACACTGTCCCGGAGTTCAGGACTTCGTGGTGAGGGATGCTGGAATTTCTGTCCTGTCTCACTTCACAGTAGTGTAAGGAAGCTCGGGGAACTCAGGACCCTACCCAGGCTGCATTATCCAAGTCTCCTGACTCACAGCCTCGAGCCTCTGCACTCTGCTGTCTTCTGGTGCCTTGGGATTTCAGATGCCACTTTTGGTCAAGCCAGCCTTGGGGGACAGCCACCTGGGTGACTGTCCATGAAGTTGATGATGGGCTTTGTATAATTTTAACAATACAGTCTTAAAAAATTACTCTGGGAAATTTCAAATGCTTACAAAAATAGAATTGTAAGATTACCACATTCCAATCACTCAGCTTAAACAATAATTATCCAGTTTCATCTAGGCTCTGCATCATTCACCTTCCCCCACTCTAGAGTATTTTAAAGCAAATCTCAAGCTCATCAATTTTTCAGGTTATCCTGGTTAAAAAAAAAGGATTCCTTAAAATCCACGATATCCTAAAAACTTTACAAAATTCTATACTACCATTAAATATCCAATTAGAGTTCAAATTTTCCTGGCCACCTCATATATACTTAATGGTTTATTGTTCAATTCAGGATCAAAATCAAATAAATAAGATACATGGGTTGCAACTGGTTGGTTTGTTTCTGTTGATGGTTGGCCCTTCTCTCTCTCCCCTTCTTTTCTTGCCCCCTCTCTTTGCTCCTCTTGTCCTTTCTTCTCCGTAGCAATTTCAGCTGAAGGAAGGGGCCAGCTGTCCTATGGAGCTCCCGAGTGCTGCATTTGGCTGGGGCTCCCCTGCCATTGAGTGTGTTCCTCTCTGTCCCACCTGGGATGTGGTTTGGGAGCTGAATCTACAGCAGGCTTCCCAACTGGCTGCACAGTTGACACTTGGCGTGGGATAATTCCTTGTGGTGGGAACTGTCCTGTGCATTGCAGGATTTTTAGCGTCATTCCTGGCATCTCCTCATCAGACGCTAGCAGCACCTCCAGCTGTATCAACTCCAAATGTCTCCAGATATTGCCAATGTTCCCTGGGAGGCAAAATCATGATATTCTCATGTCTCCACATGAACATGCATGAGATATGTGATAAAGGCAAGGCCACTTCCTAGGCAGCCCTGTGCCCTCATCTGGGGCCACTGCTGTCACTGTGTCACTGACGGGGACAGCCCCACCTGGGGAGCTGATCCCTGGATGTGTTCCCCCTTCATAAGACAATACAGAAATAGACTAAACCACAGCTTCACTCCTATTGAAAATCTTTAACAGTCTCCAATATAAACATGAATGGGCTTCAGGATGAATATTTTTCCCTCACCTCTTTCTCCCTGACACTGGCATAACTTGGATTGATACAAAGAGACATTGATCATTGTTTCAGGCCGACTTCCTGGGCTGGAGGGCACACCGTTTCTGGGCCTGCCTTTCACACTCTCTTCTGTGTTCTGATGCGAACGTGGCAAAAGGAGGAGGCTCTGGTCACCACCCAGCGGAACATGATGGTATTTTGATTTCAGAAGCATGAATTCTGACAGACAAATACAACCAATGGCTGTTCCCTAGGCTGTTATTCTAGAAAAGACAAGTTTCACAATGAACTATTTTAGGGAGAAAATACATTAAAATTCCAAAAATGTTTAATAAAGTTTTTTCCTCTGCATTAGATGACACAATTTTGACTTTTTTCCCTCTGTTTTGTATTATTACAATTTAAAATGAGGAAAGCTATGTAGTCAATTCAGGTTAATTTGCTGTTATTTTGCCATCTTATTTCACTGCATTATTAAAACATTTAGAACTGTGTGTGTCATTAGTATTCCAAAATGTAATTAGCATATTTAATCAAAAACAATTAAGAACAAATACTGCTTCCCTTTTTAAGTAATAAAATATTTACTACTGTAAAAACAAATGGAAACCAAACAATACTTTGAGGACTGATTTCTGAGAAGAAAGGAAAGAAAGCGCGAAAGAGAGACAGAAAAATAGATGGGAAAAAGAGAGAAAGAAAAGAAAAAGAGACAAAGAAAGGGCGGGAAAGGAGAAAAGAATCCCAAGGAGACTTGCCAACTCTAAGATCCCTCTGGTGGATTTTTTTACCATTATTTTTTTCCTCTTGGGAATTTTGATTCCTATAAGCCAAGTGCAAAGAAATAAAATTTTATTACTACTTCTCAAAACCATCATAAAGGGCAATGTGTGAACTAAGAAAAGTTATGTAATTTCCTACCTAGGAATTTGATTGCCCAGCTGAAAATTTCCTTTGGTAAAAATAAGTTTGGATGCTAAATTTTTGAATGAGACCTTGAGATAGCAGAAACAAAAAGAAAAAATGAAAAAAAAAAAAAAGAGGGCATTTGAAAATCGGTAGACTCTTTGCGCACTTGGAGGAGACTTTGAGAGGTTATCTGAATAGTTCCTTGCCAGCCAGCTAGCCTCTGGGCTTTTGCTGTGGTTTGATCTATAGCAAGATGCTGTACTGCTTTGGATTTCATGTACTCTATCTTGTTTACAGCCCATCGTATCGTAGGGACTTGGACTTTATGCCTCATGCCCTGACACCTGGAGTCTCCAGGACTGTGCAAACCAGTTGCACTGATTTTCTCCCTCATCAAGACTGTTAGAATCTGATCTCTCTACTTTTTCTTCATTTTTTCAGCACCCTCCTTCTTCTCTTTAATTCCTTCTCTCTGCAAGGTAGACTTTAAGGTCCACTTTAAAAATCACTGTCTTTCCAAAGACCCCAAATACCATGACCCATTGCTAATCACACATTCTTGGCAAATCTTCCAAATCTCAGTCAGACCAGCTGCCACCATCTCAGTGCTTATACCTGAGCAGCTGAAGGCTAGTGAAAGAAATGACACCAAAATGTAGTTTGTGTTACCTTGAAGTCAAGGTCACCAACATTAGCATTAGTTGTGTTATAAGATCTTTTGTGTTTCTCCCGTCAGCATTCTGTCTACATTAGTAATTTCAAAAATTAACTCTCCTCTCAAACATCTAATTCCTCTTCTTCGCAATAATTATATCTTGACCTGGGTTCCCTCCAAAGCAGAGCCTGAGGGGAAAATTTATGTTCAAATACTTCTTTTGGGAATTTCATTCTAAGAACCAGGAGCATAAAATAGGAAGAAGGAAACTAGAAGGAAGTCAATATAAAGACGAGTCACCAAGTTAAATTGCTGTAAATCTAGATAAGCTCTTGCTATAAAACAACAAAAAAGAACGATTACACATGGATATTCAGTTTTTCCAACATTATCTATTGAAGAGAATGTTTCTTTCCCTATTGTGTACTCTTGGCACCTTTGTCAAAAATCAGTTTACCATAAATGTGTGAGCTTATTTCTCAGTTTTATATCCTGTTTCATTGGTTAATGATTCTGTTTTCATGCCAGTACTATGTCGTTTGAATTACTATGTTGTTTGAAGGTTTGTAGTAGATTTTGAAATCCTATACTGTGTCTCTGGCTTTGTTCTTTTGCTCAAGATTTCTTTGGTTACTTGGGGTCTTTTCTAGTTCCATCCAAATTTAAAAATTATTATTTTTATTTCTATTCAAATGTCATATGAAAAATGACATTTGAATTTTGATAGGGATTGCACTGAATCTGTAGATCACTTTGGACAGTATAAAAATTTTGACAATATTAATTATTTCTATCTATGAACATGGAATATATTTTCATATTTTTCTGCCATCATCAATATTTTATAATTTTCAGGTTACATATCTTTCATCTTCTTCTTTAAACTTACTACTAAGTATTTTTATGCATTGTGAATAGGATTGTTTTCTTAATTTTGTTTTCAGATAGTTTTGTTGTTGGTATATAGAGGCATAATTGATTTTTATACATTGTTTTTGTATCCTGTAACTTTAATGAATTCATTTATCAGTTCTAACAATTTTTTGGTAGCATCATTAGGGTTTTGTATATATTAGAGCATGTTATCATTAGACAGAGACAATTTTGCTTCCTTTTCTATTTGAATGCCTTTTATTTCTTTTTCTTATTTTATTGCTATGTCTAGGACTTCCAGTACTATATTGAATAGAAGAGGTGAGAGTGGGCATCCATGCCTTGTTTCTGAGCTTAGAGAAAAAGCTTTCAATTTTTCATTATTGAATATAATGTTGGCTGTCAGCTTGCCATATATAGCATTTACTGTGTTGAGGTACATTTATTCTATATCTAATTTGTTGAGATGTTTTATCATAAAATGATGCTGAATTTTGTCAAGTGCTTTTTCTTCATCTATTGAGATGATCATGTGTATTTTGTCCTTCATTTTGTTAATATTATGCATCACATTCATTGATTTGCTTATATTGAACCATCCTTGCATCTCAGGGATAAATACCACTCAATCGTGGTAAAAGACTCTTTTAATGTTCTGCTAGATTCAGTTTGCTAGTATTTATTGAGGGTTATTTTATCTATGCTCATCTACAATATTGGCCTGTAGTTTTCTTGTAGTGTCCTTGTCTTGCCTTTGGTATGAGGCTAATTGGATCCTTAGCTTACACCATATGAAAAATTAACTCAAAATGGGTGAAACATTTAAACTTAAGACCTGAAACAGTAAAACTCCTAGAAGAAAACAGGGGAAAAGCTCCCTTATGTTGGTCTGGGCAATGATTTTTTGGATAAGACCCTAAAAACAGAGGCAACAAAAGCAAAAATAGACAAATGGGATTGTATCAAGTGAAAAACTCCTGTAGAGCAATGGAAACAATTAATAAAGAGACAACCCATAGATTGGGAGAAAATACTTGCAAGCAATACAGTTGATGAAGGAATAATATACAAAATATATAAGAAACTCAATTCAATAGCAAGAGAACAAATAACTGAATCAAAAATGGGCAAAGAATCTGAACCAACATTCTAAAAAAAGGCATACATATGGTCAACAGAAATATGAAAAAATGCTCAACATCACTAGTTATCAGGGGAATGTAAAATAAAGCCAGGATGAGTTTTGTCACCTCATACTTGTTAGAAGATGAAAGATAACTAGTGTGTTTAGCATGAATGTGGAGGAAAGGGGACCCTGGCACACTACTGGTGAAAATGTAAATTAGCATAGCCATTATGAAAAGCAGTAGGATCCAGAAATCTCACTCTGGGTGTATATCCAAAGGAATTAAAATCAGTTGAAGAGAAAATCAGTTGAATTGAAATGTTAAAGAGGTATTTTCACCCTTTTGTCCATTGCAGCATTATTCACAACAGCCAAGATAGGGGAGCAACCACAATGTTCATCAACTGATGAGTGAATAAAGAAAATGTGGTATATTTACACAATGAAATACTACACACTGTTTACAAAGAAAATCCTGGCATTTACAACAACATGGATGAAACTGGATGACATTACAATAAGTGAATAAGCCAGGCAGAAAAAAATCAGTGTTGCACAATGTTACTTATATGTGGAATCTGAGAAAGTGAAACCCACAGAAGCAGAGAGTAGAAGTTACCAGAGGCTGGGGGATGGGAATGGGGAAGGAAACTGTTGGTCAAAGTGTACAAATTTAAGTTAGAAAGGAGGACTAGGTCGGGCGTGGTGACTCACGTCTGTAATCCCAGCACTTTGGGAGGCCAAGGCAGGCAGATCACAAGGTCAGGAGTTTGAGACCAGCCTGGCCAACATGGTGAAACCCCATCTCTACTAAAAATACAAAAATTAGCTGGGAGTGGTGGCACATGCCTGTAATCCCAGCTACTCAGGAGGCTGAGGCAGGAGAATTGCTTGAAGTTGGAAGGTGGAAGTTGCAGTGAGCTGAGATCACACCACTGCACTCCAGCCTGGATGACAAAGTGAGACTCTATCTTAAAAAAAAAAAAAAAAAAAAAAAAAAGGAGGAATACGTTTTAGTGGTTCATTGCACAGCCTGGAGACTATAGTTAATAATAACATATATTTCAAAATTGCTAAAAGGATATATTTTAAATGTTCTTACTAGAAAAAAATAAGTAAGTGAAGTGATGGATAGGTTAATCAGCTTGATGTAGTCATTCTACACTGTGTACATTTATCAAAACATCACATTGTATTCCATGAATTTATACAATTATTATTTATATATTAAAAATAAGATAAAAAGTAAATTAAAAGGTTGTACAAAAATACAATGTAACACTAATATGGAAGTTATTGACAGTGACCTCAGTAAAAGGTCTTATATTATTTATAAATTAAAAATAAAAAATAAATTAAAAGGTTGTACAAAAACACAATGTAATACTAATATGGAAGTTATTGACAGTGACCTCAGTAAAAGGTCTTATACTCTCTAAGGAGAACCAGAGACATTGATAAATTTTAGATATTATATATCAATTATGCATATCAAAATGTTAAGGCTGTCCACTAAGATAATAGCAAATAAAAACTATTCAAAGATTCTGGAAGTGAGTAAAGATAAAAAAATGGAGAGTACAAAAATTGTAAATCCAATGTAAGATAAGAGGAAAGCCTCTAGGGAAACATAGATATTTATTTATAATATGAAATATAGTAGAAATTATCCAAATACGTAAGTAATGATAACAAATGTTGTTAGGTTTGTCGAGGCAGCCCAGTGAATTGCCCATTTCTTCAGGAAATCGAAAGAGTGGGAAGAAATGTTATCCACTGGCATCTTTAGATGGATTAAAGTTTTCAAGAAACAGGAATTTGTAGGACTACATCATAGAAATCTAATTGTTATTTTTTAAATATTCATCTAAGGTATAATCTATGGAAATATTAAAAATAAAAGGTTGGGAAAAGATACACTAGGAAAATACTGAAAGAAAACAGTTGCAGTGATATTAACAGAATAGTCTTAAATACAGAAACCATTAGTATTTTCTAGTTGTAGTTAATGATTGTAAGGGAAAAATCACCAGCATAAGATAATAATTATTCAAACTTCACACAGAGAGGGACATCTATGGCTTGTATTTCAGCCATAAACCTGTTATTTAGAGAGTGCCTGGCAGATGGTAGGAACTCAGTAAATAGTTGTGAAATGGAAAGTTAACAATATTGAACATAAATGCTTCTGATGCCCTGTCTGTAGGTATACATAAAGTAAAAATTGGCTGAATTACAAAGAAAAACAGAAAATCCCAAGATCATAGTACATTTCTCTCAGACATTGGTAAGAACAAGCAGGTAAAAGTATTAACAATACAGATAATTTTAATGTCACAATGACTGGTCTTTGTGTCATAAACATATCTAGATGCTTGCATGCAACATAAGAAACTATATATTATTTTAAGAACATATGATCCATTTACGAAAATTGATCATGCAGTAAGCCATAAATTAAGTCTCAAAAAGTAACTCGTATCATATTAGTCATTTTTTCTGACTAAACCACATTAATTAGAAATAAGGAACCAAAGGAAAACCTGCACTCCAAATACTGAAAAATATACATCTAAATAATTCATGTGTCAATAAAGAAATCAAAGTAGGTATTATAAAATATTTGGAACTGAGATACAATAAAAATTCTACATGTCAGAACTTGCGAGCTGTTGACTGGGAAAGGGCATAGAGGAATATTCTGGGGTGATAGAAATCTACTAAGTATAGTATTAATATGCACTTTTACTAGTTATTCAATGGTGCACTTATGGTATGAGCATTTCACTGCATATAAATATATATCAGTAATAATAATACCTGTGGGTTACTGTGAAAAAATACTTACATAGAAATTCATGTTTTCAAGCCTATAAAAGATAACTCAAGAAGTTAGAAAAAGAACAAGAGGAGAAAAATTGACATAAGAGTTAAGAGCGGAAATTATTAGAATATATAATAGAGAGATCAACAAAATCAAAACTTGGCTCTTTTAAATGATTAATAAAAGAGCCAATATTTGGGCAAAATTAATCAAGGAAACAAGTACACAAATGGGCATTTCTGGGTAAACAGGATAAAACTATATGAACAGTAAAGAATTTTTAACATCGTAAAGAAAGTTTGTTTTTAGTAATGGTAGTCTGGTTCATTTGAACCAATACCACTACTAGAAATAATTTAAAATACTGACTTACATATAAATATACAGAGACATTTCCTTAAGGGCATTGAAAATTTGGGAAAGTAATATTAAATTATCAGAACGCAACTGAAAGAACCATGGGGACTTTCACTCAGGCCATAAGAGATGTATTAGGATTGACATTTCTCTCATGCCATAAACAAATAGGAAAATAGACAGAATAAGTGAAACAACTGTTTTCAGATAAGCAGTGTAGACAGAGTGGTGATATTAATATCAGTCAAAGTAGCCTGTAGAACAAAGTATATTAGCAGCAACATGGTTAAGTTTATAATGACAAAGGCTTAATTTATTAGGAAGACATATAGTTCTAAATGTGTATGCACCTAATAGCTGAACTTCAACATATAAAAAGCAAAACCTGACAGAAGAAAATGAAAAATGGACAAAGCCACAATTATGGTGGGAAATTTCAATAGTCATCTCACAGTAATTGATAGAATTAGCAAGCCAAAGAAACAAGCAAGAATTTAAAAGATTCAAACAACACAATGAGTAACTTGACCTAGTAGCTGACATTTTAAGAACACTTCACCCTCAAAGAGCAAAATATATATTTCTTTAAGTGCCATGCAGCATTCACTAAGAGATACGATAAATGGGGCTGGAAATAAAATTTAATGTAGTTTTAAAATTTTAAACATAATGTATGTTGAAAATTAAATGTATTTTTAAACATATGCAAAATATGTTCATTGATCACAATAGAATTTAAGTAAAAACCATTAACAGAAAGTTACCTGAAAATATCCTCAAATATTTGGAAATTAAATAACATATTTCTAAATAATTCAAAGGTTAATGAAATAATTCAAAGGGAAAATTAGAAAGTACTTTTAATTGAATAGAAATAAAATCAGAATAATGAGTAAAGTCTTTTTTAGAGGGAAATTTATAGATTTAAATATTATGTTAGACCTAAAATCAAATAACCTAACTTTCAACTTAAGAAGCTAGATATCAAAGAGTGCAGTAGAGGAAGGACATCATAACAGCAAGCGTGTAGATCAGTAAAATAGAAAGCAGAAGAATAATAAAGAAAATTGATTAAGCGAAAGCTGAATCTTTAGAAATAGTGATAATTGGCAGCTCTCTAGCTAGATTGATGGGGAAAAAAGTTACATGTAATAGAAATGAAAGAAAGGACATTTGGCCAGGCATGGTGGCTCACAACTGTAATCTCAGTATTTTGGGAAGCTGTGGCGGGAGGACAGCTAGAGCACAGGAGTTTGAGTCCAGCCTGGGCAACATGGTGAGACCCTATCTCTACAATTTGTTTTTTAATTAGCTGGGCATGATGGCATGCACCTGTGGTCCCAGTTACTCAGTAGGCTGAGGTGGGACTATCACTTAAGCCCAGGAGGCCAAGGCTGCAGTGAGTCTTGATTGTACTGCTGTACTCCAGCATGGGCAATAGAACAAGGCCATGTCTGATAAAAAAGAAAAGTAAAAGAAAGAGGGAAAGGATATATCCTACACATATGCAAGTGAATCCTACACATATAAAAAAATTACAGGTGAAAATCTGAACAACTTTATAGTAATAAATTTGACAACTTAGTTAAAATGGACAAATTTCTCAAAAGATACAAATTATGAAAAGTGACTCAAGAAGAAACAGAAAATAAATATAATCCTATATGTATTAAAGACATTGAATTTGTAATTGAATACCTTCTCACAAAGAAAGCGCCAGGTCTAGAAGGCTTCACTGGCAAATTGTATAAAACAGGTAAGGAATAAATAATATAAATGTTATACAAATTTCTTCAGAAAATAGAGGAAGAATAAATACTTCTCAAATTATTTTACAGGATGTGCATAACATTGACACCAAGAACAGAAAATGACATTACAAAGGAAGAAAACTACAGACCTATATCTATCATGAATAAAGATGCAAAAATGCTAAACAAAATGCTCCCTATCAAATTCAAAAATATACAAAATGTGTTTTATAACAGGAAAGTTGTTTAAACATTATATATAAATCAATGTCATTCACAGTCATAAGAAAGTTGTTTTTGCTTTCTGAAATACCAGTATTTATTATGAAGCCATAATAAATAAGACATTGTCTTATGGGCACAGGAAAAAAGAGACAGCCCAGAGCTAACTAATACACAGGCTGGTACATCACAAATATGACCCAGCAGAGCAGTGGGGAATCCACATCTTTTCTCTGAATGGTGCTGAGCCGGCTGGGCAAACATATTCCAAAATAGGGTGGTATATCTACTTTTGCCCTGCACAAAAATCAATCCCAGGTGTCAATTATAAAAAGCAAAGTCTAAAGCTATTAGATGATAATAAAATGATAACAAAGGACATAGATGATAATAGAAGATAAGATCTTCAGAATCTCAGGATAGAGAAAGTTTCTTTCTTTTTTATTTTTTTCCAAGATGGAGTCTTGCTCTGTCCCCCAGGCTAGAGTACAGCGGCATGATCTTGGCTCACTGCAACCTCCACCTCCTGGGTTCAAGCAATTCTCTTACCTGAGCCTCCCGAGTAGTTGGTACTACAGGCGCATGCCACCACACCCAGCTAGTTTTTGTATTTTTAGGAGAGAGAGGGTTTCACCATGTTGGCCAGGCTGGTCTCGAACTTCTGACCTCATGATCTGCCTGCCTTGGCCTCCCAAAGTGCTGGGATCATAGGCATGAGCCACCGCGCCTGGCCGAGAAGTTTTCTTAAAACAGACACAAAAAGCGCTAACCATAAATGTGTTTGACAGGTTTTTCAACATTAAAAATAATAACTTCTACTCATCAAAAAGTACCATAAGGAAAATGAAAAGATTAAACCCAAAATGGAAATGTGTATGTAACAGGTATAATCAACAAGTTCTACTATCTGTAAAACATGAAGAACCCCTCCTGATCAATAAGGCAGAAGTAGATCATCTAACAGAAATGTAGGCAAAAGACTTTCTACATGGCTAATAAAATATGCCAAGACCCTCAAATTTATTAGTAGTTATGGAAATGCAAATTAAAATCATAATGAAATTCCTGTTCACATACATCAGGTTGACAATAGTTAAGAAGTCTGCAATACCAAATTATGTGAAGCAATGAAACGTTTCATACACTGTGGGTGGGAGTGTAAATAGGTAGAACCACTTTGAAAAATATTTTCTGCATCATCTCATATAGATGAAGATATGCATTTCCTAACATGCAACAATGTGCTCTAGGTCTGGAGATGCTTGCAAGACTGTTTATGCAACATTATTGGTAATTGGCAAACACTGAATATAATCCAAATGTTCATCAGTAGTAAAATGGATGAATAAATTATGATATATGCATATAATGGAATAGTACTCCTCAGTGAAAATTTGCAAGTGACATCTACAATAACTCAGATTAATTTTTCAAACAATGTTGAGCAGAAGATATGCAAGAGAATACATAAAGCACAATTCCACTTATTAAAGTTCAAAAACACCTAAGTCTCTACTATATACTTTAGTATATAGTAGCACAGGAAGTTTTTGAAGACCTGGTGATAGTTATGTGGCTTTCTGAATTCTACCTTTCTGTTTTATGCAAATTTTGGTATTTATGATATGTATCACAACAAAAAACACAAAGTGGTTACTCATGTTTTGGAAACTTTATGCCAATACATTAGGAAACAGAAATAACAAATAGTTTTATAGAAAAATAAAAATCCTCAAAATGGACATAGGAGAAATAGAAACACTGAATTGATCTATAATCACTGAATTATTTAAATAACACATTAAAAATCTGCCCCAAAACACATGATTTGGCCCAGGTGTTTTTGCAAGTGAATTTTAGTTTTACCCCAAATTTCAAGTAAAATCTCATTTGTACCTCATATAAACCATCTCAGATAACAAATAGGAGAGGAGCACTCATGGCTCCTTTTAGGAAGCTAGCATTTAACTGATACCAAATGTAGATCAAGAATGACACAATGAAGGGAAAGCTGAGATCTTGCTTCCTTATAAACAGATTTTAAAATCCTAAATAAAATATTAGCCGTGAAATTTCCAGATATGTTTCTTTAAAGCTCATTATGATTTAATAAGGCTTTAATCATGTAAGTGTAAAGATGATTTAATGCTAAAAAAACTATAAGGTTGTTTGTCAAATTAACACATTAGAGGAGAAAAGCTCTGGGATAAACTCCCTCCCTACATTCTGAAAAAAATTAATATAGTCCAACATATATTTTAATGAAAAAACTATGAAGATACATTTATTTAACCTAACTACCAAAAAATTTTACAGCAAATGTTGTGCTTAGAGTAAAATCCACTGGAAGCAGATCATTTCAGATTAGGAAAGCAGGAATAAGATATAGAAGCCTTCATTGTGAAGACCCCAGACAATACAGTAGGAGGAGAGACAGAGAGAGAGTGGGGAAAGGTGAGGAGGAGGAAAAGGCGAGAAAGTTATGAGAATTCAAAAGGAAGAAACAAATGTCTCCATTAATCACCGTGGATATGATTGTCAGCTTAGAAATTAAAGACATTATTAGAACTTATAATACAAGATACCAGAAGTTTACAAGAATCAAAATTTTATACTCCAAATAAATCAATAAATACCAATAGAGAATCTTGCCAAATTCACAAGAAACTGGTTAAAATCTCATGGGAAAAACAGGCAAAGATTATGCTTAGACAATTCACAGAAGAACCTTGCCCAGTTGCTCATGTCATTTCCATATTCCTGTAACAAGTAATTATAAATAAGATAAAATTAGATGCTTTTTATGAGATGGCAACAACATCTGTACATGACCTAAATTTAAATATAAGGTATGTAGGACATTTATGGAGAAAATTAGAAACAATATTATAGAATTATAGAATTTAGGTCTAAATAAATGAGCAGATACAAAGTTCATAGAAGAAAGACTAAGTACCAGAACGATGATTATTACCCCTAGTTAATCAAAAATTAATTCAATTTCAATATAAATGCCAAGAGTGGTTTTCCCTAGAAACTTACAGTCCATAAGAATTTTTGACCAGTTTGTCAAGGGCCGAGAAAATGTTGAGAAAGTATTAGGTGGGAATATCTACCAGATCCAAGGACTTATTATTTTTACAGTGATAGAAAAATAGAATAATGGAACAAGATCAAAAGTCTGTGAAATTAACTATGTACTTGACTACCATTTAGTATATAATACATGACAGTAGTGGCATTAAGATTGGGAGAAATGATGGTTTTAAATAAATAGTACTAGAACTCATGGTTATTCTCATAGAAAAAATAAAATTTGATGCTAACATTGTATCTTGCATGGACCTAAATTCCAACATTGTATCTTACATGCACCTAAATTCTGGTTGAATTCCAGACTGACATGTGAAGAACAAACCCAATACTTTGAAGATTTACATCTATTTTCTTCTAACAGTGTCCAACAAAACATAAAAATTCCAAGCCATAAATTTTCCTCCTATAAGGTGAAAAAATACCTCACAGACAAGAAATTATCTATAAGTTTATAACTGGCAAATGATGACTATGAAATACCAATAGAGAAACTTGCCAAATTCATAAGAAAATGTTTAAAATCTCATGAGAAAAACAAGCAAAGACCATGCTCAGACAATTCACAGGAGAAGAACTTTGCCCAGTTGCTCACGTCAAAAATCTAATAATAGTCATTCTTGATTCTGCTGTTTGCTTCACATTCCGCATGGAATCCTCCAGCATATCCTGTTGGTTTAACTTCTACAGCATAATCCGAATAGAACGAGTTCTCTCAACTCAACTTCCAGCTATAGCTGAGACCGATCCGCAGCCCCCTCCCTCCAGGACTCATGAACTTCTCGCTTGGCCTCCCTTTTTCCATCTATCCCCAGAGCACTATAAAAACCTATATATGGTGTGGCTCACTTCTCTTTTTAAAACCCCTCAATTTTTCCAGTCACCCTTGGGGGAAAAAAACATTTCTCACCATGGCTAAGATTCTATATGGCCTGGCCCCTGACTTCCTGTTCCAAATCGCTTCCTACCACTTTCCTCAGACACCTAAATCTCTTCCAGGCCCCAGAGACTGAAATGCTTCTCCCTGGACTCCCACCTCACACAGGCTTCCTCTGAGAGGCCTGGCACAGGTCCCTAAGCTACCCAATGGGGCCCTGACACCATCACCTCTGTCCCCCAATCCAGCATAATTTCTCTTCATGATGCCTGAAGTTGGATGATAACAGACTGAGAAGAAATGATAAAATCTCCTCCAGTCGAGGTGAGCTCCGGGGGGATAGATTACTTAGGCTCCCTAGCTCCCTGATTCACTTCTGTGTCCCAGGACTGAGAGCATGACTGGGCATTCAGTGAGTGAGCCCCGGGTTGCCATGGAATGAGAGAACATCGTCCAAACTCACCAGTCATCAAGGAAATACAAATTGATGGAACAGAGAGATACTGTCCTGCACCTGACATGGGAGAATGAAAGCCTCTAGGGATAGTGTTTGTGCAGACACAGAGACATGGCGACTGGGGCCATGGCTGCCACGTGTGCTGGCTCAACTCGAACCCCTCAGGTTTCTGCTTCTTGTCAGGCATAAATGTCCACAGACATCACTTTCCCTGTCCAGAGTGTTCTGGCTTGGACAATAAATGATGTGGCCACCCTCTGTCTAAGAATTTCTGCAGATGGAGGGTGGCATGAACTGTCGCACAGTCGGGCAGTGTCCATGCATTGAAGATCCGTTGCTCTTCGGCCCAGCAATTCTACTCCTTGGCACACATCCTAAAGAATTCCTCACTCCACAGATAAGGACACTTTGATAAGAATATTAATTGGATCACTATTCCCCTGTACTAAAAATTGGAACTAATGTCAATACCCTCCATGGAAGAATGGATGAATTAACTATTATGAAGTTATATAATAGAATAATATCTGTTAAAATGAACTAAAGTTACATGTGTAAAATTTGAATTCATAATGCTAAGTGAAAAACAAATTGATAAGAGAATCTATAGGGTTTTTGCCATTTATACAGACTTCAAAAACAAACTATAGTTATTGTTTATGGCTACATATGCACATGTACATATAGGTATCTGCCCAGGGTGGATGGACACCCAATGCTTTCAAGGGTACAGTTACCCTTGGGGTGAGGGAGGTGGATAGTGATGGTGATGGTGGCTTCAACTGTGTCTGGAAGGGTTATTTTATGAACAGTTGAGATTGGAAGTAAATATGGCAAAAACCTGCCTTTCTCAATATCTGTGTGGCACTTTAGTGGGCCTTTGTTATATTATTCTCAGCACCATACTATATGCTTAAAATGCTTTAGAATCAAAATCACAAAAATAATTTAAAAGAGTAGATATTAATAATTTAAAAATAAGCCAGGCACTGTGGCTCATGCCTGTAATCCCAGCAATTTGGGAGGCCAAGGCGGGCGGATCACTTGAGGTCAGGAGTTTGAGACCAACCTGGCCAACGTGGTGAAACCTCATCTCTACTAAAAATACAAAAAAAAAAAAAAATTAGCTAGGAGTGGTGGTGCATGCCTGTAATCCCAGCTACTCGGGAGGCTGAAGCAGGAGAATAGCTTGAACCTAGGAGTTGGAGGTTGCAGTGAGCCGAGATCGCACCACTGCACTCCAGCCTGGGTGACAAAGAGAGACTCTGTCTCGAAAACAAAACAAACAAACAAAAAACCAAAAAGAACTGATAAGTCAAAGAGCTGGTGTCATAAACATTTAGAAAAAAACCTCATAAAATAGACAAAACCCTATGTAGTATAGTAAAGAAATATAAGTTAATAGGAACCATGGCCACTTTAATAAATTGTAAAAGGCTGTCATGTACAGATCTATGCCAGAGAATTTCAAAAATCTCTGTGAAATAAATGTATTTTTAAAAATATGAAGTAACAAAAACCAAATAGCCCCCAAATGATGGAAGAGATGGAAAAAAAAATGATCTCCATCCCAATTATTGTATTGACGGTGTCTTGAGAACGTGTCATACCTTCTATCTTCCCCACGTGCTTGCACCTGCCTGCAGTGTGCAGTGAGCTCTAAAGAGGAAAATCTGCATGCGCTGCTGAAGTCACTGCCTGGCTCTTGGTGATGTCATGACAAAGGGTCGGAGGATAGGGAAGCTCCATTGTCAGGGTTCACGTTCAGCCTGTATAACTGTTGTTAAAACACTTCCTGCCACTTGGTAAAAACCCCAGCTTGACACCCTCAGTGCCTCCCCACTGCTTGGAGCCCTGGGCTTTCCCCACAATCTAGCAGTCAGGGACCCACCTCCTGCTAAGCCAGCCTCTGAGCCCTTCCTGTACCAGACATTAAATTCTATGGACGTCACTCATGCTCATGCTACCTAAAATATCTCAGATCTTAGAAGAATTGGGCAACTTCTGAATTCATTTTATAAGATTAGAATAAACTGCAATCTCTGAGCTCAAAAAGACACACACACGGGCACATACACACATGAAAATAAAGTATCGACCGCTTTTACCTTTGACTATGAGTACAAAAATATGACAACAAATCAAATTAAACATACTAATATAATAATAATACACATATAGAGTAGGAATGCTTTCCAATACTGTACGAATAGAACAATAGTAATACACTAGTAGGATTTATTCCTGCTACATTATGTGTAAACATAACTTACCACATCAACAGATTAAATTAGAATCTTTTAAGGAAGATGTCTAAAATATATCAGAAAAAAATGTCAGCATCTAATCTCAATGTCATCTCAACATGGCAAGATTGAAAGTGACATTTCTCAATACTTAAGACCATCTTAAATCACTAATTGGTAAAGTATGTGATGTGAAAGATTTGAGTCATTTCTATTACAATTAGGAACAGGATAAAGATGTCTATTTCCTCCACTTACATTCAACATGTTCAGAAAATTCTGCTCATTGCCATAGAACGAAATAAAAGATAAAAGATAAAAAAAGATATTTTATTGTAGATCTGGAAGATGTAACCTCTTGAAAGGAGGAGGAAAAGTGACCATTATTTGCATAGCACGGCTGTTCACAAATAGTCTCCCCCTCCCGAAAAGAAAGATCATTTACTGGAATAAAATTAAAAATAATAAGTATGTTCAATAAGATGATCAGTTATAAAATAAGCATTTCAAAATCAATAGCTTCAGGTTATAAAACCCAGTGGTAAGATTTTCTTCTTTATGTTTATTCATTTTGTTTTTTCAAAAAGGAGCTTATGCGGCTGGGCGCGGTGGCTCACGCCTGTAATCCCAGCACTTTGGGAGGCTGAGGCGGGCTATCACGAGGTCAGGAGATGGAGACCATCCTGGATTACACGGTGAAACCCCATCTCTACTAAAAATACAAAAAATTAGCAGGGCGTAGTGGCGGGCGCCTGTAGTCCCAGCTAAGCGGGAGGCTGAGGCAGGAGAATGGCGTGAACCCGGGAGGCGGAGCTTGCAGTGAGCCGAGATCCCGCCACTGCACTCCAGCCTGGGCGACAGAGCGAGACTCCGTCTGAAAAAAAAAAAAAAAAGAAAGAAAGAAAGAAACGAGCTTATGCATGGAGTGAAAATCAAAACTTAGAAATGCAGTTCCTTAGGAATCTGCAATAGTCAGTAGAAAACAAAATGTAAAATTAATCTATTTATAATCACAAAAAAATATAGTGCTATGGAATAGAGTTCACAAGAAAGATCCAAGGCCTTTATGGAGAAAGTACAAAGATGATCATGAAAATGACACTTGAGCCAGCGAGAGCAAAGATGGAAGCCCCGCATGGGGAGGCTCATTATTGTTAAGATGTCAATTTGGGGAATGTGATTTTTTTCCTAAGTCCACAATCTCTTTTAAGAGCTTTGGTGCAGTATCCTTGAAATACAATAAACTGCTCATATTTAAATCGTGCAGTTTGGTAAGTTTCCATGTATGTCCATGCCACACTCAAGACATATACGCCTCACCTTCCAAAATTCTCTGGTGCCCCTTTGAAAATTTCTCTCACTCCTCCCTGACTCCCCATCCTTATCCACCAACAAACACTCATCTGCTTTCTGTAGCTACATATTAATTTCCATCTCCTAAATTTTTTATAAATGAAATCATACAGTATACTCTGTTTTTCTTCCTTCTTTTACCCAGGATAATTATTCTGAGATTTAACCTTGTTGTAGTGTGTATCAATATTATATTCTTTTTTATTGTTGAGTAATATTCTTTTCTAAGAAAGTTGTTTTAGGGGAGAGGGGAACTAAACAAAACTGTTCTGAAATTCACTCTCTAGGATAGACATACAAGAATTATACAGAAACATTTGAAAGAGAGGTACCGTTAGTGTAGGTTATTGAAACCTATTATCAGGATACAATGGTGCAGGGTTAGAAAGAACAGGTAGATCAATGGATTAGAATGAAAATGCTAAAGACGGAGATAAATATAAAATTGTGAAAGGACAAAGAAATCAACAGGTAATGGATCGTTCATTTAATAATGCTGTTATGAAAACTAGTTACCTAAAGTTAACGTATATGTATGTAACATCATTAACAGTGAAACTGTAAAAGCATTGTCCAGAAAATATTTTCATAATCTTAAGTCATCTGATGACTTTCTAAATATTTAGCTAATGGCAGAAAACAAATTGAAAAAAAATAAAAGGTGTAACTATATAAAAATTAAAAACCCAAAGATTTTTGACAATATGGAAAGGCTGAAGGCAGACGATCAAGAAGGTCTTGACAACATGAATGCTAAAGATATTTTAAAGATTTGTTTTAAAATCTACAAAATTGCAAATAGAAAAATGAGATGAGCCTTCTGTACGTAAAAAGGGCATTCACAGTAGAAAATACACAAATGTGCATACAAGAAGTTGAAAAGATGCTCAAATTCACTGTTGATCAGACAGTTTTGTGAGTCAGGGTAAGGCATTTGGGTTTTATTGGGAGAGCGATGACAGCTACTTAGGCAGGGAGGGAGGCTGCAGGGAGACGCTTGCAGGTGCAGGACCGGGAAGAATAGAGGCAGGAAGCTGGCTGGGCACTTGATGTGATGCATTCTTGATGTATGGGGGCTTGTGTGGAGGCAGCTAGGAGGGGTAGATTGGGAACATATTTTGGAGAAGGAGGCAGAGGACTTTGTTCATGGGTGGACTGGGGGTGGGGTAGGTGGTCATCCCTGGTACCACTGGCTCCTCTGACTTTGTCCAGCCAAGGCCAGTGCCCCCCTCTGCTGCAGAAGGGACTTCTGTAGAGAGCTGCAGTGTGGAGTGAGGACTTGAGTCTCATTTGCGAATGCCATTGGCTCTGGCTTTTGCTGGAGGAAATGCTCTGACAACCTTCAGATCAAGTGGGGAAATCTGTAGGATATTTGACAATTCTGATTTCACATTCAAAGTTTGAAAGTTTCAGAAAATGCAGTGTTCATTTATTCATTTCCCGAAATAGGAAGCTTGTATCAGCATTAGCCAGGTAGCAGGCACTGTTCAATACCATAACAATCAGAAATATGTGTGCAGCAAAGCCCCCTGCCCTCCAGCAGCCTCCAGACTAGATAAGCATGCAATAGAGCTCTGAAACCAACAAGCATGGAGAAGGGTGTGCCCAAGCGCCTGGGGCATCTGGGAGGGGATTGTGGAGGGTGCAGCCTGCTGAGGCTTCAGCAGCCCTTGGTGGGCAGTTGTACCACAGTGGGCTCTGTGCTGACCCCCCAGCCCATGTGCTCATTTCAACTTTGTGTCAACTGTGTAGGTAGGCATGCCTTCCTTGCCATGATGTGGAAGAGACAGGGTCTTAGGGAGGTTGTGTCCTCCTATGTGACACATCCAAGGTCACAGCCAGTGAGTTTTAGAGCAGGAGTCACCTCCAGGCTTACACTGAGTCTGCCCTCTTAGCCACAACTCTACACACTAATTTCTACTTGAACAAAGGCCAAGAGTTATCATGGTGGACCAGAGGCTGGGCATTCAGAGAGAATGGTCATTGCAAAGGACCCAGTTGAGAGCAGCAGTAGACTTTTGGGGTGTGTATAAGTGCAGTGTGGCCAGTCCGCTGGTGTGTTGGGGGAGGGTTGCAGATGAGATTGGGCAAAGAGCAGGGGCCAGTAAGGTCGGCCTTGCAGGTGACACTGCAAAGTTTGGGCTTCCCCTCAGAAAGCCCTGGAAACACTGATGAAGTTAAATAGGGAGTGGCATGAAGTCTGAGCATTTTTGGAACATCTCTGGGGTAGCAGTGGTGTGAAGGAGGACTGAACTCAGACTGGAGGAGAGAGAGGTGCTCCTGGGCTCCAGGTGGCAGAGCCAGCCCAGGGGCCCTGAGTGGGAGCCCTCCGGCTGGGGTTGTGGAAGATTTGGCATGTCTAGCTAAAAGCCTCCTCCTTCACTGTGATGTCCTGGACTTGAAAGGGGAACAAAGGACATCACACAGAGTGACTGGCAACAATGAGTTGGGGCAGGAATGGAGGACTGGAGGCAGAGAGGAAGGAAGGGACACTTCCGAAATGCAGCCAACATTGGTTCAATCCTCAGTAGGGGAAAAAGTCAAACCAAACGAGCGTATGATATTGACAAATGTCTCTTGGGCAAAAGTCACACCCAAGCCCTTATGTTTTAACCAATTAACAGGTAAATAATTTGCCGAAGGTAGCACAGAGCCACATGTGAGCACCTCTGCCCATGAGAAAGCTTTGTCCTGCAACTACTCATTTTCATGGGAATGTATTGCTTTCCATTTTCCCTTGAAAAGAGCTCCCCGGCATGATTCTTCAAGGCCAGCGCTGGCTGCTTTGTGCTAACCCTGCACACGCTCTGGAAGGATGAGAAGGCATCAGTGAGCTCCTCTGTTGGTTTTAAATCCACTAAGACCTCTCCGGGCTGATAAGACAGAGCTTTCTCAGAAGGAAAAACACATGGAGGGTTGTCTTACGTGTAAAAAGAGACATGCAAAAAGGTTACGTCCGAATTTGAAGGGCTCATTCATTTACCTGCCAAGAAAACATTAATTTATGTAAAGAAGCCTGGTTCAGCCCCCAAACGGTTAAATTTCCTGTAGTAGCATTTCCTGTTCGTTAGTTGTGAGTCTATCTCCACGTACAGAGGCCATCAAATCTGGCCACCAGAGACCTCCTCATCTACTTACATAAGGGTCCCAGGATTGCTCCTGTTCTTATGGAAAATATCTCGGAAATCCCCGAGCTGAGCATTTTGATCTCCTCTGCGGTGAGAGGGAGGCTGAGAAGGGGCTGAAGAGGGAAGAGAACACTTTCCTCGCATAATTTCATTTGTCAGGAGAATCTTGCGGCTGACATTGGAAGAGTGATTTAATTGATTTTAATCATACACCTGAGAGCGGGAAATTGAGCCCTCTGTCCTGAAAAATAATTCTAGGCTTCCACCAGAATATCTAATTTGCAGCTAATAGTTTTTTTTCTTGAAGTTTTGTTGTGAAGTTTGGAAAACACAGATCAAGGGTGAGTGTCAGATGATGAATTGCTGCCCAGGAGGCCGGGAGCGCCCAGGTGGCCCTTACAACTGTCTGGTCTTTGGGGTTCTATGGAATTAGGGCACATGGCTGCCAGTAGTGGACAAAATCTGCAATGCCTGCCACTCTGAGCACCCTTTGTCCTGCATGAGAACTGGGGCACAGGCACTGGGTGGGGTTGAGGGGGGTGGTCCTTCTGTGCACTCTGTCCCCTCTTCAGAGTGAGCATCCGATGGTCTCCAAGGCTCTAAGGTACCACACGTTGTCGTGGTCTCGATTAAACTCTGTGGGGGGCCACGATTCACCGAGTTTTCTTCCAATGAAGCCTTGGATCCAAAATGGATAAACATGAAAAGTGAATGAGTGTTGATTTCATCTTCTTACATTTAATCCGCTATAGGGAGACGTTATTGTGCAAAAGGACTTCTGGGTTGAAACGAGTTTACTCACATCAGAGAAGCCAGATCCATTTTGCATGGCAAAGAGCCAGAGCATCTTATAGTTGCTTCCTGGGAAAACCTCTTCCCATACTATTATTAGACCTTCCCATACTATTATTAGATATTATTCAGATGGGACTATGGTCAGCAAAAAATATGCTCATCCCCCAAAATACACAAACGCTGTAACAACCTTGTGCTTCATTAGCAAGCCAAGAGGGGCCATGCAGTGTGAATTTACCGGGAAAAAACTAGGGCGCACCCAGCAGTAGGTGCTCGGGACATGCCCAGGAAATGTTAGCTATAGAGACACCTCTCAGCTCAGTGCTGTGCTCCTTCCTCATAAAACTCAGAGACACCTGTGCTCTTAACACACATACGGGTTGGAAGGCTGTTGGGGATCCACATATTGCATGAGTATATGACAGGAACTCCTGTGTTGTTGGCCAGTGAGTTACCTAAAACTTTAAAAAACATCGATTTGATTGTATGCCTCTCATTCATCGACATATTATTGGTAGAATCAGAAGCCAGAGAATATTAAATAGGCCTTACAGTTTTTGCACATCCGGAACTGGGACATGGCACATTTTGTAAGATATAATTCGTGAAAGTATTTGAGTGTTTTACTTTACTAAGAATGTACTCATTAGGCTCAAAGGAGACGTTAAAACCAATCTCAGTGGAGCCGTGGGCAAGCCCAGTTGTTTGGTTCAGATCTGAACAGTATCCACAGCCCTCTCTGAGCCCTTCTTGCCCAGGTCGATGGCAGAACAGCAGTCTGGGTCATGGCACTGGGTAATTTGCCCCATGATCTTAAATAAGTCACTTTCTTCATGCCTTATTTTTTGTAGTTTTAAAAGGGGTTTAGCATAAGCCTTATCTATTGCCTTAGGATGCCATCTATGAACAAAATAATAGACACGAACCTAGAGTCTTTTGAGAACAACAGGAAATTAGATGCTTAGCTTTCTTAAGATGTCTGGGACATATGGTGCATTTATGCTTTTAGTATCCAAAAGCCATCAGTCCACAGGTGGATAAACCAATATCCTTTGTTTACCTGGAGCTCTAGATGACATTTACAGATGAGCAATGTGTTACAATCATTGGTGGTGTAGAACTGGACTAAGATGTGGGGAATACAATACCCAGTTTTTAATTTAAACTTAGCCATCTATGTGTTTTGTGAGGTAAGGAACTATTTCAGCCTCCCTGAGTCTTAGTCTTCCCATCTGTCAAATGGGAGAAGCATCACCATCTTCCCCTCTGGCAGCCTGGGAGGGAGGTGGAAATGCAGCTTCTCAGAGTGCCAGACAAGTATGGGCTGCCAGGACTGTCAGATCAGATACCCTGAAGTCTCTGCAGACAGCCAGGCACCTGCCAAGGAGCCTCTGACCAGAGTCCCCGGGGGGAACCATCATCTCCTAACCTGCCACGATGCAGCCAGCACAAGGGCTGAGGGTGGGACTTCATCTGATCAGGCATGATGTCCACCTGTGGCTGGCATTGTGCACTTGACCCCAATGCCCACTGGCTGATGCTGTGCAGGCAACGAAGAATGATGATGCAAATTTAAGCCCCCAACCCCTCCTGGAGCAAGCCTGGTAATTCATGCAGCACAGGATCAGCTTGTAGCAAGAGAAATAGTCTGGGAAACTGTGACTCTACTTTGACCACAAGATTGATCTTCAAAGCAAAGAGAAAAATCAGCTGGTGGCCGAGCAGAGCACTCTAACAGGACAGGAAGTTAGAACTTAGCCTTTGAACGGTCTCTCTGGGACACTTTGCCTAATTCTTAGGCCTAAAACTGACAAAATGCTGAGGCGCTTAAAAATGCTGCCCTTTAGAACATTCTCAGTTTTCCAAGAGTATCAGCAGCAGAATCCCTTGCATCTGGGCAAGCTTTATAGTTTACAGAGTACTTCTATAAACATCACCACATTTAACTTTCACAAGAATCTTCAAACTCCATATTTAATATGCTAGCATGGGCATATTGGGTCTTGGTGTATTTAAATTTAGAGTAGAGCTGAGTAAATTTAAAATGTGAGAGAAGTCATTAATCTGCTTATTAAATACAGTTATATATTCAGAAACATACCTTTTACTTAATTTTAATCTTTTTGATGTCACTATCCACAGTGCATACATATGCGTATGTACACGCGTGCACATACACAAACACACACATCTCATCAAGAAACATTTCACAGAACTCTACTTGCCTCTAAGATAAGTTCTCTAATATTCATATTTTATTCAATTAATTTCATTTTGTATAAAGTGCTGGTTGCAGTTCTCTAAATTGACTTCAGGGAACACAAGCAGGGCAGAATCAGCAGCTCGAGACTCTCGGTCTCTATGGCTTTAGCCATTCTCACAGGTACATAGTGATATCTCATTGTGGTTTTAATTCGATTCTCCCTAGTGGCTAATGATGTTGAACATCTGGCTGTTTCTTTTTAACTTTATCAAATAATTTATCTTGTTTATAAATTGAGATAACCTCCATTTGCCTCCCTCATCCCCCTTCTCAAGAATTATTATTCCTTGTAGAATCTTCTGGCTATGGAAAGGAAAGAGCAGAACATTCCTGTCCTCTCCCTCCCGGGTGTAGAAACAAGTCCCTCTCTGAGGCAGGCTTCCAGGTGAGCCCGGTCAGGGAGGAACAAGGAGGCTACCAAGGCAACTTAGCAGATGCGCCAGTGTCGATGGCTGAGACTCGAGTGGGCAAAGGGAGCTGAGGCTGAATGTGAAGCAAATCCAAGTTATGAAAACTCCAGCTGTGGCATCATCATCGTGTTCGGCACAATCTTGGGAGCTGAACCCTCTCTGTTTCTCTTTCTGTATCTTCACTTCTCTGCATCTCTCCCTCCCTCTCTCTTTCAGTCTCTTTCTGTGTCCCTGTCTCACCCTTTCTTTCTATTCTTGGTAACTGGCAAACATTTACAACCCAACTAAAACGCCACCAGGATAAACCTTGTGTTTGCTCTTTGGACGATATTCAATAAATTATAGTAAGCTGCAAATGTCACTGGATTGGGAACTGTAAGTGCTTTGCCTGTAAGTCTTTAAGCAAAGACCTGCAGCTGAAGCAGTGGTAAGGGGAGCCCCAAGGATAAGCTGCTTTTAATGTGGGGCAAAGCGGTTTTCATGCAGGTATCTCTGCATTAACCTTGCAGGAGACTGCACAGTGAATGGGGCTGGACTTCGCTGCTTGTCTCTTCAGTGGGTCCATCTCCTGCCTTCTCTAAAAGTAGATTAGTTCAAACTTATTATCAACAAAAACCTGCCAGAAGATTGCAATTGTGTAACTATGATGCTCATCACTGGAGACCAAACTTGGGCCATTAAATCCACTGCATTTGTGATTTCGGTGACCTGAACTGCCAATGGAGGTTCTTTGATGTAAAATGTGAGGACAAGAATCAATTGTACCCACCAGCTCCCTTTAAACTATATCATAAAAATGCAATGGAGCTGTTCCAAGCAAAGGCTGACACTAGTCTCTGCTTGCACAATTCTCTCAGCACCGTCCTCCCAGCTGGGATATCTCAGTGTCCCTGTCTTCCAAGACCAGGTGGTGGAAACGGGAAATTGCGTTGCATTGATTATTTTCAGCGAAAGAGTTTGCAATTTCCATCTAGCATGGGAAACATTTTTTTCATGCTCTTTAAGGAAAAGACAAGATTTATGACAGATCAGAATTATTATTATTATTATTATTATCATCATCATTATTTTGAGACAGGGTCTCGCTCTCTTGTCCAGGCTGGAGTGCAGTGGCGTGATCTCAGCTCACTGCAACCTCCGCCTCCCTGGTTCAAGTGATTCTCCTGCCTCAGCCTCCTGAGTAGCTAGGACTACATGCACATGCCACCACACCCAGCTAATTTTTTTTATTTGTAGTAGAGAGGAGGGCTCACCATATTGGCTGGGCTGGTCTCGAACTCCTGACCTCAGGCGATCTGCCCACCTCGGCCTCCCAAAGTACTGGGATTACAGGCGTGAGCCATCCTGCCAGCCCAGATCAGGATTCTGGAACATCACCAGGTAGTATTCTTTGTGGGCACACCTGCATCAGCACAGAGTCCCTGGAAGGCCAGCCCTGGAATGTGTTTCACTGATGAGCAGTGTCTTTTTTTGCAGGCCAACAACTCTGGCGAAGTCCTGCCTTTAGCCTTTACCTTCATAATTTAGCTAAGCTTTTTTGGTTGTTATTCACCATTTTCCCTGCTGTAAGGCCCTTCTTATGGCTTTATGTATCTTCCCTGTTATCTAATTTGTAAACAAATATAGAACTAGAGCTGATTGGCAGAGGGCAAATGCAGTTACAATTACAGCTGTCCCCCCTCATCCTCAGGGTTGTGCTCCAAGACCTCCAGCGGATGTCTGAAACCTTGGATAGGACTGAACCCTGTATATACTACGTTTTTATTTCTGTATATACATGACTATGATGAGGTTTAATTCATAAATTAGGTACTGTGAGATGAACAACAATAACTAATAATAAAACAAAACAGTCGTAACAATATACTGTAATAAAAGTTATGAGAATATGGTTCCTCTGTCTCTCAAAATGTCTTATTGTGCTGTACTCACTTATTCTTGAACCGAGGGTGACCGCAGGTAACCTAAACAGCATAAAGTGAGACCATGGAGAAGTGGCGATGGGGGATGCTGTGATGAAATGATAGCAAAGGGCCAAACACTGCATTGTTTTGTTTTGCTTTTTCTTTCTGTGCTGTGGGCACCCCGGCATCCACTTGTTCTGAGTACGTCCAGAAGCTCCTTCCTAGCTCCCCTTGATTGTCCAAAAGCCACACACAGTGCGTGACGGGGCAGGGGAAGCAACTGCATCCGGGCCTGGGCTCAGGGCTGGAGCCGAGGGTGTGTGGGCAGAGAACTCGGAAATCAGCCCCCGAATTCCAGTTGTGCTTTCCCTCTTGAATTACCTGGCTTTCCACCAAGCAGAACTGGAAGCTAGGTTTTACTGGTGTCATCAAGGATCCTGGCTCTTCCTTCAGCGTGGGGGAATGGGGCATGACTCCGTCTTCCCCGCATTGGGAGAGTGTGGTTCTCTCCCAGGCAGAACTGGGAATTTTTCTGCCCTTTGAGGTCCAGCCGTCAGGCCACCCAGGTGCCATGGGGCAAGGATTTGATGAACTTCTTACTGCAAAAGTGGAAGCTGCGGTGATAACTCAGGCATTGCTTCAATGTAGATGTTAACATAGGCAAACAGAAGTGAAAAAATAAAACCCTGCTTGAATAAATGTCCAAGCCTGGCAGAGCAAAAGGTGCAGAGAGGGAGAGTGAGTGATTATTCTCCAGGCAGCCCAGGGACTGAAGACAGGCAGACCCTGCCCCGCGAGGGAGGCGACAGTTTGCTGTCATTCCAGAAGCAAGGGGCGGGGACACTGTCGCCTGGCTGATGCCAGGGTGATGAGGACACTTCATCAAGGTGACGTTGCCTCAAGATGTGCCTCCGGTTAGGGTGCAGGAGGCAGACTTGGAGGACAGTTCTGAGGGTGGGCGTGGGCATCAGTGCCTGTGGAAGGAAGGGCAGGGAGAAGGCAGGACTGGATGGAGGGAGAGGTTAAGCTGCCATGCTCCACTTCCTCATGTGTCCCAGAGCTGGAACCGCCCTCAAGATCTGTTCCTAGTGGAGCCAGGACAGCCAAACCTTTCTGCACTCTTGGGTCAGCCAGGGGTGAGGGCTGCCAGGAAAGAGTGGCCATTGGGTGAGGCTGGTGTCTGCAGCTGGAAAGGTCTCTGCAGGGGGCTCACCCAACAGAGGAGGAGTAATTTAGGCTGGCTCCCCCGTCCTCGGTCAGTCTTGTTGTGATGTTATTATTCTATACCAGGTTCTAGTTCTGAGATGGGGATCCTGATGACACAAGGGGGCTTTGTGCGGCCCTGTGAGCCCCAGTCAACCTGAGAGCCCCTGCCCCGGGGAGGGGTCCCAGCAGAAGAACAGGGCCTGCCTGTGGACAAGCTTGGGTAGGTCTGAATGTGGTCCTCAGAGGGAGGCCTTTGGTTTCCTAGGCAAATACCCAAGTCTTCACAAAAGAAAGATGCCGTTTGAGAACAGAGACAGAAACTGTCCTTAAACTTTCTGTCTCCCTGCAATAAAATTCCAGCCAGCAAGTGTGTGTTTACATTCCAGTTCTTCTCCTTCTGACTACGTAGCCTTGGACTAGCCCTTCCCTTCTCTGAGTCTCAGCTGTCTCAGCTGTAAATAAAATGTTCATATCCTCCTTGGTGGGTTGTTTTAGGCTTAAATGCACTCGCAGTAAATGTGACAGGGTTTTGTATATTGAAAGCACATACATTAGATGGTATTGTCATTACTCTAAGCTTCAGGAATTGGAGACCCAGCTTCCGCTAGGAGAACTGTCTCCTGGAACTGTGATTCTGCCTTCATCTTGGTTCATGAAGCTTTTGCCAATGGACTTCCTAGGGAGGGGAGAATGTCAGGGCTTCTTCTAGTGATGACAGATGGTATAAAAATGATTTGTCACCAAATACTAAGTATAAATGCAGACACAGGGCTCACCTGCTCTCACCTGCAAGTGGTAGCAGAAGGAAGGCCGCCTAAAAAGTCAGAGATAAGGAGTGTGGTTTGCATCAGGCCTCAGCATAACACCCACGCAGAGAAGGCCAGTCCTAAATTTGCAAAAGCTCAGACTGGGAATTTCATTGATTTTAATTTATTGCTGGTGGCAGGTTGCTGGCTACATTTCACAGTGGATAGCTTTCAAATGGGTGGGAAAAGAAATCCTTCTCAGCCAACAGACGTCCTATTGAAAATACTTCCCATCTGGGTGGGGAAGTCGGAGGGCACAGTGGAAAGGTCACTGACAACATCAGTCACTCCGCACATCCCGGGTGCCGAGCAGGAGTCAACACATAAGAGAGGACTGGGGGGCCGGGCGCGGTGGCTTACGCCTGTCATCTCAACACTCTGGGAGGCTGAGGTGGGCGGATCACGAGGTCAGAAGATGGAGACCAGCCTGGCCAACATGGTGAGAACCTGTCTACTAAACACACAAAAAATTAGCCAGGCGTGGTGGTGTGTGCCTGTAATCCTAGCTACTCAGGAGACTGAGGCAGGAGAATTACTTGAACCTGGGAAGCGGAGGTTGCAGTGAGCCGAGATTGGGCCATTGTCCTCCAGCCTGGGCGACAGTATGAGACTCCGTCTCAAAAAAAAAAAAAAAGAGAGGACTAGGGATTTCTGGGACAGAGCCCCGCTGATGTGGTGAGGGAGACTCCAGTAGGGGTACTCTGGGTGGAAATGCGTGATGTGCGTTTATTTATTTAACAAACATTTATCAAGCGCCCTGTTAAGTCCTGGGATGGTAGCAGTGAACAAGATCCAAAAGTTCTCTCCACCAGAGGAGCATGTGTGCTCCTGCATTATTACCTGTGTGATGTCATGAGTCGGTGACGATAGTTTTGGGGAGTTCTGCTACAAACATTGTCCTCAGTTTACCAGGGTCCTTCACCTTGTCTGGATCCACAGTTTGAGAAGCAGTTTCGCTGAACCCAGTAGGTGGAGATTGCAGTGAGCCGAGATCGCAACCCTGGACGGCAGCCTGGGCGACAAAGCAAGACTCTGTCTCAAAAAAAAAAAAAAAAAAAAAAAAAAAAAAAAAATTACATTGTTTTTCATTTTCATTAAAATTGTTTTGAGTCACAACCAAAATTATAAGCAGCAGAAAAATAGAAGTAATCATAACTTCCTAGACAAAACAAAAAAATTATATGCTGTGAAGGTAAGACCACCACTAAGGGGGCTGTTCTGAGGCTCAAATGTGATAAGGCAGGTGAAAAAAGAGAAGATGCTTTCTAGGCACTGAGTCAACATGTCTCATGTTTATTATGACTTTATGGGAACTTTCACAGAAAGGTGCTTAAGAAAAATAAATCAGCAAGCCAATCTAATGAGAATCTAAAAGAGTCCATATCCTTACATGTTTTTTGAGCAGTCGGGGCTAAAACACATGCGCTGAGTTACAGGATAAAAAGACAAATCTGCCGATTAACGATTTTCAGATTGAGACAGAACTCTCCTGTGCTTACCTGGCTCTCTGCTATGAGGCTTGATGGGGGTACTGGAGGGTGGAGGGTGGGGTGAGAAGTAACCCACCCTGCCCTCAGGGGGTTCACAGTTTTGCGGGACAGGCTTCTATGAGACTATCTTGAGGCTGCTGAACTGACCAGCCCAGTGCAGCCTCTCCCGCCCACATCTCCGCATGGGATGGCTCAGCCATCTCTGCATGATGCTAATTTTTAAATTTGCTCAATAAGTAACAGTGAGAGACATTATTCTAGGTACGTGGTGCCTACTGGAGTCTTCCACTTTGTTTTTGATTCCAGGTCTCAGTTCATCCATCAATGAAAAGAGGCTTAGTGAGAGTGACAGTGAGACTTCATGCGGCTGGAGGGAGATGGACTATGACAATGTGGGTAAAAGGCTTGCTCTCCGCAGTACAGCTTCTATAACCAGTGACTATCAATGTTATAAACAGGCCATTTTGAGATACAACTTTTCATCAATATCATCTTCAGCCAACAAATCAAAACAAAACAAACTCCCAGAGGTTTTCTGTAATCAGTGGCAGTGCTGCTGGTGGCAGTGGTTTCCAGCAGTGAGAATGGTTGCCAAACGGCCCTGTCTCCTGCCCTTTCCCCATCATTTCTAGACATTTCTAATGTCTACGTTTCTTTTTTCTGCTTTGGGGCTTAAAAAATGTATGTCCCTGTTGGTCCTGACCACACATGCCAACTGACTGATGACTTTAATTATTAATGAATTGTTTGTGCACACTGATTATGCCCCAACTTGTTTATTTTTAAACTCTGAAGTTGTTGTAGTTAAAAAATCAGGGAAAGTAAATATTTGGAAATAAAATACAGAGGTATAAGTATTTATGAGGTTATATCTCAGAAAGACATGAAGGGGAAAAGAGAAATAAGTTTAAAAATAGTTAAGAACTAAGCATACTGATTTCAAAACACCTAAGACAAGTTTGTCTCTAATTTTTGAACTATGCAATTAATGTTTTTCGATTCTCCACCTTGAACTATTTATAAACACACCTATATTCATATATCAGTGCAGGTAGGCAGTGAGTGTATATTTTGTACAGTTTCTAATTTAGTGAAATGAATTGCTTAAAGAGTAAACAGGATGGTCACGTATAAATCAAAGTACCAAATCTGCATTTGAGAATAAAAGAAAGTTTCTGCATCACCATTTGCCTTCAACATTTTGTTGAGTGACATTTGCTTCAATTCAGGATACCTTGTTGACAGCAAAGCCAGAAGCTGATTATTCCACAGGCTTCTTAAGACCAATAAATTCTGCTAATTCCAGCCATTATTCAGCCGTCCCTGTAGTGCTGAGCTTAGAAATGTGGTTCCCTGTCTCTTGAGCACCGCCCATTGCCCAGATGGTCACCTTCCAGGGCAAGACACACATGACCTGCATCTGGTGACCCTGGCCCTGTCTTTGGGGGAGAGACCCTGCTGGCCATGGGGTGCTGCAGAGGGTTGGAGGCTCACAGGCCACACATGGCTCGTGGGCGGGTCCTTGGCATTTATTGCCTCTGTCGTATCTGTGCCTTCTCTACCCTCATTAGCAGCAATGCCCCTGAGCTCAGAAAGAGAGAAAAGCCAGCCTGGCTCTCAGAGGTCAGACTTCACCAGAGCATCCTCCCTGTAGCTTTATAATTAAACAGAGAGAGAGAGAGAGAGAGAGAGAGAGAGAGAGAAATAGAAGCCGGTAACTCAGCATCCTGTGTCAGTTACTGACCTGTGCCTCCTCCCACACTCTGATGGAAAGATCTGTGGCCCTTGATCCTAAGAATGCCAGCCCCCGGCAGCCCATCTCCAGTCCACTCAGGATCTGTGTGAGCGACAGCCACCGCTCTTAGGAACAGGCTGGCAGATCTGGGCAGGGTGTGGGGACAGGAAGCTGCCAGCCTTCTTTGCAATTCAGATGGTAATGTTCTCCTGGGCTTGTTTACCATCTGCTGGGCACACAGACATTTCTCTATTTGGTCATTAATTAATGTCCTAACTACAAAGCCACAGCAAACGTGCAAAACTGGTATTTCTGAGGCACTTGTTTACAAAGTGTATACAACTGCATTCCGCTCAGAATGTTAAGACTTTTGCTACTCAAGAATTGCCCATCCTGCAGTTCGTTTGAATCCTTTAAAACAAATTTTTAGGTCACAAACTCATTCCATGTAATAGCTCAGAGGTTAGTTAAATAAGTGACATCTGAATTTTATTTTATTTTTAACGTTTTCCCTAAAAAAGGAACGTTAAATCCAAACAGCACAAAGATACCCTTATTCCTTTAACAATCTTGTGATTGTATTTGAAGCTTAGGGCATAAAGGGACATGCGCTGAGATTTTCTCAGTTCACCCTCCCTTCTTCTTGACTGTAACACCTGCCTTTTCAAGTCCAAGACAGAATCCCAGTCTTGGTCTTGTCCCCTGAAAACTTGGTTGATCAGGGTCTTGAGCTTGGACCAGTAGGGTCCTGTTTAAATTCACCATGCGACCGTGGATGCATCTCAAAGTGTCTACATTTCAGCTTCCTTAACTTTGAAATGTGATTTTGGATGAGTGACCTGCCACTACAGTCCTTTTCCAGAGGAGGAAAGGTTACCAGAGGGGTGTTGAGGACTCATGGCGCTGTGGCTTCTGCAGACGCAGTCACCTGCAAAACGACTTGGACATTTTGGCGGGATTAACTTGGGAACCAAGGAGGAGAATAATCAGTCCCCATCATGTGATAACAGAAGGAGCCTGTGACTTCCTAGCCCCCTTGGGTGAAATCCCAGAAAATCATCCATAGGGATCTTTTGGATAAGAGCAGAGGTGCTGGGCATTGTTTATTCATTAAATCTGCCTTAAAACAACTGAGCCCTCCTGTAGGATATGTCCACCAGCCCAAAGAGCTGACCACTTCCAAGAGTGGTTGCTATGAGTCTAGAGGTAACATCTCCCCATTTCCATTTCTTTGACTGGGAAAAGTTGGACAACGGGCTAAGTTTTCTGGATATGGAATCAATGTAACTTCACTTTCTACAGAAGAACAGTCATCCTTATCCTAATCAAATCAGAAAGGACAGCCCAGCCAGGATTTGGAGTAAGTAAATGGGAGAAGGATTAAAAAGTGACTTTGAAGGTCCCTGCAGCCCTGGACTCCATGAGCTGATGTCCTGTTGCCTGGAGTGTCGGGGGTCCTCCTGGTCTCCTTGCTTTGTGCTTCCAGAAAGTGCCTCCAAGGAGGGCCTAGACTGCCATTGTCCCTGATGCCACAGTGAGCATGGACAGGGAGGCCCACGCACCCACAAGTGTGTGTCGGCACCATGGTGGAGAGAGGTGAGGCCCAGCAAAGGTTCGGATGCAGCCTATTATGACTGGGACTTCTTCCAATGGGAAGCCTGGCTCCAAAGGTTGCTCCTCAGAGGGCAGTGGAAGGTTGCGAGGCTGAGTTGCCAAGCAGGTGGAGAGGATGCCAGCTCACCTGGCTCCTTCAAAGCCCACTCTGAAATGGCAGTGAGTCTGAGGCCTGGAGGGTTCAAACCCAGGTGGAAATTACCGGATTAGCTATGAGCTTGGGGCAGGGACCAGGCCCAAGGGAGATGGGACCTGATGTTTGTTGGTAGGGTGTCCAAGCCATCAAAATGCCACTTTATTTTACATTGCACGTTCCCATGGCATTTTTTTTTCTCGAGATGGGGTCTCACTTTGTTGCCCAGGCTGGAGTTCAGTGACAGAATCTCGGCTCACTGCAACCTCCTTCTCCCGGGATCAAGTGATTCTTGTGCCTCAGCCTCCCGAGTAGCTGGGACTACAGGCATGTGCCATCACACCTGGTTAATTTTTGTATTTTTAGTAGAGACGGGGTTTCACCATTTTGGCCAGGCTGGTCTCGAACTCCTGACCTCAAGTGATCCACCTGCCTCAGCCTCCCAAAGTGTTGGGATTACAGGCACGAGCCACTGCACCCGACTTCCCTTGGCTTTTAATTACAGCACTAACCACTCTTAGGTCTAATGATCACCTTAAAATAGTGGCCAAATATTGGCCTTGGGAGAACATCCCCGAGGAGGGAATGTTCCCTTCCCCAGCCACTTCCCCTGCCCCGGTCCCTGTCCCTGCTGCAGCTACTGGGACTGAGTCCCACCACGTGGTTCATGGAGGCTGACCCAGGGAAGGACCTGCCCAGCCCCCATGCAGGGCATTCTTGCATTATCTGGGAAATTCTTCTGGCTTCTCCGTACCTGTTGAGACTGCAGAATGGGTGACATTTGCTGAGCTGCCGAACAACAATCCCTCTAAACCATTCTGAGCACGAACACCTGTATTCACCCTTTTGGGAAATTTAGTGCTCTAGGCAGCACTTTCTCCGGGCTGCTACCCTCAACATGTGTGCACCTCCCCGCCAACTGCCTCTGAGCTGGCAGTCAGGCAGCAGCACTAGCTACTCTATTGCCATTGACTCTGTTAATTAAAACTGACACACACGTGCAAACAACAACCACCCCATCCCCAGCAAATTCGAAAAACAAAGCCAAACAAAACACTTCAAACTATTTTCTCCTGGACAGCCTTTGACCTCCTTGTAGGCAAAGCTGGGAGAAATACCTCTCCTTAATGGCTTAAATCGATCAAAACACCTCCTCGATTGATAAACATGCCGGGTTTATATTATGATTACTGCATACAATTTTCTGTCACTGTTAATTTATTTGAAAGTCTTAACCTGGCAGGGTATGACACCAGCAGTATTTTATAATGAGAACTGCGGAAATAAATCATCCCCTCCAAATAGTACAAAGAAAGCACTACCCGATCCTTCAATACAGCAGTGGCAGAATAGAATAGGCTCGTCATGCAAACAGACAGACCGACGCATCAGCCGGGGTGAAATCCCCAGGCTCTGTGCTCTTTAAGTGCCTTACGAATAATTTGGACTCATGTAGGTCTTTCATCTATGATGTCCAAGTGCTTTGAATGGTGGAATGCTAAGCTCTCTCTTCATTTAGAGGGGAAAATATCAAGGCACAGAAAGGTTCCATCTCTGGTCTACAACCTGACTCCAAGCTCAGCACAGACTTGGTATCGCCAGCACCTGAACTTGGAGTCTAACCCCCAGCGGAAACGCTCCCAGCTCATTCTCCTTCACACAGACAGAGGCCGATGCAGGCAAGGGGTCTTGAGGAGGAGGCGCCGGAGAGAGACCTGGAGAAAACCATCAGGATGAGGAGACGCGTGGGTCCCCTCGCTGCCTGCGTCTGCCCCGGCCCCAGCCGGCCATACCAAGGAGGGCACTGGGCCCGGGGCGCACCCAGTCTGCGTGGACGCTGCTCCATTAGGCCGCTGTTCAGTAGTTGCGGGATATCCAGACAATATTGAAACATTCCCAAATGAACTTTGCATAGAGACATTTTCATTCGCTGCCTCCCTCCTCATGCATATTAACAAATGGTATGCGCGGCCTCATTTAATTCACTGATTTTACATTCGGATCACTTTCTCTTTTACAGCTATTTTTACCGGGCTTCATTAATCTTTGTTGAATACAATGGCATACATCTTTAATGCGGCCGCTGTCAAGTCGTATTTCACCAAGAGCTGCAAACTGAATGACAGCAAGCAATATTAATAAATTTAACATAGACTATATCAATTTTTAACAGAATGAATGTGGAAAGCTAAATGTATTATTTTTCGTTTAAATCATAGGGTTTATCACCGGTTAAGTAGCAGCGATTTCGGGGAAACTTGTGACGTGCCATACAAATAGATTTACATCTCATTAATAAGTAAATTAGGCAAATGCCTTTCAAGTTCAGACAAGTACATAAGTGTAATCTCCATATTAAAGGAGTAGTCTTTGATAAACCACTGAGGAATTGTGGCAGCCAAGGATGTGACATGTCACCAGAGCTGGTGCCTGGTCTACAGGCCCACCTTTAATTACTCTCCATTACTAAAGAGAGAAGTGTCTCTCCAGTTAAGATTCTATAAATGAACAGCATGCCGGCACCTCCCAATTCATTTTTGCAGGAGCCATGAAAAGGTGGTAACAGTTATGAACAAAAACGAATTATCACCTGCTCTTTCTCTTTTCCTACTCCGCAATAACATGAAAATATTAAGACAAATTCCCTTTAAAATTTCTAAGAGAAATGATTCTGTAAGGATGCTATTTTGTTTAAGCAAGAAGAGGGGAGGGAGAAGAAGGGGGGGAACTCTGATATATATATATTTAATTTCTCTTCATAAATCCCAACAGAGATAATTTGCTGTAAAATGTAAACCCAGTGAGAACTTGTCTGTCTGTGTTAAATAAAAAAGTTCCGGTTGGCAGGAGGCATGTTTTTGCAGTAGCTTTAGCGATTATAGGAAATTACATGCAAAGCCAGAGTTCTGATCCTAAGTTGATTTATAATTGGAAAAAACTTATTAATTAGCTATGTCGCTCTAATTAAGAATTAGAAGAGTGTGCATTAGGAAGTCAGTAGCCAACTGACAGGAGTTTTTGAAAGCCCAGAAGAGACAGCGGCTCACCCCTCTCGGCCTTGCCCAGCACCCCGGCCTCTTCCCGGAGCCCCATGCACACTGCAGCCCTCCTATGCGGTGTAAGGCTGCCGTGCAGGGCCATCGCCTGCCCAGCCACAGGGAGAAGCAGAGGGGATAGAGCCTGTGGGACCCCCATTGTGCATTGGACGGTTAAGCCCAGGCCAGCCCAGCCACAGGCACGGTGGGGCCACCTTCCCCAGGAATCCAGAAGCTTCTAGAAACACCCCACAGCCCTCCATGCCCTCAGCCTGTCCCCCTGTCTCTACCTGGTTCTGTTTCTGTTTCCAAACCGTCTTGCTTTTTCTCTGCTTTTTTGTTAAAGAAGCATTCTTACTGATTTTTCTCTATCCACAGACACATTCAAACAAAATAATTAAAGGTTTACAAAAGTGAAGCATTTTCTAGAAACACATGTTTAATAAAAAGCAAAATTCCAGAATCTTTGAGTCCAGAGCTTCCTCACATTACCTGTTGTTCTTTCCCTTGGATTTTTGTATCTTCAATGGCAAAACCCAGGACTATGAAATCGCACTTTTATTCTGAATTATTATTAAGCCAGAAAATGAAATGAGGACAAACAACAAGATGAAAACTACTCTCTAAGATAATTGTTCTCTGCAAAAAAAAAAAAAAAAAAAAAAAAAAAGATTAATTTTTTTTAACCCAAACTAAACCGTTCACATTTACAAGGATCATTTTCCATGTACAGGTTTGCTTTCAATTAGAGCAGAACAAAAGCTCAAGTGGGCATTGGAGAGAATTCCGTTTTCTTATTTGAATACCAAAAAAGATGTCCCCCAGATAATGATGCTTAAAAAAAAATCTCCCCATTAGCACATTTCTCCCATTCTCTTCCATTTGCTGGCAAAACACAAAATTCCTGATACACTTATCTTATGAGGTTAATGATCTTTTGTTGTCTGCTCTAAGCCTGTTATTCATTTTAAATTAGAGGCAAAGTGGTGTGTTTAAAAGTAATTCAAATGGGAAGTAGTCGTTCTTTAAAATAAGGGGCTTTAATCCCTGTTCACAATCATTAGCCTGTACTCAGTTAAAAGAACAAGGTTGTATGGGATAAAGAGCAACTCACTAGATAATTTGGGTGTTCCCTTTAATGAAACTCCAGCGGCCAGGCAAGGGAGTCCCTCAGCTTCCCGAGCACCTCCCAGCACCCTGTTAATGATGTGGGTTTTCAAGAGACTTTGGGAAGTTACCAGGGAAGCTGGCGGTCAGAATGCAGTCTGGGACTTGTTTTGTAGGGTTTGCTAGAAGTCCCAGCAAAGATCACCCAGTTTTATGGTGAGCTGAGAATCTACAAGGCAAACCTACTTTATAATTAAGTCTGAGGATTGCTGCAGTCATACTGATACGATTCAAGACTCTAGAACTTATGGCCGTTCTAACTTATACTCATCTGTAGAGGATCTAGGAAAAAAACCATTTAAGCAGGTGATCAAACGTGCCAGCCTCTGGCATGAGGAAAGAAAGGCAGGCTCTCCAGGTGCGAGGGACGTGGTCTGAGCTCTGAGCTCAGAAGGCAAGTCCCCAGTGGTGGTGCCTTCCTGCTGCTCATCCCCACGCCCGGCCCCATCACCCTAGCCTCTCCCTCTTACCCCCAGAACACGTGCCAAGCCTCCTCCTCCCATCTGCCTGGTGAACTCCTCACCTTGTTGTTAGGTTAGTTGAAAATGTCAAGGCTTCAGCCAAGCTTGGCTCTGACGCCTGCAAGCCAGACCCCCTCTCAGCACAAGGGGAACCTTTGAAGAGGCACATCTTCCCTGGAGACCTTGTCCTTGTGTTCACATCCCCAGGGTCTAGCAGAGGACGTGACACATAGTTGGTGCTTTCTGAATCAGTGAATGAGAAGGGAATCGAGATGTCGAGCCAGTCTGACAGAACGCGAGCCAGGCCTCGGTACCCAGGCAACTGCTCAGCGCCGCCTGCTTCCTCTCGCACCCACAGTCACGGAGCAAAGAGGCTCCTGCTCCCCTTACCTGTTGGCAGTTTGGGGGGAATCTCCAACATACCCCTGCTATGGGGGGTGGGGATTGGCTGCTTTTGAGTAGGAGGGACGCTCAGGCTCAGGTGGCTCTGAGGAGGGATGTTCCTTCATTATCTAACCTAAGCATCTGGGGCCCCTTGGCCATCCTCAGTCCACCAAGTCTCCCACCTGCTGAATTCCACAGCCAAGCCCTGCTGGGCCTGCTAAGGACTATGGAAGAAAGAGAAAACTGCCAGATGACAGAGGGTGACGTCTTTCATTGGATGAACACATTCTCGAAAAACAGCTCACCAGAGCCTCTGTGCATTTACTATCGCCACTATTTCTTTTACATGGTTTACGGTGTGTGAACCCCATTGAATAAGATCAGAAAAGCAAAATAAAAAGTGTAAATGTTCGCATGGGGAAGCATGTTTTTCATTATTTGCAAAAAAATAATGATTGAAAAATGTAAGAATGTAAAAGGATCACTATAAATATTAAAAATAATAAGTTTTCTGTGACATACATAGTTTAAAATAAATAAACAAAAGTTAATTGCCTTATCATATGCCAATGACAATCATTCTGATGATAAAATGGATATAAGACTCCATAGAACAATAGCAAAACCACAATATGAAGGACCTAGGAATAGTTACCAAGAAATGCACGGGAAAAGTATATGAGGAAAACTATAAAATTCTACTAAGGAACATAAAAGAAGATTTTAATAAGTGGAGAGGCATACTGTTTTTTCAGGAAGACTCAATATTGTAAAAATGACAATACTCCCCAAATTATTCTTTATGCTAAACATTATCCCAATAAAATTCCAGCAGAATTTGTGTGTGTGTATGTGTGTGAGGTCAGTTTTGGAAATGAATAAAATGATTTGAAATTTCAATATAAAGGATAAACATGCAAAATAGTCAGAAAATTACTGAACAAACAAAATATGAATAATGAGAAGAAGTTTATTGTACCATATATTAGACAAAGTATAGAATTAAGACAGTGCTGTAATTGTGCAAATACAAAGAGATCAAAATGTAGAAGAAGAAATGCAGAAACGATACCCAAGTATGCATAGCAATTCAACATGTGCTTCGAGGTGGTATTCGAAGTCAATGAGAAAAACAAACTGTTTAATAAATGGTGATGCGACCTCTAAGTAAGCATTTTTGAAAGGAGGGGGCAGAATTGCTGGGGTGTCACCCAGGTGTCCAGGTATGTATTTCACAAGGAGAAGAGTCGCAATGAAGAGTCTGCCTTTTACGTAACGGTCATTTTATTATTTTTAACGTTTTTCACGTTTGTATTATGAATTTGTTGACTGTCTTTGGAGTCTTTGTATGTATTTGAGAGTTTTCAAGCAGATGGCAGTAAAGAATCTTGTTTGAACATAAATTAGCATATTATGGCAATTTTTCATCAAATGAAAGTCATGTGCTTAGTTCAGATATGGTCGATATACATCATCCTACTTAAGACTTGGAGAGAAAGAACAAGCTCAATTATTGAAAGATCTTGTAAATCTAGCAATATCAAATATGACCAGAGCCACTGAACAATGACAGCCTTCTCTACTGATGTATTCATCTATAGACATATTTTTTAGAAAAGAAAAATAAATAAAATATAAACAGATCTCTTATCAGTCATGTCCTGGCTAAGACTTTGAACCTTTCATGTTGTAGTTTATATCCTTTGCTGTTTGCATAATTTATCACGATAATATTGCTAAGTTCTCAATTTAAACTACAAATACCTTCCGTTGCCATGAATCACTATGTAATTACTAATGTTTATTTTCTATTAATAAGTTATTTTATAAACAATAATTTTTGCTCCTCACCTCATTGTTAGGTTAGTTGAAAATGTCAAGGCTTCAGCCAAGCTTGGCTCCGACGCCTGCAAGCCAGACCCCCTCTCAGCACAAGGAGAACCTTTGAAGAGGCACATCTTCCCTGGAGAACTTGTCCTTGTGTTCACATCCCCAGGGTCTAGCAAAGGATGTGACACATAGTCGTCTTATCATTGAGAAATAGTATATTAACTCTTTTTTCTGAGAAAAAGTCATCTTTTTCTTATTTGTACAAGGGCATCCTATGGGGTAGAAGAATCCTAGTGCACATAACATATACCCAAATTAAGTCCAGATGTATCCTAGCTTTAACACAGAAAATAAAGCCCCCTATGAAGCAGAAGAAATAAATGATCTTGAGAAGGAGTAGGACTTCTAAGCTTAAATCAGAGGGTGAAATCATAAAGAAGAAAAAAGATGGAAAGATTTAGCTAGGGGGAAAAAGCATGCATATAGCAAACAAGTAGAAATTTAAAAATAAGACAAGCAAAAAAAAAAAAAAAAAAAAAAAAGCAAACATCTACAAGGAAAATGCAGACATGTGACAGACCAGAAGGGCAGATCAAGGGGAGTCCAGAGAAGGAGCTGGTAGCCTTATGCATAAAAGCTTCCTCCAGATCAATTGGAAAAGGTTAACACTTCATATAGAAATGGTCAAACACATGGAAATGGAAATAAGCAGATAGAAAGATGTTAAGAATCACTCATAATCAGAAAATAAAAATTTACCTGAAACGTGTATGCCTATTAGGTTAAAAAGAATAAAAATATGCAAAAATGAAACAATGCAATCATATGTAATGTTGAATATGATATGAGATAATAGACATTCTTAAACTGTCACGGGGGGAAATTTTTAAAAATATTGTGAAGGAGACCATTAAAATGTAGAACAAACTTCAGTAGTGTGCATACTTTCAAATGTTGCTTCCAATAATCAAATCCAGAAATTCATGGAAGATAATATAAAAGCAATTTTTTCTAAGTTGTTTATAAGAGGAAAAATATTTTAAACAACTGGAACTTCATATAGCAGAGAACTGTTCAGCTAAATTGTCAAATGTCCATAAAATAAAATACTACATAACTGTTAAAATAATGATGCAAATTTATAGTGAACATTCCACAGCCCCGTCTTGCACTACTGTGTACTTGCATACAAGCACAAAAAACACATCAACTCTGGCGTTACATCCACCAAAAATCAACAATGGATTTCTACATAACTGTGAATAGTTTAATAATGAGCATGGCTTTATTTTATAATCAGAAAAACCATAAAGCTATCTTTGAAGAAAATATTTTTGTTCAGATTAAAATAGCATGCCCTTCTGAACAACTAAAAAGTAGGGGTGCTCAACAGCCCTGTTAGGCAACAAATCTGAGAGAAGATTCTGGGATGTCACTGCATGTTTAAGGAGCAAGTATGTTTCCAGTTGTAGTCGGGGGGTCTTGCCTGGCCCAACCTCATGCATAGTAGCCATGCCAGGGACAGCCACGTGGAGGTGGAGGATGGGGATGATTGGGATGAGATGTCAGCTGGGGCTATACCTGGGCCAGAAGAATTGAGCCTTCCATATGCATTCCTGGGGCAATCCCTATGAGAGGGGGTTTCTGTCTGAGGGGAGCTGGCCCAGACCTCCAGTTCTGCCCCCGGTTGGTTCAGAGTATTGAGATCCTGACTCCCTCTCTCCCTCCCTCCTGCCTCACCACCAACGTTGGCTGCCCCCTGAGCAGAGCTTGGCACAGGAGTCCAGACATGTTGGGGACCAATGCCAAGATGTGCAGCATCCCTGCATCTGGGAAAGTTTCAGGTCGGCCTGGGTGAGCTGGATTTAGACACTGATCTCTGGACTCCCTCAGTGTTCTGAAGAGGCAAGATGGGTCTCAGGCTGGTGAGCTTCAGCTGTCTCTAAAGTTCTTGAGTACTTCTGGGGCAGCTGACCCTGAGCCCTGCATGTCCAGGAGATGAGAATCTTGCAGGCACTGCTGTTTAATGAGTGAGAGGGGGCAGGGGGGCCTTTCATTAAAGGAATATCATGAAGAGCCTAATACTCAGGACTCCCAAGAGCAGAGGCCAGCCCCTTGAGCTCATCTTGACTCCCCACCATCACCTCTACCCAGGGACCTCCGGCAGCTCAGGAGAAAGTGGACTCAGCAGAAGATGGGGTGGGGGTATAGGGGGAGGGGGAGGTGGGGGTGGCTTCACACTCACCCCAGCTGGGGGCAACTAGCCTGAGAAATGAAATCAGGTTCATTCCAAGACCAAACTGCAATGCAAGGCTTTCTCTTTTCACAAAGCCACCAACCCCCTAAACAAGGACAATGAAGGAAGAGAGAGCCGTGTTTAGCTGCCCAGTGTGTCTCATTTCTGCAGCCATTCCGAGCTGTGGACAAATGAGCTAGGCTGGGACTGGTTGGCATGGGCCATCTGGAGATGCCAAGAACGTGTGCTGATTTTGTCATCTTTCTGCATCTTTATAGTGTTTCACTGGTTGAAATTGTGGTGATAACATTATTTTGAATTTTGGAAGAAAAAAAGGAATTGAGACTGTATCAATTAATTTCAATGAAGATTGCAGTCTGTGTGATAACACGGAAAATGCTTATGGTAAAGTGCATAGTGAAAAAAAAGCAGAATTAAAATGTACTTATGTAGCCTGAACACAGCCACCTAGACAAGGCCATGCCGCTTCTGGTGAGTGGCAGATATTCCATAGATGGAGTATAAGATAAATGAATATGTTTATTAAAGGGATGGGTGAAAAAATATCCAAAGAAATGTTCACAAAAGACTGCAGGGAAAGATGGAAAATAATTGTGAGGAGAAAAGAGAATGTGGGTGATTCAAACATTTTTGTTACTTTCCAAATTTTCTTCAATCTCTATTAATTTAATATTTAAAAATCATTAAAATAGAATCAGATTCTAAACCAAACTTCTAGCTTAGAGGTAATACAGGGCTGGAGGAAAGAGTTAAACTACAAACATTAGGGAATAATTAGACAGCTTCAGAATGTGGGGTGTTCCACAGACGACTATCTTGGGTTCTTCAAAAAGACATTGTTATAGAGAAAAAGGAGGGAGGTGGACTTTTCCCAACTAAAGGAGACCAAAGTGACATGACAGCAACCAAAAGCAAATGTGGATCTAAATCGAATCCTATAAAAGGCATTCTTGAGATAATTAGGAAAATGTGACTTTGGTCTGGATGTCAGATAATATTATGAAGTTATTTATAGTTTTTTCAGTGAGATAATGTATTGTGGCTGTGTAGACAAATACACCACTTTATTCTTAGGAGATTCAAGGTGAAGTATTTATAATTTAAGTATCATGAGGTTCCAACTTTCAAGTAGTACAAAACAAAATATGTTGCAGAAACCTCTACAGAGGGAGATAGTTAATATAGGAAAATGTGACAATCATTAAATTATGCATTCGCATTATGTTTTCATCATTTCTGTTTTTTGAAATTTTTATAACAACACATTGGGGAACATTTAAAAATAAATATATATGCATACGTGTATGTGTGTGTTTGAATACATACACACATGCTTGCATACATATTCGCCTGAGCTCTCCAGGTCATTGCAAGAGGGGTGGACCCCCAGAAGCCATGGCTGGGGTGTGACTGGCTTAGGTGGAGATGCTGAGGGCTGGGATCACATGGATCAGGCCGATTTCCTCATTGCCTGCTTCAGCACCTCTTTGGGGTTCTGTGCACGCAAACTGCCCTCCTGATGGTACCTCTCTGTGCACCTAAAAGCCCATAGGCAGCCCCTGCATCTCTGGGGACAAGGAGCCTGGAGAACCAGTGCCAGTCTACCCCTCCGTCTCCTTAGGGGCATCTTCCGAAACAAAGAAGGTAGCCATTGCGCTCCCTGGCACGTATGGATGTATCCTATTCAGGACAAGGTCCACACGGACATTCAACTCCTCTGTAGCCTGCAGTAGAAACAACGGGGAATAGTGCTGGAAGATGGGCAGGATAACCATTCAGAGGAGCAACTGGCTGGGGCCCCAAAGACCCAAGGGCACCCCTGAGGTAAGGTGGTTCTGTGGAAATGCGGCTGTCCAGGGCTAATGAATGGGACTAATGGTAGAGAGAGATGCTTCAGTTGTGGGGTGTACAAGGCACAAGGCACATGACATTTCAAGTAGATGGAATCAGAGAATAAGCATTGCAATTTAATTCCATGATGCAATTCTATATATTCTTTAAAAAATATAATTCGTGTGCCATAAACTTAACTCTCACAGCGTACAATTCAGTAGGTTTTAGTATAGTCACAATCTTCTGCAACCATCACCACTATCTAATTCCAGAACATTTTCCTCCCCGCAAAAAAACCCTCTGTACCCATTAAACAGTCACTCTCCACTATTGCCTCCTTCCAGCAACCACTAATCCACTCTCTTGGTTTTTTTTTTTTGAGACAGGGTCTCAGTCTGTCACTCAGGCTGGAGTGCAGTGGCGCGATCTCAGCTCACTGCAACCTCTGCCTCCTGGGCTCAAATGATCCTCCCTCCGCAGCCCCCCACCAAATAGCTGGGAGTACAGGCATGAGCCACCATGCCCAGCTAATCTTTTTTTTCTTTTTTTTTCTTTTTGTAGAGGCAGGGTTTCACCATGTTGCCCAGGCTGGTCTTGAACTCCTGAGCTCAAGTGATCCACCTACCTCAGCCTCCCAAAGTGCTAGGATTACAGGAACCAGCCAGCACACCTGGCCTAATCTGCTTTCTATCTCTATGGATTTGCCTGTTCTGGATATTTCAAATAAATGGAATCATATAACACATGGCTTTTCTGTTAGTTTCTTTCATTTAGCATAATGTTTTCAAGGTTCAGCTGTGTTGTAGTATGTATCAGTAATTCATTCCTTTTGTTGTGGCAAAACAAATCACATTTCATTTATCCAATCAGCAGTTGATGATCATTTGGATGGCTTCTACTTTGGCTATTATGAATCATGCTGGTATGAACCTTTGTGTAAATGTTGTGTTTGTGTGTAAACATGCATTCTCAGTCCTCTTGGATACGTACCTAGGAGTGGAATTCCTGAATCATATGAGGAATTGCCAGATTTTTCCAGGGTAGCTGCACTATTCTACATTCTTACCAGCAATGTATGGGGGTTCCAGATTCTCCATATTCTCACCAACATTTGTTATTTTTTGTCTTTTTCATTATAGTTGTCCTGGTGGGTATGAAGTGGTTTTGATTAACATATTTCAAAAGACCAATGATTTTAAGCATCTTTTTGTCTTCTTATTGGCCATTTTTATATTTTTCTTTAAAGAAATGTTTATTCAAGTCTTTTGTACATTTTAAAATTAGGTTTTTTGTGTTTCAATTGCTGAGTTGAATGAGTTCTTTTTTTAATGCTAGATCCTTATAAGACATACAATTTGTCATTTTTTTCTCCCATTCTCTGAGCTACTCTTTCATTTTCTTGATAGTGTCTTGAAGCATAGACAGTGTCTCAAAGCATAATAGTTTTTGATGAAGTCAAATTCATCTCCTGTTTCTTTGGTAGATATACTTTAGGTGTCACATCTGAGAAACTATTGCCTATTCAAAGGTCATAAAAATTTACACCTATGTTTCCTTCAAAGAGTTTTATAGCTTTACATTTTACTTTTTGTGTTTTGGTCCATTTGAGTTATTTTTTATATATGATGTGAGGTAGGGGTCAAAATTAATTATTTCATATGGATATCAATTTGGCATACCATTTGCCAAAACGGCTATTTTTTTCTCCATTGAAATGTCTTGGCACTCTTGTTGAAAAATCAATTGACCCTAAATGTATAAGTTTATTTATGGGTTCTAAATTGAATTTCATTAATTTATATGTCCATCCTTATGCTAGTATCAACCTATCTTTATAATTGTGCCTATGTATTAAGTTTTAAAATTGGGAAATGTGAATCCTCCAACTTGGTTCTTCTGTTCATGATTGTTTCGGCTATTCTGAGTCCTTTGCATTTTCCATGTAAATGTAAGATCAGCTTGAATTTTAATAGGAACTTAATTCATCCTTTAGATTGACTTGGGGACTATTAACATTTTAACAATATTAAGTCTTCTAACCCATCAACATGGGATTTTTTTCTATTTTTTACGTCTTCTTTCAATGAACTTTTGTAGTTTCCAGTGTATATAGTTTCCATTTATTTTGTTAAATTTATCTCTAAGTATTTTATTAATTTTTGATGCATAAAAAGTAAAATTAAAAAAGCTTTTAGGTTCATCATCAGTTTTCCATAAAAATATAGCAATATAAAATAAAACATAATTGTATACAACTACACAATTGTGTCATCTAACAATAGAGATAGTTGTACATTTTTCTTTTCAAACTGAATACCTTTTAGTTCTTTTCCAAGCCCAATTGCCTTAGCTAGAACCTCCACCTGAAAGCTGGGAGAATGGACATCCTTACCATGCTCCTGATCTTAGCGAGGGGTAATCTACCATTAAGTATGATGTCAGCTGTGGGTATTTCACAAGTGCCCTTAATCATGTGAAGATACTCCCTCCTGTTTCTAGTGTGTTGAGTATTGCTTTTTTTTTTTAATCATTAAAAGGTTATATACAGCCTTTTGAAAAACACATATTGGTGGAATTTTTTAATGCAGAAAAATGAGTCCAACACAATGTTAAGAATATAATTTAAAATGAAAAATGTTATCTAGTGGACTTCAATTATAAATGGAGAAAAGCATAGGAAAAAAAACGGAAAGAATTAATAGTGTATCTTTCCAGATGGTAAGATGATGGATGCTCATTTTTCTCTTCTTGAGAATTTCCTGTATTTTTCAATAAGTGAACATATTACTTTTATTATCAGGAGGGACAGAATCACTAAAAATCACAATAAATACAATTATTTTGAATTTGAGGGAGGGGTAGTGAAAGGAGGGAGAGGGAGGGAGAGAGAGAGAGAGAGAGAAGGAGGGAGTGCATGCAAACACACGCCAGTGATGAGGTGAAAACTAGCACAATGTGTGTGCTCAGGGCAAGGAGTTACGAGGCTGCATTCTCAGTGGTTGATGGCAGGTGTCTTAGTTTCTGGGTGAGAAAATGAGAAAGCTCTGGAGCAGCCAGAACCCTTGGGGATGGCTTCTTGGAGGACATGGAGATGCTCTTGAGAGTGAATATTCTAAGAAGCAGCAAGCCATGAGCTACAGCACAGAGGGGAGGGTCCATCTGTGCTCAGCAGCCAGAAGGCTCCTTGGGGGGCTAGAGTGGGATCCTATGTGAGAATTCCTGTGGGGATCAGCCTGTGATGGGTCTGCTTAGGCACAGGGGTGTGAACTTGAACCCACAGACAATAAGAGCCATGGACCTTTGTTGTTTTGGATGCCTTGGTTAGTTGAGTCCAGAAAACCATGGGTTTCCATAACTTGAGAGGACTGGGAGGTATTTGAGTCAGTCCCACCCACTCCTGCAGGTAAAATGACAGGAAGTGCCAGAGACCAGAAAACAATGCACATGCACTTTACTGTCTTGGAGGTAAAGGGTGAGGATGGGAGTGCCTTGAAGGCAGGGTGTCTTTTAAGTGACTGCACGTTTGAATTCCCACCGCAAACTACCTGGCCTACGTCATGTGATCAATAAGGGAAATGAAATTGCTGGTCAGCTTTAGGCTATGATGGCCTCAATCCCTTCCCCTGCCCAGCTAAACATTGTAACTCATATTAAGAAGAGTTGTCTGGGATTATTTCTCCACTTGTAGAGTTTAAATCTGTGTTCCTTTTAGTGGTGGAGAACACAGTTGTTGAGGACTTCAATATCTCCATTTCTCAAAAGCCTGAAACCCTGACACAATCTCTGCTGCAGAATTGCAGCACAGAAAACACGTTTTGAATAAATAACTGGATGAAAGTCCCTCAGAAATATGGGCTCAACCACCCAAAGTGTGGCTCAGAGCTTGGACTTAGTAGCTCAGGCATCCTTGTTACCCAGCTTGCAATGAACCGATCTGCAAAGTTCTATAAACCATCTCTGAATATTGAACCAAAAATCTTTGTGAAAGTTCTTCAGGAGAAATATTAGCCACTGCTAAGTAATTTACTTTTCTTTACAATGGACTCAACAAACTTTATCTGTAAAGAGCCAGATAGCCTCGGGGCATATTCCACCCTGCCATGGTAACGTGAAAACAGCCATAGATAACCCATAAACGAAGGGCCGTGGTGTTCGAACAAAACTATATTGGTGGACACTGAAATTGGAACTTCCTGTAACTTTCATGTCACCAAATATTATTCTCCTTTTGCTTTCTTTGTCAGCCCGTTTAAAAATGTAAAATCCATTCTTACAATCAGGCTGTATACAAAGAAGTGGTGTTGGAGCTAGGTTTGGCCCACAGGCCAGCCTTGGCTAATCCGCTTTAAGAGATGAACTTGAGAGAGCAGAATCAACAGCCACAGTACAAGCTCGTTTGTCTGACAGGCTCTCTCTTCCCCAAGTTGCACAATCATGGGACTCTCATTTCAGGAAGGAAATCAGTGATGTTTTCAGTAACTCAACTTAGGGTTTCCGCATCACTCTATCTCTAGACAGTCTCCGTTTTGTTGTTGTTGTTTGCTCCAGTATCCCTTTCTCTTTCTAAATTCCCAGCCAATGTTTTGCTCCTTGGAGGCACACGTCTTGCCGTCCCGAGTCAGCGAACGAGCACACCTGTGACCCACCGCACGGGCGACGAAAACCGGAGACCGGGAAAATGGCTTCCCTCTTTGAGTTCCTGAGAAAGAGCAAACTTTCTATGTGCTTCTCTTTAAAATGCAACAATGTAAAGGTCACAGAGGAGGAGATGAAACTCAGAGTTGTAATAAGGCAGGAGAAATAAAAAATAATGACAGAAATAAATTGTCATAAGAGGGGATACAGTTATGATTTATTGTGATATTCTACAAATTTGGAGGTGATTAAAAGCCACCTAAAATTCACATTAACAAGTCACATAAAAATGGAATTAAACTAGTGGGCATAATGTGGCAGGATATAAAGAAAAATCATGACAGAAATAAATTGACAGAAGAATGATACTATTCAAGTTTTACTCTGTCGTGCCACCCTGACAGGAGCCTAGTATTTTAATTTCAGAGTTGTGGTTGAGTTTTTGGAGTTCATTAAAGGCCCGCATTAAGAATCTCATAAAAGTGAGGAGAAATTAGTGACCATAATGTGGCAGAGGAAATAAAGAAACAATAATGACAGAAATAAATTGACAGAAGAATGATACACTTAATGTTTCACTCTGACACCCTCTATTAATAGGGCCGCTGCAAGCTGGAACAAATGTCATTCATATTTTAGCCAAAGTATACCACTAATTAGGCCAGCTCTCTGCACTGGAATTAGATTTGAGATCTCTCACCTTTAGAGTGGAACCATTTGAATTCTAAAGGAAAGAGCTGGTGACAGAAAAAAAAACTTTCTACTTGGGCTTTTCTAATGAGATAAAATTCCCCCTTCTCCCCATTTCGCAGCTATAATTGCTGATTATGTTGTTACACAGCCGCGGCTCTCGGCTCTGTCCTCCCGTCATCATGATCTAGTCTGGCATATCAGGAAGCTTCAAACGCAGACTGGAGTGGTTTGAGTCTAATTTAGCCCTCATTTAGGCCGCAGGTACCACACAAGGTAAACACGGCATTGTTATAATTAATTACCCCTCAGGCCGCGCCAGGCCAACTCTGTTTCAGCTGACCCTTATAATAATAAGGCTTCCGGGCATATTGTATTTCTTTTGACAGATTAATTAGAAATTCAGCCGTGGCGGTACAAAGCAACTCAGTCATGAATATTTAAATGGCCTGACACAAAAAATCATGAAAGGGCTGCTGAACTACATGACGGACAGGGGATATTAGGCAAGTGACTCTAATCAATAATCTCTTGATCTCTTACATATTAATACACTGCCTGCTGTTATTAAGCTCCGTAATAAGGAAGGGGAGAGAAAGTTAGTGTAGCTCTGCTGTAGGCCCGGCAAGGCCCCCAGTGATTACGCTAACTGACTGCGAAAATGCACAGAGGAGCCCGGCCTCAGCCTCTTCAATCTAATCCAATCTTAAGGAATGGCAGCTCTGAGTAGCACCGACTGGATAATTATTGGCGCTGACAAGGTGAGGGCGTTTGCAGGCAAATGAGCGGGGAAGCAACCCTCAGTCCCCAGACCACCCAGGGCCCGGGCCGCGCTGCTGCTCCGTGTCGGGCCGGCGGCCGGGGGGACCCTGCCCCGCGAGGCCGGGCCGGGGTGACTGTCGCGGGCCGGGGCTGGCCGCGCCTGCTGTCGGGGCGGCTCTGACACCGCGTCGACCAGATCGGCTCTGGTCCCTCCGCTCGCCTCTTCCGGCTCCAAGGCCGCTGCGTGAATTAAGTGGCAGAGGCGGCTGAATATCATGTAAATTCATGACCGGCAGTGCGCGTCCTCCCAGCCCAGAGCGAGCCGCGTGCGTGCAGCTCCGGAGGCCCCGCCGGCCCACTTGGGCCCCACCCCTGTCCCCAGGCCCCAGACCTGCCGCTGACGCCCCAGGGGTACCCAGAGCCCAGGGAGCCAGGAGCTGGAGGAAGTCACGTGGGCGCTGGGTGGGTGCCCAGCTGGAAGGGCAGCTCCGGCCTTTTGGGGGGACCCTGGGCAGTGTGTACCCTAGAGGTCCCTGGGCCGTGACGGGCAGGGATGCCAGGCCCTGTGCACCACAGGAAACATGCAAAGCATTCTCGCAGGCTGCCAGTGCCTTGGGCTGACACTGGAAGGGAAACAAAAACAAAGCTGCCCCACACAACCTAACTTGGCCCAGGATCCCCAGCAAGGGTCGCCAGGGACATGGCTGCAGGGCGCTAGGAGGGACAGTTGCCACTTGAGGTCCCAGGCTGGGGCCAGGCTGTGGTCAGAGCTACTGGCCAGCTGGGCCCTTCTCTCTCAAACTTGAAATCCTCTGGAAGCTCCTGGAGAGAATTACTTTTCTTTATGCTGTGGGCACTCGGAACTGGGAGGCTGTTTCATCTGGGGTCTGATACTCCCTCCCTGCCTCTCCCACCCAGCCTACCGCACTTCTGCCTCTCCCACCCGGCCTCGAGGGAGGGCTTGCAGGAGGAGGGTGAGGAAGTTACTCCCCTACGTCCTGCCCGGGGTGGGCTACAGAGCACAGGCCCTGCAGGGAGTCTCTCCATGTTATGATGGGACGCATGAAGCCTGTCCAGTGCCCAAGACCCTCCCTCGATGGTGCAGGCCTGGGGACTCTCTGTGGGAGCTCAGCCTGGTGGTGGAGACTCAGGCTTTTTGCAAAGGCAATGGGATCTAAAAACAGGGACTATGCAGACTGTGCACGTTCGTCCTGAAATGTTCCCTTCAGCCAGAGGAACTCACCAAGCTCTGGAGTTTTAGAGGGGATTTTGGAGCTGTCTGACCAGGGCTGAATGGGGGCCGCACTGCTCTGGCCATACCTGGCTTTGCTGCCCCCATCATGCCGTCTGTAGATAGGGACAATAATTTTTAGAGACATCAGACTCAGGGCTGGCAAGAGAGAGGAGAGGGACAAAGTGGAGGAGCAGGGACAGACTCTAAGGCAGGGCACATAGAAGGAAACGTGGGAGGTGGCCTGCTGCCCACCAAGTGCCCAGGGGGCCCCTCCCAACCTCTGTCCATGCTCTTCCTGCTCCCACGGCCTGAATTGCAGGCCCTCTCCCCTCCTGAGAATGAGGTCCATGAGGTGTGTCCTCCTTCAGCTCTCTTCCACCAGCACTCTCTAGGGTCCGATGCAGGGCTGTAGCTTGGCTTTGTCCAAGGTCTTTCCTACTGTCTGTAAGACCCTCATTCATTCATGAAATACTCATGAGTATATCTGAGCACCTCCTATGCACCGGTGCTGGAGAAGAGAAACCATTCTGCTTCGGGGATAGCGCTGTCTGCCCAGCAGAGGACCCACCAAAAGGTGCCTGCAGAGGACTGGGAGTGGCAGCAGCAGATGCCACCAGATGCTGCCCTGCCTCAGGCCTTCCCTGCCCCGAGGCTCCGATGGAGCACGCCTTGGCATGCTGCGATGCAGGGCCTTGCTCAGTTTGTTGCATTTTTTCTTTGCAGTCGTTGCAGAACTATTTACTAACTAGAAAAAAATGCAACCACCACCAACCTAGAGCAAGCCTTAGGGTTGAGGACTTTGATGAACTTGATTCCTCTGCTTCCGCCTGAGAGGCCTGGAGCCAGGATTGAGAGAACCAGCTGAGAAAGGCAGAATCAACCAGTAGGAGCAAATGGCAAGATTTTGTTGTTGGACCGGGAGGGAGGAAGCAGAAAGAGAAGAGGCAAGAGTGGAGGCTCAAACCATAGTTTGGGAGGCCTGGGTCTGAGCTGTGAGAATAGACTAGAAATAGGTTTAAAAGAATATTTTGTTTATCTCACATTCCATTTCCAGTGGTTTTTGTCTTGGCAATGTCAACCCTTCCGTGTATTCCACTTCAGGAAAGTCTGACTCTCCTGTGAGTGATTTTTGTTTGCTTGCATTATTTTTGTTGTTGCTGTTGTTTTGGGTGGATATTAAAGAAGATAAATAATTTTCATGTCTATGTCAACACAGTGCAGAACGTTCGGGACAAAAAGCAAACTAATGAAATCCAGCAAACTTAGGAATGCCAAGCCATATGGGGACCAGCAGGCAGCAGAAATTGGTGACCAACCTGGGGATTGGTGACCCCCATCCTGTGGTTGTGGAGATTGAACCTGTGCTGGCCCTTGGCACATGGGCATCTTTTTCTGACTGTGGTGTCTTGTACTTGAGTTCTTTCCTGTTCCCAGTGGTGTGTGTCCTCAGGTGGCTCCAAGGCCAGCAGGAACTCATGCTTCGTAATCGGAAACTGGCACGATACAGTGCAGCTCACATGGGTTCTGATGGTGGCGCCAACTCTAATCTCTCAGAAGACAACCTACAGGGAAGGCCAAGAGACCTGCCCGAGCCCCCATGTGGCCACAGCATGACACCTACGGGGTGCACGAGCTTTGCCACCACAGTGGACGCCATCTCACTGAGTCTGTTTCCCTATCTACATGGGGACGGAGCATTTACCACCAAAGTTTGCCATGAGCACTAAAGGACACAACCCGTGGACAAACACCTGGAAGTGTGCAGCACTATTGCTGGTTCTCTTTGGTGGAGATTCCAGCTTATGGCCCACATCATCATCCACACCGGTTCCTCCCAGTGTGCTCAGGGCTTCCATCGCAGCCGCTCCCGGCTCCGTCTGCCTGACTCTGTTGGTTCTTAGTTGGCCTTGTGTTTAGCTCCCACCTTCCTCAACGGCATATCTGGAGCCTCTGGCACAGGATGACACCTGCTCCCCTTCCGGTGGCCTCTCTGTATCTGCCTCACCCACCAGGGTGCTGGGCACTCACCTGGACCGGGGGGGGCTCCTTGTACAGTGCTTGTCCTGTGCATAGCACATTGTTGAGATGGGGTTGCTGAATGCTGTCTAGGAGGAGAGACCTGTCTCCTTGTCTGCATCCAGGGACTTGCAAGAACAGCCCTTCTCCGGGCTGGGCTCAGAAAGGGAGTAGATAATTAAGAATAAAGAAAAACAATCCAAGGGTGACTGCCAAATGAAATACTCAAGTGCAAAACTTATAAGTCTTGTTCTGCTGCTGCTGATAATAATAACAATAATAACGGTAATGATGACAGTGATCGTTTTTGCTCTCCTCGTTTGGGTTAGCAGAACATTCATGAAAGGTGTAGTCCTGGGAACAGATTCGTTTACCTCCCTCTGTTTATTGCCAAATCATAATGAAGTGCAAGCCAAGAAGCAAATTCATTGCAAATTGTATAAAAGATTTGGGGCCAAAATGAAGCTGTTAAAAACCACATCTGTAAAAATGGTGTAATGATTATGGGTGGGTAAAAATCTGGCAAGAATTATTTTCTTAAATAAGGCGTAAAGGAGAACAGATGTGCTGTAACAGACACATTTTTTTTTTCAGTTTCACGAATTCTGTGAAAAGAAAAAAAATTGATCTGATTGATCAGATTATCCTATTTATTATAGTGCACCCAGGGCACCAAAAAATCCTTTTGTTTCAATTTCATCCCCTGGAAGAGGAAGGTGGGCCCAGGGAACTGTGTGAGCCAGCTTCACGGCAAAGCTCATTCTGCAAAGCTCATTCTGCCAGGGAGAGAGAAAGGAGAGTCCGCTGGGAAAGGAAGAAGACTTGGAGGCATATGAAGGTCTACAGAAGATTCAATGGTGGGAGGGAGGTGACAATGAAATCTAAGTAGAAAACCACAAACCCAAAGTATCACCAGTATTTCAGGGTCATGATGGAATGAGAAAAATGGCCAAAGACAAAGACAGGCAGTTTAAGTCTGGAAATAATTACATCGAGTGAAGACAACTGAATTCCATATTGCCTTGGTCAATGTCTGCAAAGGCAGTTGGGGGAGGTATTTGGGTTGGATTCACTTTTTGGAGCTTAGCAACATAAATTTGTTGTCACTGAACTATTAAACACAATGGACACATGTTGGCAAGAAGGGCCCAGCAGAGGCATGGAACTTATTAAGGGACAGCCTGTGAAATAATCGACTAAATGAGCCCACTGCGCAATTTTAACATCCCATGACAACACTCAATTGTCAAATTCAGCTAGAGTGTCCAGGATGCTACTAAAATTAAGCCAGAAATTCCTAGATTTATTCTCGTTCTTTTTTTTTTTTTCTTTCCCTCAGCTAGGAACAGGAAATGCCAGTAAGCTGTGAGAATCTAGTAAGAAATAAGAAACTGAGAAGCAAAAAGGATGGCCTAGCATTTTATGAGATTTCTGCCCTTAAATCTACAACGAATGTCTTTTACCTACCCTCGATAAAGAGGCAATGTGGGATTTTAATTGGACTTTTGGCTTTTCTTCATTTGATTTAAACCAAGGTAGAATTTCAAACAATAACACTGGAACACCTGGTTAACACGTTAGATGATATGTACAGTTGTAAATTGTGGTTTTAATAGTTGCTCACTGGGGGACTTAAAAGGGTCTCATTGTTCTGTTTGGCAGATATTAAAAAAAAAATCAGGGACTACTTGGGATTTAAAAGCCACGCACGTGATTCCAATGCCACTCAGCTCATGAAATTTAATCACTGGACCCCACTGGTGGCAGTTTCTACAGGGGAGACCCATGGCCACATGGTGGGGTTTTCAAGTTCTCCAAAGTCATCGTCCAGCTTCAAGTCTAAAGAAATCCATTCATTTCTTATTGCTAAGAAAACAGGGAAGATTTTTACATCTAAACACGAAGGTAAGGCTCTGCCGATGTATATGTGTGTGTGTGTGTTCATAGATGCTTCTGTTGGCGTAGCCTCCATTGTGTATTGATGTGAATTTTAAAGAGAAAGTGTATGCATGCTTTGGCTCAGCAGTTCTCTTCTTTTTCTTTGAAAAACAAGTTTCCCCCACACGCGGGCTCCAGCCTCCTTAGGGCTGCTAGCCGGTTTTCTTTTCCACCAGCTCTTTTCCTCATCAGCAGGGGGTGGCCCTGCCTGGAAGCCTGAGTGGGGATACCCCATATTTTAAAGTGACAGTTTTCAAAATGCCCGCGTGGCTTTTGCCCTTCTCTTCCAGCTGTGGCCCCCACCCTGCCTCTGTCTCCAGACCCGACCCTCAGAGGGCATGTGTATAAAACAAAGATGTCGGGCTCATTGCTTTCCTCTGATTGGAGCCGGGGACGAAGTGGAAACTGCTCACAGAGATGCCCCGTGTGGGGATCGCTCTCCACTGCCTCTTCTCCCAGCTCCAGCCCACGCACGGGACCCTGTCCTGGCCAGTCTGGGAGACCAGACCACCTCGAACTGCTCCTGGGCAGGAACTTGATGCCTGTAGCCCAGAAGGAAACCTTAGTGAGAGATGGCTAAAAAGGTGGGCATGGACTTTACAGAGGGCAGGAATGAGGCCATGACCTCTTTCAGACCCGTTATTTCAGGACAAGCCAACTAAAGCCCAGGGAATGCAGGGACGGCCTTCAGGGGCGGGGCTGGGGGTTGATCTCATGTGTTCCTCCCCATCCAGGTCCTGTGTGCTGGGCCTCATCACCCGGAGAGAGAGGCTGCGCCCGGCTTCCCAGTCCCTGGCATCCTGCAGGCTGCAGGCAGTGAGGTTCAGGAACAGGTTCTGACTTCCTGGCATTTCTTCTGGAAACTTCTTGGGACCCTCCTGTGTCTCCTAAAGAAAGGCTTGAGTCAAAGGGCAAGACTGCCCTACTAGGCAGGGGACATTCAGATGCCAGCGCCTCCCTGACTATGAAGGGACTGACAGAGAGGCTACTGAGTCTTCCTCATGACAGCCAATTGTCAGTTTTATCCCCCAACTCCCAGCCCCAGGCCTCACAACTAGTGGGTCTGCATTCCTCACACACAGTGGGTCTGCATTCCTCACACACAGTGGGTCCAGTTCCTCCCACACAGTAGGTGCCTGTTGCCTGGCAAGCACCAGTGCCCAGTGGTTGCTGAATGACTCTGTCGGAGCGCTCTGCCTTGCTCCCTGTCGGGGCCTGCGTCTGTCATGTCTTTTCCAGTTGAGCTTGCAGGGAAGGTCAGCAGATCCTCTCACATCCCGCTGAGACAAGAAGTTCGGCGTGCAGGAGCAAGGCAGTCAGACTAGAAGGGCAGCTCGTTCTGTGAGAGGTATTGTCGGGGTGAAGCTGCTCACAAAAGCCCTAATAGTTGCTGGACTGACCGCCAAAATTGATGTGACTTCCATCATCACAGCAGGGAAGGCCCCTGCACACCTGTGTGGCCTCCGTTTGCAATTCCTAGTTCCCAAAAACTACATCTCCACTGCCCAGCGTCCTCTTCCTGGCTGCCATGTGGAGGGAGATGTGGAAGCTCACCGAGGTCTGGGACCTGCCCGTGCCAAGCCAAAGCCCACCGTCCTGGGCCATTTTCACCTCTACAGAATTTCAAACATTAAAAAATATGTATTGTGTGGTTTAGATGTTTAAATTCTTACTGTTCGTTCTGTGTCTTAGATTTTGCTATGAGGAACTGAAGTTTTAATGGTGATGTCAGATGGAGAATATGTCTCCTTTTGCTTAAAGGTAGGCACAGCTTGAAGAAATGCCTTGAAAACATCAGTGCCTCATGTCAAGTTTCCACCATCTCCCAGTTGGGTGGTTGCCTCATGTCAAGATTCCATCATATCCCAGTTGGGTGGTCTCAGATAGTTTATTTGTTCTAGCTGAGCCTTCATTTCCTCATCTAAAAATGGGATAATAATGGTACTTTTCACAAGGTTGGGTGAGGATTCTGTCTGATATGTCTAGGAAGGAACCCAGCACAGAGCTTCCCTGTCTCAAGAGGTCAAAGAAGTTTGGATTGATGGCTTCCCCTGCCCTGGGGCACAGTTGGCGGGTTAGCAAATCGACAGAGAGGGAACCGCGGCCATGGGAGGAATGCCCCATCTCTCCTTTGGGAAGATGGACTTTTCAGTCATTCTGACCTAGATTCACCCTCTGAATATCTTTGAGTTTCAAGGGCTTCTAATTGGTGATGGATTTGCAGGCTCGTTCTCTCCAAGCCCCAGATCCTGGTTGACATTGGCTACAGTAAGCCATGCTCTCGGCTATAGAGTTTCCATAACCCAAGTCTCATTGTTTTTTTTCCATGAAGTTGAGCATCTGGTTGTCTGGGGACAGTCTATCTGTGAGAATTCCAGATAGACATTTTTGGTTTTTACCCAGCTGTTGGGTGTTATGTTGACACTGGTCTGGCCGCTGGTCCCAGAGGCCCAGGCTCAGGGGCTGTCTTCAGCATAAGGTTTGAGAGTCAACAAGAGTCATGGGATACTTGTGCAAGATGAGGGAGCAGCCTGAGCCGAGGCCTGTAGAGCCACACACAGGGAGCGTTTAGGAGAACAGCCACGAGCCCAGCTTGGATGAGCCGGGAGACTCCACGGTGGAGAGGGTCAGGCAGGAGACTCCATGGTCAGGAGACTCCATGGTGGAGAGGGTCAGGCAGGAAGCAGGGTCACATGACAGGTCAGGAAGGGGCGCTCAGCCACTGAGACCTTATCTGGCAGGCAAGAGCAAGCCCTTGGGGGCTTAGTGGGAAGGAGGGCTGGAGTGAGGGCTGTGGCTGGAAAGAGCAAGGAGGCACCTCCTACAAGATGCTCACCTGGCTCCTGCTGCTCTTGTCTGGGCCTACAGGACACAGGTTTTGGGTGGGGTGGCAGGTGGCCGACTGCCCTTGAAGGAAACCAAGCACCTGCCATGGAATCTTCAGGCCAGGACAGAGCCAACTGGCGCAGGAGGTCCACCTGCCCTGTCTGGTTCCTGACAAGGAAGAGAATTTTCGCTTTCCTATTAAGGTCAGCTAGCAAAGCAATGCTTGTCCTGTCTCAGGAGAGGAACAACTCTAGCCCCATTGCTCTAAGGGCAGCACAGGTATCTTCTTGGATTGAGCTGCCCCAATTCTGCAGGTTTAACTCAAAGTTCCTTGGGACCCACCTGAAGCAGATGGGGGAAAAACCACCTTTCAGGCCCAGAAAGATAAAGAATCTAAGAAGGTTCCAGTAAGACCTTTCGTGCATTTTGGCCAGAACAAATCTTATATACCGTGCAGGCACTGAAGGCTTTTCCATGCCAGCACTGACAGCCAAAGGACTTCAGAGGCGCCTGAGAGTCTGTGTGTAGGTGCATGTGTATATTGTGTATGTGTGCACATATGCATATGTGTGCATGCATGTAAGCATATATGTACACATCTGTGTGTACATACATGAGCGTGCACTTGTATATGTAGGATTGTGTGGGCTCGTCTTCATCTATTGTGTGTACGTGTGCTTATATGTTGTATTGTATGTATATGTGTGTACCTGCTTGTGTGCATTTAATTATTTTTCAGGTTTCACTCTTACAACCATGGAAGATTCTATGCTCAGCTTCCGGCGAGACTAACAGTGACAGAGGAATCACAAATACAGCTCAGAATGGTTTGTGCCGTGTTGTTTTCATTCCTACCTTATTTCTGTTGCACTGGGGGGCATTCACTGAGGGTCTGCAGCGTCTCATTCAGGCCTCCTAACTGCCTACCGGCCCTGGAGTGTCTGCAGGCATCTCCAGCTGAACCTCAGATTCCTCCAGCCTCTTCCCCTGACACAGGCTTCCTTGCCTTCTCACCCTGCCCCTGGCCACGGCTCAGGCCACACGGCTCTGGGTGCTGTCCTTAGAGTGCTTGCAGCTCTCCATCCCACACATGTCCCAGATCTGGCCCTGACATTCTATCCTGCTGCCATGAACCTAGCTCAAGTCACTGCCATCTTCCTCCAGCTCCACCATCACTGAGAGTCACTAACAGCCTTTCAGTGGGTCTCTGCTTAGCCTCCTCCCGGTTGCCCCACTCTCCACACCTCAGCTGGTGCTCTTGGACTGATGGTTTTCTGGGCATGATGCTCTGGAGATTCCCATGGCTCTCGGAGTTCAAGTGGCCCATCACAGCCTGGGTCTCGCTCCTGCCACACCCTTCAGCCTCACCTGCAAGCCAGGGTCACCTCTGTACCAGCTCATCACCCTTGAGTTTCTCTGGGCCCAGAATGCCTTTCTGCTGCCTTCTCCAGGCTGCTTCCTTCAACTCTGGGCAGAGAGGTCCTGCCAGGAAACCCAGCCATCCCTGGGATGGTCCCTAAATGATCCCTTCCTCCACAGCACTCATGGATGCCGGACACTGTGGCATTTGTGTCTGCTGTTGCATCCACCAGCACGACTCCATGGGGGCAAGGCATGGTCATGTCCCTTTGCAGAGGACAAGGCAGCCCCTGGCACAGTGCAGGGAGCTAGGGGACAGTCAGTGAATGGACATGTGAGAGCATGAGACCTGGAAGGTGGACAGTATTAGCCCATCTATGGAAAAGGTCACTGAGGCTTGTGGGGCCAGTGTCTTGCCTGTGGTCATGCAGCTTCCGTGTAGCAGAGCCTGGTCATCATCGGTTCTTCTACAAATCCAGTGGTCCATGTGACAGTGCAATGCACCATGTGAGCACAAGGATTCCAGATTGTTCTTCCTGCTGGTGGGATTCAACTCACAGGCCAGGAAGCCCATTGACTTCAGAAGCTATTCAAGTTATTCCTTCCAGCAGGGCCTCCTTGCCTGGCAGGAGGTCACCGCCATCTTTAATGTGTTTGTATACTGGCAGGTCCTCCGGGCTGTGCCTGCTGAGTCCCGATCTATCTGAATTGTCATATACTTACTTTACAAACCAAGTTATCAATCTGCATCTGACCAAGAGTCATGCCATTTTCCAGACAATTCAGCAATGGCTTCTGTCTCTATCAATCCTATGGCTATTTCCATGCAAATATTTTGGAAAAAAGTACTTCACTTTACTTGCCTTGTTTTGATATTCTCTCTTCCCTTGTAGCAAAAGAGTTACTTTTAGGCCTGCAAGGAAAATCTGCAATTTCCCCAACGCGGCAAAATTGGACAGTTGAAAGAGGATGGCCCCGAGGTGCTGTTCTTGGTGCAGCTGCTCTGGAGCTGAGCAAAGGGCCTTTGCAGGATTCCCTTCAAGGCAGTTAATGAATTACAACCACATCATTACCTCTACATGTTGGTTTTAAACACATATTTATTCTTCTCTAGCTCAACAGTTACACTCTGGAGTGAACCCAGGGCTGCTGAGCAGCTCTTTCTCCTCAGAATTCCTTTTCTTCTACTTCATAATCTCCTTCTTTCTCTTCCCCTTTTCTTCTTCTTCATGTCCTTCTCTTTTTTCACCTTCTCCTCTTTCTCCTTCTTTTCCTTCTCTTATTTTCTTTCTCTCTCTCTACTCTTTTCTTTCTCTCTATTATTTTTCTCTCATTTGAATCCTTTATTTTAATGAGGCTACACCTTCTCACCCGGCACAAGGTAACTACTCTGAAAATCCTAACGGGCACAAATGGATTCTTTAGTGTTAGAATCTGGCACAGGTTCCAATAAGAGCTTGGGTACCACTTTGCCAATTTCCTTTTCTTTTTTTCTTTTCAGACTCCTCCTAGGTGGGCAGGGATTGAAAGGAAGAAAGTGTGATATCGTCGTGCGCCTGTCTTCCTTTCTGCCCTCATTCCAGGCTTTCTATTCCGTGAGTGCAAAAGGAAACAGGATGCACCTGAATTACTGAACAGTACAAGGGAATTTAATTAAGAATATACACATTAGAATTTCAGTGGGATTGCCTATTTAATGTTACTTTATTAAGCCTTCTATCAAACCCTTTTTTATGTATATCAGTTGATATACAATTAATCTGTTCTCTTGTGAGAAAAAAAAATAGCACCTGAGGTGAATGAAAAGTGTCAGATGAGAATAATTATAAGCAGCTGTTCACTTGGAGCACCTCTGGCCTACATGGGGGATGCTGTGAGCTACCACTCCTCGCAACAGCCCACCTCATTAGACTTGACCTTCCCAGCTGGGGATTTCATTTGTGCTTTTTTAATGGGTTTGTATACGGCAAATCACAACACCTTATGAAGATGGAGTCTTTGTAGCTGTAACAAAAGGGAGCATGCGAGTTTACAAAAAAGCTACCGCTCCCGCTGACTGGCAGGGTACCCGCCATAATGCAGGTAACTTTTCAGCCACTGGCTGGGGCAAGGCGTACCATCCCGATGCCTTAGGTGAGATAAATGCGTTTCCTTGGCTTTGAAGCGCCTCTGGTCCGTGCAGCCACCAGCAGTACAAAAATAATTGCGAGTCCTGATCGCACTTTGGAGCCTAATGACAGCCCACTTAAAACCAGATCTCCAAACCCACAGAAGCCCCAATTTCCAGCAACAGTGCATCTCCACGCGTGGTGCCTTTCCGAAGGCAGCCCAGGACAAGAGGACAGCAACGGCAGATCAGACGCCAGCATGGGCGTAGATGATAGATACAGAGGTAGGGGGAGTCTCCAGGAAAACATCTCTGGTTTTCTTTTCTCCTTTCCATTTATGTTTGTAATAAACTCACTCTCATACAATTAGCCTCAATTGTTTTTATATCTTCGGAGGCAATAATACAGGCAGCCTGGGGAATACAGTAGTAATCCGTATACCTGTGTTCATTTACCCAAATCACTATGGTTACAGCCAGGGCAAACTGTTTACGGTGAGAATCCGAGAGCCTCTTTCCAGCTACTAATGACCTTTCTGTTCCTCCAATAACATCAACAAACCAGGGAGGCTGCCCATGCCATTAAAGCCAATTGCCTCTCCAGTTACTGAGGGACTTGAGCGTTTCCTCATTTATTTTCTCTCATCTGATGTAACTCACATGCCACTTTCTTGTCTTTAAAGAAGGGGAAAAACTGTGGATTATTGATTTGCTTCTGAACAGAAGACCAACCTAAAAGCCCCGATGAATTGTCACTCATTATTGAAATTACTGAACACTAATTAAACTGGCAGCTCAAATCCCAGCAGGCCACACTCATCTGAAGCTGAAATTCAGACACTTGGGCAGTGGAAGAGAGAGAGTGCTAGCAACCACCGGGATTGTAATAAGCTTTGCATTAATTTTTGCTTCTTAAAGGTACACAGCCCTGTTTGTGGTGGCCCAGCCGGCAGTGGCACACATGCGGGGAAACAGGCAAGGCCCCTGTCCGGTTCTTTGGAGAAATCACTGATTCAGATCCCTTGCAGAATTTCTCAGTGAGACTCAGCCCTGTGCCCCCGGTGAAGTCACAGTCCACACCCTGAGATGCCTGCTGTGACAGCGGCAGGAGCCGCTGGCTGACATAAGGAAAGCTGGCCCTTCGGATGGCTGCTCGAGGGGAAACTGAGTCAGGCTGGCTGGAAAGCAGCCATGCAGGCTTCCCTGGAAATGACCCAGGCCAAACAGCCTTTCCAATTCATCAAGTCTGATTTACTGTCTAAAATATGCCTTGGCCTATTTTCACGGCTGCACAAACTCCACGTAAATTATGCATGATTATGGTTAATCCAACCTCCTTTGGCTCTGCCTAAGTAGTAGCCCCTCATTTGCTCAGCTTCAAAGGGGACTGGTTGATGGGAAGGGACTGGTTCAAGGCTGGAGTTGAGAGTGAATCTCCTGCAGTCACAGGAAAAAGCAGAGCAAACTGGGCCTTGAAAAGGCCCCTATTCTGAGTCAAGACATGTATGGGGAGGAAATGGTGGGTGGTGATCTCTTGGCCAGGCACCTTCAGATAAGGGTTCTTTGTCCGGGTTATCACTTTCTTTTTAAAGAGGTGTTTTTAAAAGCAGAGATTTACAAAGCTTCTAGCAGCTTTATCTGTAAAGGCCCAGACTGGAAACAACCCACTGTCCATCGACAGGTGACTGGATAAGCAGATGGTGGTACATCCATGCAAGGGACTACTACTCGGCAATGAAAAGAAATGGGCCATTGACACACACACAGAGCAGTTGTTCTCTTTTAAAATGGGGTGGTTGGAACCATCACTTACACTTGTCCTAGTCAGACTGCTTTCCTCCACCTCAGGAAAGAATGCACATTTTTAAAAAGGCTAACATGATGGAGATGGAGAGGGAGAAGGAATGGTAGAGCCAGAGCTTGTTGAGAGAGGGCCCTGGGGTTGGGGGGTGCACAGGTCCTGGGGGATCCTTGACAGGGCGTGTCGCCTGCAGGAGACAACACAAGCCATGCACCATGTTAAAACCGTGTCCTGCTTTGGAAATTTTAAACTGTTAGACTTCCTGAGTCTCTGTCAAAAGCTGATTCGAATTTCCCTCCCTGTTGTTCTCACAGCAGAGTTGAGGCATGGAACGCACATGGGTTGACAGCCACGCTGAGGACGCAGCTCAGCCTTGTGGCTGACCCTCAGCCCGGGAGCTCCAGATGGGCATTTCCTGGTTCCTGGAGGAGCCGCACTCACAGGCAACTGGACACCGGCCTTCTTGGTGCTTCCCTTTCTCAGAGAGCAACAAACAATGCAACGGCAAAGCTCTGCAGACACCCCGGAAGCAACACTGCTCCCTGCTGTGGGAAAAGGCTGTGGCAATGTTGGGCTTCACACCTACCAGGGTCAGCCCCCGGACTGCACAGATGTCAGCCTGTGGGAGGCTTGGCTATTCTGAGAGCCTGGGCACAAGCTTGTGGTGACTACAGTCCTGGGCCCTGGAGGGCCACAGCTGTCAACTGTAGGAACTTTACTTGAACTCTTCCTTCCCCACATCCTCATCTCTACATTTCTGGTAATAATGTTACCCGAAAGGGTAAATGAAACCAACTATCTGAAACCGACAGCAAGGTGCCTGGCACGTGGTAAATGCTTAATAAAACTTTCGGTTTCCTGAACCTCGACCCTGGGATTTTTGTCTGCCTCTGTGAAGGCTTGTGCCAGTTACACTCGCATTTTGCTCAGTGGCTTGGTGGTGCTCACTCTATGCTACTCGGCCAGCTTCAATCCTCTACATATGCTACACACACTTCCTACCCATGAGCGATGGAATACTGGGCCTTCTCTCATCTTCTACAGCCTCCTTTGCACATTTATTTACTTAGTTGTTTTTTCATCTGTCTTATTAGGAGCATGATAGCAAATATGACATGCCTTTCTTTTTGAGACATCCTAGCTCTGTGCCTTCCATTAGTTTTTAGTGTTTACTCAATAAATATTCTCATTCATTTATTCTCCCTCTGATCTCATCACTTGAGGTAGTTCACAAAATTGCATCCTCAGGATAGTGGTGATGATGGCCCATGTTTGCTGAGCCTCACCAGTGCCCTGTGTGCCTTCCTAACCTGAGTGATGTGCACGCACGTACACACACACAGACATGCACGCACAGGCAGCATGCACATGCAGACACACACCCAGACAAACACACGCATACATACACACAACCCATTTAATCCTAACACACAGGTGCTATTAATTATTGAAATTTTACAGACACGAGCCACAAAGAAGTAAAGTTCCTTGCTCAAGGTCACACAAACAGTAATTAGGGAGTGAAACAAACAAGATAAGGACATTAGATCAAAGGGAAAAGGAATTTTGAATAGTAAAGTGGGGCCGAGTGAATGTAGGGTCATTGGATGCTGTAATGACTTTCACAGCCACTAGAGTTAGCTCCTAAATAATGACCTGATTTTCCCAGTAGCCAAAACCATGAGGAGAATATGGTCAGTTTCAAGATTCACCTTGACCACAAAATACAAAGACACTGTTTGGGTGCAGGGCAGGTTTTGGCATGATGAGTGTTGGAAGCCCCACATCCATACTGACATCAGGGTTCACACTGATACCCTAATAGGGCCGTTTGGACTTATGGGTATCTCGAAGCTAAAGAATGAGCAAAGCAGAGACAATACTTAATTATACTCAATGTTATTTCTCTTTTTAAAAGAATAATTACGTCTTTAATGTCAGACACTTTATCTTCCCACCCATAATTATTTCCAGGTGACTGTAATATTTTACATGCATCTTCCACAAAGGGTATCCCAAAGTGTGTCAGGTTGCTGCTCCTTCACTCAACCTGAGGGTATTTTGTCCTATTTTTTTCTTTACTGGGTGAAGAACAATGTCTTTTATTTCTAAAAGCTTAATGCTAAAACTTAAAATGTAAACTCACCTATTTTAGCAAAGACTAAATTTGATGAGCAAGAACTTTAGCACACTGATTCCACTCCAAAGCTTCTCCCAACTCCTACATGATTGCCTGGCAGTTTATCACAGGCTTATTGATATACATTGTCTTAGCACAGGCTACCATCACAAAACACCATGGCCTGGGAGGTATCAACATGACGCATTTCTTTTCTCACGGCTCTGGAGGCTGGGAGGCCCAGATCAAGGTCTGGCAGGGTCAGTTTCTAGTGAGGGTCTCTTCCTGCCTTGCAGGCAGCCACCACCCACCTCACTGCCTCATGGTGATGTCCTCACATCTTCCTGGCTTGCAGGCAGCCACCACCCACCTCACTGCCTCATGGTGATGTCCTCCCAGGGTTTTCCTCAGTGTGTGATGTGGAGGGTGAGAGAGGGAGTGAGAGCAAGCTCTCTGGTGTCTCTCCTTATAAGGATACTGATCCTATGGGTCCCATGCCTATGACCTCATTTAAGCTTAATTTCTTCCTTAGCCATTCTGCCACCAAATACGGTCACGCTGGAAGCTAGGGCTTCAACACATACATTTTAGGGGAGAAAATGTTTAATTCAAAATATATGCCAAAAAGTTAATACTTTTATTATGGTTTCATTATCGGTCTCTTTCAATGTCTAGTTTAAAAAATTTCCAAAATACAGTATTTACATGTTATTGATTTTTTGGTGCTCACCATTTATTTCTGAATTTCAGGACTTTCTTGGGTTTCTTTTTTCCTTGCTACAGTGCATTCCCTAAGTAATTTTTAGCAGGGATCAGACTTTCTGATCCCCTTTCTATCTGAAAATATTTCCATTCCACTGCATTCTTTCATGGCAACTTGAATGGATGTCGATTTTCGGGTTCACAGTAAGTTGTCTTCAGCGTCTTGAAGCTATCCTTTCATTGTTTCCTGGTCTCTGTTGAAGCTGATGAGAAGAAGTCTGCCTCTGCCGGCTGTAGTTATTTTGTAGCTGATCTTTGCTTTCCCTGGAGCTGCCTCTGGATGTTCCTCTTTATCCTTGGCATTCTGCAGTTACATGGTGACATGTCTAGGTACGGGTTCCTTTTTACCGATTCTATAGGCATTTAATTGAATTTTTATATCTAATTCATTCAGTGCTTTGGTTCTAGAAAATTCTTCATTATCATCAGTTTGAACATTACCTCACCAACATCTTATCTGTCTTCTCTCTCTGAGCCTCACTGAGGCTGTGCGCTGCAGCGTCTCAATCCACCTTCGTCCTCCTTTCCTGTTTTCATCCCTTTGTGTCTCAGACTTTCTCTGCGGCAGTTCATGTCATTTTCTCTCTTCTGTCTTTTAGTTAATTAGTTGCTTTTCGTCAGTGATTCATGAACTATTTAGTCATCTATTGAGTTTTTTATAACTATATTATTTTCACAATTTCTAGTTGTTTTTATTTTTGTAACTATGTCTTCTTGTTGTATAAGCACCTCATCTTTTATCATAACCACTTGTTACTATTTCATACATAATGAGTCTGTCTTTAATCTTGTGGGGGCTTTAATGGTTGAGTTACTTCAAGATCCTTTCCAGTTAGCGCTGTGGTCTCTTGTCTGTTGAGTGTTGATTCATTCACAACACTGGACTTACACTCTTGTGATTACGATTGACAAGTCTTCTTCCACGAGGTGTTTTACCTCCGAGCCCTGAGCTATGGTTACACCCCTGTGTGATGAGTTGGGTTCTGCTTTTTCCCACCTCCTGCCCTCTTGTTCCACCTGCTCATTGCAGCCATTGCTGACACACCCAGCTGTGTCAGGTGTACCTGACAGCCCCTGTCCTCAGTGGCTGCGGCACCTCTGACTCTCTGCTGCCACTGCAGGGGGAACCTGCAGAATCTCTCCTACCCTTTCCAATGCAAATGCCCACCAGTAAGTGGGAAGGAATTAGCACGCCAGAGGACACATCCTGACTGACCTAGGATGGGATCTAGTAGATAAACATTGCCTTTGTTTTACCGCCACACTTTCTAAGGCCCGTTCTACATGGCACCCCTAGTAGGGTTTGACTTTTTGTAATCCCTGGACAAAGAGTTTAAACATTTTTTTGTTAGGGATGAGAAAGGAAAATGACCTCCACAGAAGGAGAGAGTAGAGACTGAAAGTTTCTGGTTTATTGGAGGGGCCCCTGGAAAGGCACCCAATTTCTGAGTCTTTTCTCTAAATTGGAAATTGCCAAAATGTCTACCTCCTGAGGAGCCTGGGAGGCAAAAGAGTAATGGGTATGTAAAAGGAATTTGTAAACTATGAAGTCTAAACTCAGTGTCATTAGTAGCTGACGATCGAGGGGAAATCAGAACCACAACTCCTTGCCCTCTTACTAAAGGCTGGAAGACTTTTGCACCTCTTGGAAGCTACTTTCCCAATAAACTGTTCTCAGAGGCTATCAGTGGATCAGATCCCCAGTCTCCAGGGTTGAGCTCCTGTTGCTCACAATAGGGGTAGCACAATGACATATCTTGGGATTAGCTTCCAGGTGGATAACCTGAGCTCTGCCAGCAGCTTCCTGACCTTCCCAAGCAGATCACCTGGAAAGAGGCAGGGCAAGGGCTGTGGCCGTGTAGCCACCTGCTCCTATTCAGACTTCCTTCAGCTCTGTGTCTGGAAGTTGCCTGCATGTCCTGAAATCCTGGCCTTCAGTTCCGACCTGGTCTAAAGCACAAGGTGGGGAAAATCTGATCCACTGACAGCCTCTGAGAACAGTGTATTGGGAAAGCAGCTTCCAAGAGGCAGGAAACCCTTCCAGCCTTCATTAAGTGGGCAAGGAGTTGTGGTTCTGATTTCCCCTCGATTTTCAGCTACTCATGACACTCAGTTTAGACTTTACAGTTTACCAATTCCTTCTACATACCCATTATTTTTTTGGCTCTCAGGCTCCCAGGAGGTAGACATTTTGGCAATTTCCAAAAAAAAAGACTCAGAAGTTCAGTGCCTTTCCAGGGGCCCCTGCCAATAAACCAGAGACATTTTGTCTCTACTCCCTGCTTCCGTGGAGGCCACCTTCCTCTCTCAACTCCAACAAAAAATGTCAAAACTTTTTGTCCGGTGGTTACAAAAGTCAAAACCCTGTTAGAGCAAGGGTATGGCTCAGGCCCTTCCCACAGAGAACATGCAGTCTGGTTAGAGAGAAAGAACTCCTGAGCAACGTAAAGGGATTGCAAGTCTCTGCTAAGTAAAAGGCAAATGCATCTGACCACCTTTGCTGCTAGAGAAACATCGGGATGCACAGTGGCTCATGGCGCAAAACGCCTTGGGAAGCGCTGATGGACTGCATTTGGGGGCTGGTTTCTGCAGGTCGCAAGGTACTTCAAGGGATTTTAAGGTCTTGTCTTCCTTCCTTCTGAAATGAGAGAGGCTGTGTGAGAACAAGCTCATTAAACAGGAGGGCACGACTGTAGGCCAGGCCGCGATGTTAACTAAGCAGAGACAGGCACACAATTGACCCAGAAAGAGATTTTTAAAGATAGAGTTTAAGAATTCAGATAAAGTGCAGCTCCGGCGGCCGTTCTCAACAGCGCCGACGGGAGCCTGGAGAGGTGGTTATTTAAGCACTTGAGAGAGACTAAAGGCTTAAGTCTAATCTCTGTGCTGTGCTCAGGCTCTCAGCCCACTCTGCTCTGCGGAGGAGCCCAGGGCCTTGGGCATGGGCTGGGGCACAAAGGACACCATCCAGGTCATCAGCCTGGAGGTGCATGGGCGTTCAGCTGTGGCCAGGACCCAGCCCAGCCTCCTGCTAGCTTGGTGGCCAGTGCGGGGCTGCACCCTCCTCAGAGTGGGACTTGGTCACTGAAAGGCCCTTCGGAGACAGATAGCTTGCCTCCAGCCCATGTGGCAGAGCTGGGTGCCGTGTGCAGTCTCTTTCTTCCAGAACTGATACTGGGTGAGATTTTTAAAAGCCAAACCCAGAGCAGCGGTTACCCTTGAGCTTGAGCCCAAAGTCCACTGAATGGCATCTCCATTTTCCGAAGCACCTGACGGCTGCCCTTTAATGCGAAACCAAAAGGGAGCCGTGAAAGACAGTGAGGTAAGGAGTCAACTGGCTTTCAGAGAAAGAACTGGCAGGCCTTTCTGGGGAAGTGAGAGGAAATACAAGATTCTTATGGGTCCCAAGAGGCCTGAAGATTATAAAAAGCAGCACTCAAATGTTCCCAGGGCTTTTTAGAGAGGGGGCACCCTGACCCCACTGATGCTAGAGAAAGGAGCATCTAGAGGCGTGGGCACACACTGCTGTTGCTGAATTTTGAAAGGGAGGATGCTTCTCCATGCATCTGCCACCCCCAGTGTAGAGTTTCCAACCTTCTGCCACAGGAGGTTGATGGAGAATATGCAGGGGTTGTCTGGAGCCCAAGTAAGACCAATCCCAACCCGTGGGCTTCTTAGAAAGCCCTGGGTGAGGCCTGTCTTCTGGTAGCTTTCCCGCACAATCTCCAAAAGCCTGGCACATGGAAGAGCCTGTCTGCTGGTGGGCCTCCTAGTTGGCACCACTTAGCACCTCATCTGGGGCTCTGGGCCTCCAGGCAGCCTCTCATGCACCCAGGCCCCAGTGAGGCCGTGACCAATGCCTCCTCTTCCGGGAGAGGCTGGGGCTTGGTGTAAGCCAGCAACCAGCACAAGATTCTGCAGGCTGGGGCAGGACTGTGTGCAGTGTGCAACTAGCTATTCCTTTGCATCGTGAGAGCTGCCTGTGATTTATCACCCTCAAGATGTTCTCCAGCAAATTCAAATTTCTGCTTTAATTTTAGCTGTTCTCACCCTGATTCTCAAGAGTCAGGGCAAAATTTGGAACTAGGGAACTTTTTTCTACAAAACTACACATATACAGAAACTCTGTTGGCACTATCCTCTGGAAATGTTTAGACAATGGGACCTGCAGATGTGGACTTTGAAAGCCATGTTTTGTAAGACATGGCCAGATGGAGATTTTAAAGGAACCTGGGCTACCTTGAACCTAGGTGGAAGTGTGGCCTATTCATCAGTATGAACAGGGCTCCAGTGCCCTGGATGCCACCTCCTAGAAGGCCTGTGCCAGACTCTCTCATGAAAGTCAGCTGGGAGGTCCCATCACCTGCCAAGAGTCCTTTGGGGAGTTAGGACCCTCCGCGGGGCAGATTTGGAGCAGGACCTCAGAGAACTCCTGTTCTGCTATTTTCCTTCCACCTGTGTCATTATCAGAAGGAAGTCCCTGCCTTTCCTGGACAGGTGAGCAGGACCAGGCCTGCAGGGTCTGAGCCTGAGCTCTTCTTTGAGTATATCCAAAGGGTGGAATCAGGTTCCAACACCCTGCAGGTCAGTGTCGAGGAAGTCCAAGGGTGAGCCAGGACACGGAGGGCTCACCGCCAGTGCTGCCCAGTTGAAAGATGATGTGAGCCACCTATGTGATTTTATATATTCTTAATAGCCACAGTGCAGGAATAAAAAGAAACAGGTAAAATTATTTTTATATTTTTTTTACTCCAATATATACCAAATATTATCATGTCAACATGTAATCAATATAAACATTATTAATGAGACATTTTCATTTGTTTCTGCATAAGTCTTTGGAACCTGGTGTTCATTCTACACTTAGTGAATCTGCACTCATCAAGCCTCAGTCAAGACTCAGCAGTCACCTGTTGCTAGGAGCCTCGTCCTGGGCTGGGCACCTCTAGAGGATGCCGTTGCTCCAAAGCTCCACCTGTGCTGGCGTTTTCCGAAGGAAGCGCCTCAGACTCCGGATCGCCCAGTGGTCTCGCGCAGACGCACTGTCCCACCAAATGCACTTGGGAGGGCGCACCCCCTGCCATAGATCCGTGGTGCTCACTGCCGTGTCCCAGGCTCATGGCAGCTCCCCTAGAAAGATCTCTAAACGTTTATCCTTTGGGTGTGGCCAAATGCTTTCCGAGTGTATTAGGCCTTGAAACACCTGCTAATATTGCAGAGTGAATGCTCTAGAACACACTTAAGTACTTTGTGTTTGAGGGGAGAAAGGGTAGGAGAAGCCTCAGTGAATGCATTGTTGTTACATTCTCACTGCACCATCAGCTACTGGAGCCCATTGTAACAGCAGAGCCCTGACTTCTTCCTTTGTTCCACCAGTGTGAACTGGACATTCCTGGGGCCAGGCGCTGCCTGAGGTCTGGGCACACGGCAGTGGGTGTCTCAAAGCCCCTGCCTTCAGGGAGCATCGGGTCAGGGAGACAGGCAGCCAGGGGCCAAGGAGATGACTGGGGACCGTGGTGGGGGCTGGCTTGGGGGTAGCTCATGTAACACAGGAGAGATTGGGTGCTGTAGCTGATGTGGCTGAGGTCAGCAGTTCTATCGCTGATACTGAGGGAGCAAGTGGCCCCCAGACCAGCATGACATCCGGTAGATGAGTTCTAAGAGCTGGGACCCACCAGGGACCATTGGCAGGGTGCCTTTGAATGTTTTAATTTTTTTTAAATACATGTGCATTTAGGAGAAGTGTGGGAGCGGTTACTTGTTCCCCACACTCCTCTGCCTTCTGGAGGCCTCTGTGTCTTCTAGTTGGGAGAGCAGAGCCAAGGGGGAGGAACTGGAAGGTCCCTCGTGTGTTTGTCCTAACTGGCGGAAATGTGATGGCACCTGCTGCGTGCTGGGCCTCCATTGCCGCTCCCGTCATGGAACGCCACCCTAAGGGCATTCCTCCAGGTTGGTGCGAGAAGGGTGCCCACCCTCCAGGCCTTGTTCATTGGTATTTCAGCCATCTCCCTCTGCATTTGAGTTGTCCGAATAAACCTGTTTCCCATTTGACTGAAAGGTGGCCCTAAGTGTCCAGCAAGTGAACGGTTCCGGACAGGGGCCTGCCAGTGCCCTCACGTTTAATGTGGGCCTTCTCTGAGGCTGAGACTATGGTTGAAAGATCAAATACAATTTATAATTTGCTCTTTAAAAGAAAACTTCTGAAACTTCTCTTGAATACCTTTCATCATAAAATATGTAACAATTTCAAGGGTTTCAAAACATATACTACATCAAAGAACCACAAAACACTATATGTTTCTATATATGGATATTTGTGTACATATGGGCATCTCCACACACGCACACACACACACACAGATAAATATATATATATGTGTGTATATATATATACACATATATATATATGTGTATATATATATATACACACATATATATATATAGAGAGAGAGAGAGAGAGAGAAAGACAAGGGAGAGAGAGAAAAAAAAGAAAGAAAGAGGGAGAGAGAGAGAGAGAAAGAGAGAGAGAGAAGCAGTTTCCCCAGAGCCATTTCTACCTTCAGACCCAAAGGAAAAATGCTCTGCCAATATAATGCCAAATACACACTTTCAAAGTACCTTACACACATATTTATCTGAAATGCAATAACATCTCACTAAAATGCTTGTTTAAACATGCACCTTTTCTGTCTGTTGGGACTAGAATATGTGATTTGAAGAAGCACAGATTTGCCCCAGGATCCAGACAAATCCGAAAGTGCTGTGGGTTCTGAACAGGCTCCTTCCCCATGAGGATACAGAGGCTCCGGAGTGGAGGTCCTGTATGCACAGTGAGCACCCTGTGTGGGTTGCTGTGGCTTCCAAACAGAAGTCCTACATTTCTTTGCAAAATAAAGGAAGCTAAGCCACCTTGGCCACGTTGCAGAGGAGTGTGGGCTTTAGGTCTCTGTGTCCTGGAGAGACTGCAGGAGTCTCTGTGCTGCTGCTGTGGGTCGGTGTGGACATGCACAGCCTGCAAATTCTAGGTGGATGTGCCACAATTCAGTCACATTAGAATGTGCCTCAATTCTACTTCCTGTCTAGACAAGGCCAAGTAACACTGTGTTGCTTCTTTCAAAACACATTAGAAGAGCAGGAGCCAGGGTCAGTGCCTGATGCAACCTCCTAGAAGAAACCTGTTTTCCTCAGAAGGCTCCACCATCACCATGTCCTGGCCACAGGTCCCATGGGATGTCTTTGTACTCTTGGGGGAACGCCACTGAGCCAGGCCTGAGCTTGGGGAACAGGCGCGGGATGGATTTTAAACTGCACATCCTAGTATCAACACCCCAAGTAAGCCCTTGGAAGTACCGTCTCCTGGGTCAGCTCCCTACCTCTGGGCGGGGTGGTATGGAGGCTAAGCAGAGATGGATGGAGCTGCCTCTGCAGGTCTGGGTGAGTTGCTTCTTTTCCTATCCCCCAGGATGGGCTCCAGAGCTAGCTCTGGGCTTTCCCTTCCCTGGAGTGCAGGGTGCAATGGTCCTGCCCAGGCTGGGAGTCCACTGGCCATGCACCTGCTGCAGGGCGGGTTTCCCACACAGCATGGGATATGTGCCCAGCACACAGTGAGGGAGGGAGCCTCCCCATTGTTAGGCCCAGGGAAATATGCGAGTGCCTCTTGCTTTCCTTTGGCTCCTCATTGGAGAGTTTTGGATGCTCACCAGCCAGACACTTTTGGTTACACCAGATAAGTGAGTTTCACCTCAAATAGCTGCCCAGCTCATCACAGCACAATGGGTCTCTTCTAGCCTCATGGAGAGTGTTCTCGGATTCCAAATCTGCATCCCCAGGGCATACTTGTGACCGATCTCAGCACGCAGAGCTGGAACCCCCGTGTGGCTGGTCAATGCCCAGGATGCAGTATTCACTGCTCCCTGCTTCAAATGCACCACAGGCACTGAACATGGAAACTGAGCTCCTGGCACTTCCACTCCAGCTGGTTGCTAGTTTCAGCCCAGTCTTGAAGGCACAGTCCATGGCTCTAATTTGTATCTCTCAGGCTTAGTGGAAGGCTGGTTGGGGTGAAGCTGACTTCAGTGCTTTCAGCCGTACCTCTAAGTAGTGTTTTTATTCTGATGGTAAGGAACTCTTAGGGATTTCCATCGGATGCTTTCTGAATTTGCATGTGGCAGGTTTTCCGTGGGTGTTTCCAATCTGCCACAATGTGGGTTCTTCTGTCTCATCTTTTGTGAACAGAGCAGGATCCGTGAGCTGAATCCAAAGAAAGGGAGGATGGGGTCAGGGCCTGCCACCCCGGCAGCCCCAGGTTCACTGGGCTATTATGCCCATCCTTCTGTGAAAATCCTCTCTGCCCCACTGGACTTCCGTTTTTCATAATAATGAGAAGTGAGGAGCACACGAAAGCCACTGAGTGGCTTGCTGGAGGAGCTGTACCTTCTGTGACCGTGAAACCGCACTCTGGAGGCCTGACTGGGTGATCCTGGTGAACTCGAGGACTTCAGAGGAATTAGGCAGCTGATGGGACAGGACAACGCCTAGCAGACCACATATAGAAACTGGAAGATGATATTTTTCTCCCAGTAAAAATACCCCACAAACAACAAATAAAAGTTTAAATTGTGCGGAGGATCCGACAAAGACGAAACATCATAACACGACAACTTCAGAGGAAAAGCAGTTGGGACGGGTGTTCCCAGAAGGGGTGACCGGTGCAGGGCAGCCGGGTGGGTGGGGGCTCCCTGGTCCTTCCTCTCAGGGTCAGAAGAGGGAGCACGGCCCATGGAGCACCCAGCAGGGCCAGATCCTGCAATTGCAAGGAAGAGCTCTTCCTGCACACCCCAGAGGAGGTCTTGCTTCTTACTGTTGTAACTGGCCCTTGAAAAATGAAACCCAAGAAAGAAAGAGGCTGCAGAATATGGGTGTTTGAGGAAGTTCTCCAGGGACCCGCCAAATGGGAGGTGGGAGGAGGGGCTCAGGCTCTTTGAAAAGTGAGATTAGCACCAACGGAATAAAAGTCTATTTCAAGCCTAGGAAAAATAAACTATGAGAAAGAGAGGGAGAGTGAGAGAGAGAGATTGAGAGAGAGAGAGAGAGAGAGAGAATGAGAATCCCGAATGAGGAAGAGAGAGAACAGGATTCTTCGGAGAAAGGATATTGAATAAGGTGAATGAGACAGAAATCCTAGCAGAAAGCAGTGTGATTATTAGGAGTAATCAGACTCGGAACAGCCGCCACAGTCCTCTGAGTTCTCTCAACAGATTTTTGAATCCTTTTCTTTTGATGTTTCTTTCTCATTTTGCTGGATTCAATAGATTCCTCTTCAAGAGGGGAACACACAACCCAGAAAACATCTTCTTTTTTCCTTACCGGGAGACTGAGTGTTGTGATATATGGGTTTTGATAACATGCATGAACTGAGCCTCTAGAAAAAGGTGTAATCCACCTTTCATGTTAAATTTGACAAAATGCTGATGTCCTACATACCCCGAAAACAGGAGCTGAGGCCTTCAGAGAGTGGCACAGTTGTAAGGAATGCAAAAGACACCCTCTTAAAAGTGTTTCTTCCAGCAAAATGGAACCACCAAAGTATCTTCTCTGCCACGCCAAAGAGTGTGTTTCTCTGGCTCGCTTTGGCAGAAGTCCACTTTTATTCCCGTTGTTGACTTTCAGGCTTTGCTGTGTTCTGAAAATCAACAAACACCGCGCCAGGAAGCATGCGCCTCATTTTATCAAATGGTACCCGGCTTGGTAATGGCCTCCCCAGATAATTCGAGCTGATCTGTGGTGATGACCAGAGGGACAGCAATGATTGTCATGTTAGTAAAAAAAATCAAAACAATCATGTTACGTCAGTTCTACCATTAAAAGACTTGCTTCTCTGCAAATTTTTGCGCTCAGTAATTAATACTCTGGGGCTTGTGGTTTCCAAGCCGGCTCTCCAGGCACAGAGATGCCAGTCACCTGATAATTATTTCAGGAAACCATGCACGAATGAATGTGATTGACAAATGCAGCATTGCTGTAATTGCCTCAAGCAGAGTCGGTGAGAAAAGGAGAAAGAAAGAGGAGAGTTAACTAGTTGTGTGCTTACCTATCAGACGGGAAGTGCAATGGCAGGGAAAACCTGGTTGTTGCAAGACACCTGACTTTTGTACGAATCAAATAGCAAGATCGGAGTTGGCAGATTGCATCAGGCAGTGTCCTGCCTCGTGTCCTAAATTTAAGTGACCAGAGCTGAGTACCGGAAAGCGTGCAGATCTCTTAATGCTTTTATTGTAGATGTACAAAAAGAGGCCAGTTTCTTCCTGATCACAGCCAGCGATTAGCTTGTGCCCAAAAGCAGAGTGTTTCTGGAAACCCCTTAAGAGTTTAATTTTAAAGAATCCTAATTACCAAAGTTCATCCTAGTCTATAGCTTGGAAATATCTTTAGTGCTTAGACCTGATTGTTCATGGCTGTGGCCCTCCTCTTCTCCTTGTTCAATAAGTAGTCAGAACATCTCTTGCAGCCGTGTGTCTGCTTTCTATTCCAATTGCTGCCCCGTCACATAGCAGAGGGCTACATTGACATCTACACGCTTGGGGTTGAAAGAAAGGACTCAGTAAAACCTAGCCCTTGGTTTGGCACTGCAAGTTTCACAAGCATTTATACAAAAGCATTGCGTCTTCACAATACGGCATTTCTCAAAATGTTAAATTGGGTACATTTCGCACACTTCGCAATATCTTTTTCATCCAATTCCTAGCTATTAGCATAATGCCAAGCCCAGTGGAAACATTCAGTAAAACATTGTCTAGTGGAACCTGTTCTCAGTGAAGACATATCCCTGTCCTTGAGAGGCTCAGAGAGGGAGGCATCTTGGAAAGAGGGACCCTTCTACTATGGGGAAGTGACATGTCATGGAGATTAAGGACATGGGCTTCATTGTGGGTCAGAAAAACTGATTTAGAACCCTTGGCGGCTGTGCAGTGGCACACTGCGCAGCTCTGGAGGTGCCATCATGGGGCATTAAGAGTTGTGCAGATAGGCAGCTGTGAATGAACCCTGGTCTATCATTTTCTCTCTAAACCTCTGTATTCACGTCCACAAAAGAGGAATGGTCCTGATTTGCACAACATGGCTAAATGCGATAACATGCTTAAAGCGTTTACAGAGTACCCGGCATTCAATAAGCATGTGCTGAATGGAAGCTAAAACGAAAAAGAAACAGGGTTATCCCCAGTGTTACTACTAGATACAATCATCAAGCCCAATGCCTGACTTAGTGTGTGACTTTATAACAGCTTAATCTCTCCGATCCTAGTACATTGTCAAGCACATGGTTTGATTTGCTTGGGAAAGTAGAAAATAAAGGCATCAGAGTTGGTTGGTCAAATTGATTTTCTTCAGTGCCAAAGTGACCCTGCTTTCGACTCTCACGGAATATCAAGTGCTTAAAAATACAGAGAAGAAGGCAAGGTTCATCTATGAATTGGCCACCAAGAGGTACCCACTATTGATATTTCAATTTATTTCCTTCAAATTTCTCAACCATATGTCACTTTCAGCCTGTGTTTTCACTTAGTATTTTTAATGGCTGAGTAATATTGCACTGTCTGGACAGAGCACACTTTCTAACAACCTGCTCTTGTGAAAATGGAGGTGATTTCATGACGGATGAGCAGCCTTGTGCATAAAACATGCATTGCGCTTCTTTCCTTACATCAGGATGCGTTTCCTCACATTCCAAGTTCAACGGCGTAAGGACTTACAGGCTCTAGGAACTTCCTTTCAAGTTGCCCACCAAAGGCTGAGGAAATCTACAAGGTCCCCAGCACCCGTCGAAAGGGGTCACCACGTTCTTCCTCCACCAGCAGTGGGCATTATCATTAGTATTTTGCTAAAAACATGGATAGAAAATTATACCTTAACATTTGTTTACATTTACATTTTCCTGATATCTAGCTGAGGCGGAGCATTTTCTCTCCTGCTTATTAGTTCTCTGTGTTTTCTTTCAGTGAATTATTTATGGTCTTTGCCCATTTATCCAGTAGAATATTCAGGTTTTCTTACTGATTGAATATTAAGGTTAACCCTTAGTCATATTTATTGCAATTATCTCCATCCAATTTGTTGTTTGACTGTTCGTGAAAGATAATTTTATGTGTTTGCTTTTCAAACTAGCCCAGGGTATTAGACATCTCCAGAAGAAGAATAAGAATTTGACAGAGAAAGAGTCACACTCAGCGCAGAGGGTATCACCCATCGGAGGTTGATGTCTGTAGGCATTACTTGCTAGACAGTTCCAGATCACTGCATCCGCCTCCGGCTCCCTTTGGCCCCTGTGTATACAAACACCGTGAGTGTTTTTTCCACTTGGAACTTCTGTGGGGTTACCATGCCACTGTTTTGTTTGTTTTTCCTTCCTAACATAAATAATTTGGCGCGGTTTCCATGCAAACATTTATCATCTCTTCCAAGTTATTAACACACAAACTCAGGGGCATTTCTGTATATGTCATGGGTGTGAGGAACCAACTGCAAAATAATTAGAAGGCTCTCACATCGACAGTGGCCCGTGATTACTCTGGAATGCTTGCTCTGCGACTGGCCATCCTTTGGTGACCATTGCCACTTTAAAGGCTGAATTATATGTTTTTATTAGTTGCTTAGCTATTTTGGTCTTTCATTCCTCTACAACTCTCAGATGAATACCATCTGGCCTCGGTAACTTATTACAATTTAATTTCTCAGTTTGTTCTATCACCTCTTTCTTGATATTTCTATCAGCAAAAACCCTCTTGTCCCAGTCCCTGTCACCTCTATGAGGGGATGTTGGACACAGAGGCCGGCTGAGAAGAGAAGCCCCATGGGCTCTCTGCCTCCTGGGATGGAGTGCAACACGGGGCTGCCTGCCTGGGGCTCCCCTTTTGCAGACTGGAGTGATGTGCACCCCAGCCTTTATGAGAATCAGCATCTGGGAGAATCACAGGAAAGAGTGAGAACACAGTACTAGGTGCTTGGTGATCAACAACTATCTTCCACTTAGCAACATCTCTGTAAGTTTTCCTTTCATCACCCTTTTTGTACAGGTAGAATATTTAAATGAGAGTATTGGATCCGTGGCTAACTGTGTGTGCATCAACCCAATATATCCCACTAAAAGGCAAAAATTCAAATCACTTTTCTTAAAGCTTACTTTTACTGATACAACAAAACTGAGCTCTCTTTGAGGTGCAGAAAACAGTGTGGTACCATAACATCTATATAAGAGGTGTCCTGGAGACAATGATGGGAGATGGAGCCCCAGTGCTCTGGTAAGCCATCCCCTCCTGCCTGGATGCTGTGGGCCTGGTCCCTGACATCTCGGCCTGAGTTCTAAACCCCTGTGAGGAGCCCACCCTGACCCTCCTCGAAGCCTTCTCCCTGGCTGAGCTTGGGGTCCTCCTGTTCTGCCACCGCAGATCCGCTGGGTCAAAATCATCACTTAGGTTTAATGAGACCAATCACCAGCAGTGAATCTGGTCCTCTGATGCACCAAACATGGATATTAAAAGGCACGTTTATGCTGATAGGGTGGTTTACAACATTTCGGGTAGGGAGAATAGTGTCCCCTCCCTTCCTGGTGGCGGTTGTAAATATTTAATAAAGTCTTGACTGTTAAGTGCCAGCACTGGGCCCAGCCATCACAGGCTGCTCACCAGGTCGGTCTCTTTCTGCTCCTCCATAAAAGCTTTCACCGTGTGTTCAACAGCCAGCGGAGAGCCTGAAAATCCCCTCCTTAGAGACACCGAGCCTCCTCTGTGGGCAGGCAGGTGTTGCAGAGCCAGGAGATCAGCCTTGAGAGGGCTGCTCAGAGGACGCACAGAGATGCTGTCAGTGTCCTGGGGACCTGCCTCCAGCCCCTGCAGAGTTCAGGGCAAGACAGGGTGCAGGAGGAGCTAGGAACACAGTCCTTCTGCGCCCCCTAATGCCCTAGCGTCTGCTGCTCTGATCATGACATTGGTGCACGATTGTTCTTTCCGACTTCTGTTCTCCAAGCTGGTCGCCACCATGTCTCTGCCCCAGACACCTCCACGATGCCTGTGGACACAAGGTTTGGCCTTCTGCAAGGCTAAGGTTCAGGAATAGAAATGCCTTAAACACTGTGCATGTTGTTTGCTGGGTTATTATTATTATTATTGGTACTGTGGATCATAATTTTGTTTTAAACATGAAATCTGCTCTTTGTGGATTTCGGTGTAGTTCTATGATGAATTTCCCAGGACAGGACAGGACAGAAAACCCAACTGTTGAGTGGGAGCTGAGGAGCCCACCCCCCAAAAAATACATTTGCTTGACATAGGAATGCAGATTCTATTTGTGAAATGTTCTGGTCAAAAGAGAGGGAAATGATGATCTTCAAGTAGGAGCAACCTTTTCTTCATGTATCCTCCTCTTAGCTTTGTCTGCGATGAAGTTGCTTATGAAATTGAGACTTTTTCTCCAAATTATGCCATGCTGTATATTCGATAAGTCTAAATGTTGTTGCACTGCAAATATCAATAATTCCTAAATTCTCATTTAAAAATCAGCTACAAAGTATAAGAAAGGAGTTTTTATCTAAAATCTAATTTCTGGGTTAATAAGTAAATGCTGGTGGAATTACTAAGCAATGTGGGCTTGCGGCCAGAAGAATCAGCCTCCTCTCATCTTTGGGGAGGCTGTGTGGGGTGGCAGAAGGAGGCTGGGCTGCTGCCCCTGACCTCGAACCCCAAGCCCTGGAGTCAGGCACTAAGTCTGCACTGCAGAACCTCATAAGCAGGAACATCTCACTGGCCTGAGGTCCATAAGGATTGAGGGATCACAAAGCCCCTCTTTGAATCTGATCAAAGCAAGTTCTCTTTCCCCAAAAGAATTCATATACATGCAAAACATTGACTTTTCTGACCTCTGCAGAAGAAACATGATCCTTTACGTAAGGTCCACCCCCGGAGGCTAAACAGAGCAATCTACCCACCCAGGACAGGAAGGGCACAATTTATCCAGCGCTAATCCAGCCATCTCACTCTTTTCTTTGGCTGTACTGCCAGTAAATCAAAACCAGTCAAACCTAGAGTGTGTCAGCACACACACAGGCACACACACGCAAGCACACAAGCACACACGTGTGCACACACACACAAGCACATATGTGCACACACACGGACACACCCAACTTCCCAAGCATGGGATCAGATGTGCTTGGAAACTACTCTTGGCTTTAGATGTAATCACCCTAGTTTAGAGAATGACAGCTTTATTGTTCAATAAAACAAATTAATTGATTCAGCTATCTTTGCTAGTGGTTAGGGGGTTTTATGTATTTATCTGAGAAACAGGAGGAGATTGTAAAATGATGGGAAAGGGAAGATTCTACCGTGGAAGCTACATCTAAGATGGTCTGTGTATGGTCCAGAGGCCACAACCTTTGACTTTTTCCTGTGAGAATCCTTGACTCCAGCACAAAAGGGCAAAGAAGACATTTAAAATAACCACTGTCGAAAGGGGACATTTTACAGAGCCTCTCTAAAAATCCTTATGTGGAAGAAAACAGAACTGCCATTAGAAAACTACCCTCTTCTCTGTCTTCTCCTCTCTCCACAATTTACCCTTTGCAAACAGACAGGCTTCTGGCCTCCGGAGTGGAAGAAAAGGTGCAGGGAGCATTGTGATTCGACAGAGGGAGGAGTAATTTAATTGTCTGACTCCTTCTGTGCTAGAGAATATCAAACAGATGAGGAGGATAAAACAGGGAGCTCAATAATTAATTTTCATGTTCTCTACTAGTGGGGCTTCTCCAGGCCCTGTGCCGTGATTATAGGGAAAGGTTGGATTCTGAAGTTTCACTCATTAGCTACGTGTTATATGAAAATACCTGTATTTTCAAAAGGCATAGTGACAAGAATGAAAAATTTCAGCTATTAAAAATATCCCGGTGTCAGGGACTTTTGTGAAAGAACAAAAACTCTCTGATTCCCTCAGATAAATAATGAAACGGATGGTTGTTGAGAGGTTAAGGGTCAAACCTTCCCTGTTGACTAAAACACAAGGTTGACTTAAAAGATTTTCAGAAGTTATTCAAGGAGCTGTGCATCAGGCTGGGGTTTTTTGCGTTCTAATGAAACCGAGTGGGCTCCCTTAAATTTCTGCCACTGCCGCATTCAAAGCACCTGGGTTTTAACGTGCTGGACATCGTCTTTGACACTTGCCCTGCAAGCTGCATGTAGAATAGAGGGTGTCTGTGAATAATCAAATGGTGCCGTCCCAGGCTCTGAGTTTATCCGACAGTAAGTTTTAAGATTTAATTAATTCCAAATGAACTGTTAAGTTGTCTATCCAAATGGGTGGACAATGGAGCTATCGGCAAAGTTGCTGCCGCCGAAAGCCTCTCCTGTCCCCATCCACCTCGGTGAGAGCCGAGAGTGTTTTCTTTCTGGAATACTGATTAGCCCAACATGCATCTGTTCGCAAGCTTAGGATTCAAACCCGGGTAACATAATTTTTAGCATAAATTGTTCAATCATTCAAACACACAAACATTTCAAGGTAATTTCTGCAAATCCCCGTTGTGATCTAATTTCTTATTAAGCAGAATAAAGCTGTTTGGCATTGCAGTTAATCAGTTTGGGGCTCCACAGAGCATTTGCTGCAGTGTGCTTCCTTTTTTTATTTTTAAAGGAGTATTAGAGTCACGTTCCCTGGGCTTCGTTCCTGTGTCTCCCACGTGCAAACACTCCTGTGCCCATGCCCGGCCACATGGCCACGGTGACAGGACACTCGGCCAGTCAGGCGAAGGTAGCTATCAGAGAGCTTTGCTTTTACCACATTGTGTGTATGTGTGTGCACAAACGACTGCCAGGACAACTGTTAAATTTGTGTTTTTGAAGAGAAATCAAAGACTAAGACACTGTATCAATTAAAAAATTACACAGTGTCTCAACATTAAACAGATCATAAATCATGTTTGTGAATACCTTTATTCCTACTGTAAATCTCTTGCCTAAAAGTGGCGCCTTGTGAAACTGAGGAGAGTTGTGCTGAGACAGGGACAGAGGGGCCAGAGGCAGGGTGGGGCTCACCCCCCAGCAGTGGCATATGTCTGACTTTGCACTTCCACATGGAGGGTTTTGCATAAACAGCAGTCATTAATCGGGAGCCTCACGGTTGGGTGAGAATTGCACTCAGACCTTGGAATGTTCCAGGGCAAATGTTACTCAAAGTCTAATAATTCCTTTCAAAGATTTGGATCTAATTTCTAGTTGCAACTAATCAATAGACAATTTATGAATGACCAGTATCATTCCCCGGGGCTTAGGAAGACAGTACTGGGTAAATAGTCATTCACCAGTAATCAGTTGCAAGAGGCAGCACTGCAGTTTAAGAGGCAAAGTAAAGCATGTGTTTTTATTTAACGAGAAAGATCTCAGTGAAGATGGGGTTATTCTTGTAGAAGCAGAAATGACTGTCTTTTGAATAGAATAAATGGGGGGTCATAATTCTCTAATCTGACCTAATATTAACAAGGAAAATGATCTGTTAAAACATCCCAGAGAGAATACGAATTAGACCAGGTCAATAGTAGGTCAAATAGATAGGGTGCTAAAATATCCTTTTTACTACTTTGTAGCATTTTATGCTAATTCAGTTCCCCTCTCTGTGATAAACAAAGCAAGTGGGAAGTAACTAGCGTCACACAGTGATGGGTCCCTAAGCTACAATTTAATACAAACCCGGTAATTCCATCGTACGACATATCTAGTTCATTTAGGAACGACAAATACTAAAGGCATACAGGATGAGATTGCTTGCCCCACACTGCAGGTACATTGCCTTTAAAGCATAAGAAAACTAATATGGTTTTAGTGAATAAAACTCGTGTGGAATAAATGTGAAAATAGACATTGTACTGTCATTAGGAAAAGGCACTACACTCAGAGGTACTAGGAGGCAGGTACAGTAGACATCATAGCCGTAAAGGTCATTGATGGATGCTGATAGCAGCTAAGGTTGGAAAACATTTGCACCTCAAGAGGGAGGACCCAGCCTCAATGCTGCCCTGGATATTCTGCCCAGGACTCTGCAGGGAAGACAGGAAGGATGACTCAGAGTGAGCTTCCTAAAGGACTCAGCCAGGATAAGTAACTTCACTCTCCTTGCCCCATCAACCCATTAGGAAAATTTCCTCTCCTCTGCACTGTAAATGAAACCCATGCCCTGCAAAAGTTGAATTACCCATGTAGATTATTTCTCTTCTCCTAAGAGAGGGTTTTGCTCACTGTCATTTATTACTGGGTAAGGCTGAAGGATTAGATGGTTAAGCGTGTGAATTAACTAAGCCTCTTAAAGCTATGGCGCACCTACTAGCGTTGGTGGGATTAATCCATCTCTCTTCAGCACCTTATTTACAGCCCAGGAGTGACTTAGGCCCTGGAGAGGGCAAAGCCCTTCATGCGAGTGAGTCTTTAGTGCCTCTTGGTGGGGAGACCTGGCTTCTTGGATACAGAAGACAAGGAAGATAAACTGGCTAAGACCTCCAGATTTTTTAAAAAATGTATGCAAGTCTTGAATTGGCAGTAAAGATAAAATTGGTGGTGGTTTGAATCCCTAAAGAGGTGACATTTGGATTTGATTAAATTCACCATCAGAGACTCTATCTACATGCACAACTGCTTCTTCAATTTTGATGAAATTGACTCAATTTAGTCCAAAGAAAATGGCCCACTCAAAGGCCTGATAGAAAACTCATGTGAACTATTTAAGTCTCTTGGGTTGGCTAAGTAGTCTCTTGCATGTGAAAGGTACACTATCTTTAATTACATATTTTGGCAAAGGCAATAATGATTTTTGCAGACTTACTAGTTCTCATCCTATCCAGGAATGGAGGTTGAGGAATTTGTTCCAACCACCTGGTAAAAGTTCATATGGGATGTGAGGAGGCCTGGATCCTTTAACCAACTTTCTACTTACTCCGCAGAAAGCACTTGAAATCTGGCAGTGTTATTGCCAAGAAACATTGTGGTCTCTAAGTGCTTGGTGCTAGGAATATAAAAAGGTGGTAGGTGTGCTTTTTGAGCTCAGGAGTTTATTATCTGGTTGGAGAGCACTGCAGAGGGATGGTGGGAGCACCAAGAGCCACAGTGAAGGAACAGGAAAGCCTCCTGGAAGAAACGCTGTATGGACGGTGGCATTGACCCCGGGCTTCCCCTGTGCAGGTCCTGTTCCAGGCACTGGGAACTAGTAACTCAGAAGTTACAATAGCCACCTGGAAGGCAGATGTCCTTGTTAGTTACAGATGAGAAAAGTGAGACACAGAGGGGTCAGTAAGTTTCCCCCATGACTATAGAGCCAGTAAGTGGATAGAAGCTCAGGCTTTCTGGCTCTGGAGCTCACACTCCCACTCACGGCCTTCTGCTCCTGGTGAAATTAGCAACAGAAGATGCAAGAGGAGGGAGGCAAAGGGCTCTCCCAAGAGGGGGAGAATTATTGCAAAGGAAGAAGGAACAGGCTGAACAGACCCAGGGAACAAGCCAGCACATGAGCGTGTGCCACTGGAGATGGTCCTGATAGGGGAGAAGGGGGCAGGATGTACAAGTCAGTAGGTGGGTCCGGGTTGGACCTTAGAGCAAGGAGAAGCTTGCAGGTGATCGAAAGCCTCTTAGCCTTTTGATCCGGGGGAAGGTGTTTGAGATGAAATTTATTTTAGGCAAGTTATTCTTATAGAAGTGAAGATGGTAGAAACAAACAGAGAAGCTGGAAGAAATAAACACCATGGGATAAACACAATGACATAGGAGATACTGAGGGCTTGAGCTGGGACTAGTGAGGAGGGAGTTAAAGGCAGAGTTCCCAGGGCACATGTGGAGGGGGATGCCTGGAGGCAACTGGGGTTGGGGAGAGGATGGAAGGAGCCCAGCCGGAATGCTGCCTGGGAGCACTGGGTCAGGGGTCCCTGGGAAAGATGACAAGGTGACTTTGAGCCATGCCGATTCTGAGACATCACAGCTCTGTGTGGAAGGCACGCTCCACACATGGGGTCTCTCAGTAACAGGTATAACGCAGCTTACTGGGGAAGCCAGCCAACACTTTAACTGCTACTTTTAATGTTATTAAACAGGATTAGGACAATTTTTTAAAGGACAGTGTAATTTTCCCCACTCTCATTAGATGATTCAGTTTTTTTCATTAAAACTTACTGATTCCATTTATGAATTCCACAAATTCTTTCACTAAAATTATAAATATAATTGGCAGCCAGATTTTAATCACAAAACACTTCCTCTGTGACTTTGACTTTTGAGAGGAAAGAGGGGAAGCATATAACATCGTTTGTAAAAATGTGTTCCCAGAATAACTGCGCCGGGGTTTTCATTAGTTTACTACGAAACCTTTGTCAGATTTCCTTCTTCACCCGCCGTCTGTGGCACATTTGTCTGAAAGCACATTCCTCCTGGTTCTCCTGGTTTTATAGCTTTTTGGTATAGATGGTCACCTGATTAATTAGCTATAAAACTACACAGGAAAATATAAAACAGACGCCCAATTGCACCTTGTGTGTAATGTATTATTCATCCCACCCAATGCAATCATATATTTGCAGGAGCTTTTGTGCTGAATATTTCTGGCAAGGTATTGCTTAGTGATGCATTTGTGGCAACATGGACAATGCAAAATACACACTGAATGCTGTTCTCCAAAATCTTCCTTTTGGCTAAATAAAGAAAAAAGAAGAAACAATGCAATGCAGTCAGATGTCCCTAACCAGAGAGCTCTCAAGTGAGTTCCCAGCATCCTGCCACCTGAGAGGGCCAAGCCATCAGCCCGTCATTTGACCAGGAGGTTGAGATCCTGCTCTTTCTGCTCCACTGTTGGCAAACCACAGCACGCTCTCCTCATTGTCTAATTCGGTGGAATGGCAGCTGAATTAAGGAAGAGGGTCGTACTCTGAGAGAATTCAAAAATATTTATTGAGCACCTGTCATTTGCCAGGACTTTGGCAACACTCTAGGGGTTCAATGTGGAAGAGTGTGACAAAATTGGTTGTGTTCCTGCAGAGGGGTTGAGGGGGCATCCTGGGGTGGCAGGGACTGGACTTCTCCCTGTTGTGGCTCATTAGCTTTGGGGACCAGGCAGGGTGACAAACCCAACCTCCATGGTCCCAGAGGGCTGGTGACGGGCACCAGCCAGTGAGAGACTCACTCACACAGGTCTCCCAGCTAACAAGAGGGCTTTTCTACCTGAAAACCATGGGGCAGACTCAGGGGGACAGAACCGCAGAAGCAGACAGATGGTGCTTTGGGAAAACAGGAGCATGATTCAAGTCATGGAAGAAATAAAGACTGAATTCCAGCACAGAGCATGCCCGCCACAGCCACCCAGCACTGACCGCCTCTCCCCTTTCTCTCTGTACCAAGAAGCATGGCCTTGAAAGCCACTCTGCCTTCAGAAATCCCCTTCGGAAGTTTGTTTTAAGAGAGAGGTTTTTTAAAAGGCAACTTGCACATTTTCTTTCACAGACCCTCTTGGGAAAATGGTGTCTGCCTGGCCACCTGTTGGAATGCATCCCGGGAAGGACGCTCAGAGTCAATATCAAATCAATAGTGTCACACACAGTGATGCATGAGACGTGATTGTATCTCTCGCCTGAAAATCCATTTTGACAGAAGGGCAACATCGAGTCATTTATGACACCGAGATGATGGGCTAGCTGGTTAGTGAGTCTGCACGCTGCCTTCTCACTGACACGGAGGGAGAAGCCCGTGTGGACTCAGAGAGCTCCGATTCTCAATGACAACCGGTACCGTATCCATGTTAACACATCAATAAAGGCCCAGGCGGTTTTCAGGTAGGAATACAGCTCGCTCAGGCGCATGTGAGGAAACTCAATTAATAGTCCAAATGCAACTCCTTTTTCCTGTTACTGGGGAGTTTATGACCTCATCCGCCAGTAAACCCAAGCCCTTCCTCTCTGAGATCCGTCCAATCTATACAGCAAGGTGAGTCACAGCTATCTATCCAATTCCCCTTAAATTAAATGTCTTAGTTCAGGAATGCGGGTCAAATAAATCAGCTTCATGATACGCCTGGCAGGAATAGCTTACTGTATTCCTAAAACCTGGAAGGCGAGTGTGTTTTAATACAAAATTAATACAAAAACCGTTTATTTTTGAGACAGGGTCTCACTCTGTCTCTCACTCTGGACTGCAGTGGCATGATTTTGGTTCACTAAAACCTTCCACCTCCCAAGCTTAAGGAATCCTCCCACCTCTGCCTCCCAAGTAGCTGGGACTACAGGCACTCGCCACCACGCCCTGTTGATTGTTTCATTTTTATTTTTTGTAGAGACGAGGTTCTCACTATGTTGCCCGGGCTAGTCTGGAACTCCGAGGCTCAAGTGATCCTCCCTCCTCGGCCTCCCAGAGTGCTGGGATTACAGGCGTAAGCCACCACACCTGGCCAAAATCAGTTTTTAGATTGGCCATCTAGCTAGGATTTCAGTATTTCTTTGTTCTGTCAGCTGAATGACATTTCCGTAAACAAGACAACAGTGAACCTTGGTTTTGTGTTTTTCCACAGAAAAAATAATAGTTTTATAGTAAAAGCAAGGTGCGCAGGCCTCCCAGCCTAGATAGGAGCCTGTCATGGGTCTGTGCCCTGGCCTGTCCTCCTCTGAGACCCTGGCAGTGCTTACAGCAAGACCACAGGTCTCCACAAATGCTCACTGAATGAATGACAGTAGGGTTCTCTATTAAACAATTGAGTAAAATTTGATTAAAGCTTTAAGTGTTGCAGTTTACAGCGTGCATCACAAATATCTCATCTAATCATGTCACAAGATCTACGGGACTAATATTCTTCAAGCTGTGGACTCAGAGGGGTTAGGTGACTTGTCCTAGGTCACACAGCAGGGAATGCAGTCATAACACAGAGATCCCATTGTGTTCTCTCCCTCAATCACACTACCTGGCTCCAGCTCCTGCACAAATATGTTTAATCTTAGAAGTTCAGAGTCCTGCAAGCCATTTGGGTTTTAGAATTCATTTCTTTGATGAGGGTTCTTTCCAAATTATAAAATTCAACTTATCTAGATTCAGGTTTCTGAAATACAAGTGCTGACTTCTTATTCCTGCTGATCATTCACAATCCACCCAGTGCCCACACTGATCCCCATGTGGAAGCTGGGGACCCAGCATTAGGTGACCTCCATTGATGGCATCATGTGTATGGAGGTGACATGCTGCCTTATTGGTCTCCAGGGTCCTGGGCTCTCTGGCTGACTCTTGAGCCACCTATTGAGCCAAATTCAGGGTAAGCCAGTTCTATAGAATAGAATCTTCCAATCACACAATACAAAGTGGCCATTAATTCCCGTCAACATGTGACTGTGTGATAAGATATGCCTGCCATTGGTTCCAGCCCAGACCTCTCCTTGTGGCAGCTCATAGGTATCCAGTGCTTCTGAATTTTGCCCTACTTCCTTATGCTTTGCTGCCTTCACCTGTACCAAACAAGGTGTGAATTAGAGCTCATGCCTGGAAAAGATTCCCTCTGGAAGGACACCAGGCACCTCTCTGCATACCACCTCTGCTCTCCAGGCAGGAATATTCTGCAATAGACAAAGCCACACCCACAGCTGCTCTGCTCCTGCAGGAGCCAAACCAGATGGGATAGTCTAATTCCAGCAAGGCTGTCACCAGTGAGCCTTTGCCTTTGAGTATCCCTGCTTAGTCCAGTGGGAAGACACCTGCTCAGACAAACTAACACCTGGTGTTAAGGAGCTCGGAGAACTTGAAGGAGAGAGAGACATAGCTAGGACTTGGAAAGCAGAAAGCTGAGCTGCAGCCTCAATAACAGGGAGCCCAAGCTCCCTCCACCTCAAACTAGATGCTCAGGTTCAGTTCTTTTCTCTTCCCTGCAGCTTTTCCAGTTCCCACTTTGGGGTTTCCAGCAGCAGAGCCCTTTCTTGCTTTTCCTCACGATGCAGTTGAGCATATAAGACTAATTCTGGCACTTGTCATTTGGGGCTAAAAGCTCAACAACAGAGAAACACAGTTCTCTGTCACTGTTATGGCAAACAATGGTAGAAGAACAGCATGTCACACGTTTATTTCCAAAGGATTTAGGAAGCATTAATGAATTAACAAGTTTCTTGAAGGCTTTGAATATCTTTGTGAAAATTCCTTTTAGATTTGACAGCTTACTCAACAGTGGAGAAAGATAACATCCCTTATACAATCATTTGTCGGGTCAATAAAATTAAATTAATGTACATTTGAAATTACAAAATCTGGAAGTTAGAAAACCACACAAGTTCACCTTTTTTTAAAAAAAAAATCTCATTCCCTGCATTAATGACAGATATCTAAATGAGTGGTCCATGCAGTTTGTATCTGGGGCAAGGAAATGCAGAATACTCCCATCAGATTCTCTTGCAGAAATACAATAACCCAATCAAACTCTGCCTCCTACTTTACAGGGATGGTGGGCTCTGTGGAATTACAGCAATAAGTTGTAAATGATGCACAAAATAGAAGTCCCATTTCAATGCATCATGAGTTGTTTGATGTAAGTTGCAGAGTATGTGGGGCCACGTTCATGCTATAATATTCACTGTATTCTGTACTCAAACACATTCAAAACAAAGTCCGTTGAGCCCAAACACTTCCAGATAAAAAAAAGAGAATGAAAATGTTTGCTGACAGTTTCTAAGGCTTCTGATTTCCCATTTCCTCCCTCCCCAGGACATACTGTAGTAGGGGAAGTTCAGGGAGTAAAACTCTTCCTCTCGTCTTCTTTTGCTTTGAAACAAAAGGCGCCACCAACCTTCAAACTATTTTTCAAAACTAAGTTTTTAGACTTTACTATGGTTTGATACAATGTATTTCAGGGCTGCTACACAGGCAGTCTGAGGTCTTGGGGAAGGAGGCTTGAGCCTCCCTGCAGGAAGGTCTCCTATGGCCCCATCCTGGGGTCTTCCTGAGTGAGAAGACCCTCTTATAGATGGTGGGGCTCTTTCCAAGAAAAGGAGCCTTCCTGAAGCAGAGAAACAACATAGGAGGCCAAGGCTGACAGCTAGTGAGATGATCCCCTGTCCCAGTCAGGCCTGGGCTGGGGACACAGTTTGCTGGTCCAGCGACATAAGTTGGTGAGGCCAGTGTGCTGCCATTCACTCCACTCAGCAGAGCTTGCATTTCCAGCTTCCCAGCAACAGCCGCAAGGGGTGAGCTATGCAGAAGTGGAGGGTTCTGCACTGCTGCCAACTCCCGCCAGCATCTCAGGAAGCGGAGGGCGAGGCTGTCAGTGGAGGGAGGAATGGGCAGAATCCAGCCCTCGCTTCAGCTTTTTCACTGACTCATCACCCTAAGAGCACTCGGGGTTTTTCTGCCAGCCTAGTGACCTCACACTGACTGCACAGGGTTTTCATGGCTGGAAAGGACTCTCTCATCAGGGCTGAGGACCCAAGCCACCCTTGATGCTTGTTAACTCCAAAACTGAGGAGAAAAGAGCCACATTTCCAGCGATCATCTTCAATAAGATGTTACTACAAAGTCAAAGAGGAAACTGCAGGAGGGTCCTATTTGTTTTTCTTTTGTATGTCTGTATTCTCCTGAAAAAGGTGGGGGCTGGGGTGCAGAATTGAAAGTAAATTGGAACTAAAACCAGCTGCTTGAATTCTAGCTTCCATTATGGCAACCTCTAATCATGTGATCCTGGGTAAGTTCTTGGACACTCTAAATAAAATTGTCTAATGTATTAGAAAATAGAAAACTAAAACATATAAAAATGAAGAGCTAGACAGTGCGACGAGGCAAGAAAAAGAATTAACAGGCGTACCACATTGGGAAAAAAGAAATTACACTGTCCTTATTTGCAGTCAGTGTGATTGTCTATGTACAAACCCCCACAAAATCTACAGGAAAAAAGCTTCTAGAACTAATAATAGCAAGGTGAGAGTATTCAAGGGAACACACAAAAATAAATCATATTTTTATATACTAGCAGTCAATAATTGAAAACCAATAATATAAAAAATTACAATAGCTCAAAAAAAGTAGGTGTAAATATAAGAAAACATGTAAAGATCTGATGATGAGAACTACAAAATGTTGATGATAGAAATCAAAGATAATCTAAATAAATGGAAAGGCACATCATGTTCATGACTGGAGGGCTCAATATAGTTAGTGTCATTTTTCCCAAAACTGATCTGTAGACTTAACACACTTCCAATAAAACTCCAGCAGGCCTTTCTGTAGCTGTTGACAAGCTGTCTATGAAATGTATAAGGAAAGGCAATGGAACTAGAACAGCCAAAACAATTTTGAAAAAGAAGGACTAAATTGAAGAGCTCACACTACCCAATTTTAAGACTACAAATTATAAAGCTACAAATTTAATTTTCTTATAACAGCTAAGTTTACTCCATGTTAATTTAATCAAAATGGTATGATGTTGCTGAAATGATAAACACATTGACCAATGGAACAAAATAGAGTTCAGAAATAGGCCCAAAAAAATACAATCAATTCATTTTTGACCACGATGCTAAGGCAGTTCAAAGGACAAAGGATAGTCTTTTCAACAGTTAGGCATTCATATGAGAAAATGTCAACTTCAACCTATATCTCAGACTTTACACAAAAGCTAACTCAAAATATATCACATATATAAATGTCAATGCAAAATGGTAGGTTGACTCTGGAAATGCTTGACAATTTCTTCTAAAGTTACACATAAAATTACCATATGAATCATTGATCCCACTCCTAGATGTTTACTCAGGAGAAAAGCAAACATATATTCACAAAAAACCTAGACACAATGTTTATAGCAGTTTTATCCTTACTGGCCCCAAACTGTAACCAGTACAAATATCTTCTGGTGGGTGCATAGATAAACATTGATACAATGGAAGACTCTTCAGCAATAGAAAATAACAAACAATACACCCAATGTGGATGGATTTCAAAGGCGTTATGCGGGGGCATGCTCCACACATACACATTGTCTGTGACGTGAGAAAAGCAAAGTATATTCACAAATCCTAGACACAATGTTTATAGCAGTTTTTTCCTTTCTGGTCCCAAACTGTAATCAGTACAAATATCTTCTGGTGGGTGCATAGATGAACATTGATACAATGGAAGACTCTTCAGCAATACAAAATAACTCAAATTTTCAAAGGCGTTATGCGGGTTCACCCTCCACACATACACATTGTCTATGACGTTCTCACAAAAGACTAATCTATAAGGTCAGGGAAAATACCAGTGGTTCCCACAGGTCAGGGATATGTGTGGAGCATTTAATGACTAGTGGGCAGCATGAGGGGATTTTAGAGGGTGATGGAGAGGCTGTCTGTATATCCTGATTGTGGTAGTGGTTACGTAAATCTATGTATACGTTAAAACTCACAGAGTATACACCAAAAATTCAAAAAGACCTAATTTTGCTCTATATTAATTTCACTGCTTTTTAAATTAAAAACAAGATACATAATAATAACATGATTCACCTATTTTATTCATAGATTTACTCTACAAATATTTTAAGGCCCAAGTAAATGCAAAGCGTTGTTATAAAATTAAACACCTTGGACCTACATTGACCTTTCAACTTCCAGTATTTAAGGTGTCCACGAAGTTATTCGTGATCTAAGCCCCGTCTTCATAGTTAGAAACACAGTTTCTCCAGGTTTCAAGCCAGGGGTTGCCTTGCGTAGCTGGATCCACTGGAAACAGAGTCTCCCTCAGAAACCTGGATTTCCCCTGTCACACCTTCCCGCTGGGACTCTGGTTCACCTTGGAGGGTAGTGTGACGTTGTTAGGGGCTGGATGGTGCCCCTCTAAATTCCTGTGTTGAGGTCCCTAGGATCTCAGATGGTGACTGTATTTGGAGATAGAGTCTTTTTTTTTTTTTTTTTGACGGAGTCTCACTCCGTCCCCCAGGTTGGAGTGCAGTGGCATGACCTTGGCTCACTGCAAGTTCTGCCTCCCGGGTTCACGCCTTCTCCTGCCTCAGCTTCCCCAGTAGCTGGGACTACAGGCGCCGGCCACCACACCCCACTAGGAGATAGAGTCTTTAAAGAGGTAATTAAGGTAAAATGAGGTCACTAGAGTGGGCCCTAATTCAATATGACTGGGGTCCTTAGGAACAGAGTAATTTGGACAGACACACGTAGAGGAGAGCCCATGTGAAGACCCACGGAGAAGGCAACCATCCACCAACTGAGGAGAGAGGTCTCCAAAGAAACCGATTCTACCGGCATCTTGACCTCAGGCTTCCAGGCTACAGAATTGTGGGGCAAAACATTTCTGCTGCTGAAGCTACCCCATACCCCCATCTGTGGCGCTGTGTAACGGCAGCCCCAGCAGAGTGATCCAGACACTTCTCAGCCGGTGGGTTCTGCAAAATCTCCCAGCTCCCGTGAGCTGTCCCACCACCTCACATCATAGCCATGAGGCACGTAAGGGGTTAAGAAAAACATTGTAAAATCAGATCAGGTCTCTACTGTCTGCTTAAAAGTTGCATCTCTAGATTTTACATGAATTTTTAATTTTAGATGACACCTTTGACTAGAAGTGACAGTGGAGCAGATCATTTGTGTAATTACAGCAACAATCACCGAGGAAAGAGAGCACCTCTCAAAAGAACAGAAAATACGAAGTGGATTTGATGGCGAATGGGGCTGGTAGCCGGAGTTGCAGGATCCTCCAGCTTGCTGGAGCTGCGAAGCAATGAATGACATCACAGCCTTGCAAAACAGGAGGTCATTTATTTTCCCATTTTAGAGAAGGTATGCTATCAATTCTCAAGAAAAAAACAACACTTCATTCCAAAACACGTTTTGTGAGGGCTAGAAAACAAAACAAAACAAAAAACAAAACCAAAGGATACCTCCAGCAGGAAGGTATCAGATAAATAAAACTCAGACAATAAATAGAACCAAATCACAGCTAGTGTTCACATGTTTGAGCTGTGTGTTTCCGGTGATCATGTCCTCAGCAATAGAAGATGCTGTGTTTTGGCTTTTCTTCCACCTTAGATCTGATATTCAAGGCATATTAGTGACTCTAAGGCAGAGTAATTAAGCTGACAATCTGTCCATGTGGTAGAAGCATGATAAAAAGCTTTAAAATGACTTGGTCTAGAAAACACAGGTATGGAAATGCTTGGCAATTTCCGTAGCACAAAGTAACCTGATGTGTCACACGGTGAAGAAGCAAAAAGCAAGCTGAGGGATGATAAACTCACACCAACCAGTCTGAAAGCAAAATCTTTCTGCTTCCACAAACCGAGTGAAAAGAACTGTCTCCAACTTTAATCACTTTAGAGGAAGAGGGGGCGTAGCTGCTGTGGATTTTTAAGATACTGATAACACCACTAAAGTTTTAGAAGACCAATCCCTGTTGAATAGCTAGTTAAAGTTTGAGAACAAATGTCATGTTTTTATTGCTTATAGGAAGACCACAACTAATTAGCCTAAGTTAAGTAAAGCATATCCTTTGAAAATTAGAGACAAGTTACTTTGCCCTCTGAAGAATGGCCTATTATTTACACTGTTGCTATGAACATCCTGTAGTCTCCGAACTGGAACTCAGTATTGTCAGTAGAAATAGCCTGGGAGCAGGCATCGGCATCTTGTGACAACAGTGGGTTTTTGGAGGGAAAAATAATTCAACAGGTGGAAATAACTAGTGCTTTCTTTTGCCAGGTTTTGAAGATCATAACCTAAATTCAGTTTCTGATTGGAAGGTTTGGAAGTTGCAATGTCCATCGTTCCTTGCACGTTCTGAATGCTGTAACTAGAACCAATATTGCCATTTTCAAGGAGCTAGTGGAATCAGTGGGATTATTAATTGGGGAATGTGATCAAGGTGTCAAGTTTGTATGGAGACCCGCAATTCTCTCCAGCACCAGAGGAAGGAAGGATCACATGGGCCCAATGATTATGTTTTTAGGATGGAAAACTCTGAGAATGAGGGGAAGGACCCATCTATGGCAAGGGCCTGGAGATTTGCATTCTCACAACCACATTGAGTTCAAACCTTTCCTGCATTTTTTCCAGATTTACTACATCTTGAATGAAAATGAGAAACACTTTTCTTGGTGCAGAAATAGATCCTTGGCTCAAAAAGTTAAGTCCAATGTCGAGGAGATGATCTGTGCCATCTGAAAGGACGCGCCCAGCTCCTGAGAGAGCTGCAATATTCCTATTTGAATGAGGAAATTGCCTCCTTATTCAAATTCCACTTCCCCTTTGCACGTTCTCTCAGAACATGAATCCTTTAAGGTAAGATGTTCATTTAAAATGCACACATTTGGTCGGGCGCAGTGGCTCACACCTGTTATTTCAGCACTTTGGGAGGCCTAGGCAGGCGGATCACCTGAGGTCTGGAGCTCGAGACCAGCCTGACCAACATGGAGAAACCCTGTCTCAATTAAAAGTGCAAAATTAGCCAGGTGTGGTGGAGCATGCTTGTAATCCCAGCTACTCGGGAGGCTGAGGCAGGAGAATTGCTTGAACCCGGGAGATGGAGGTTGTGGTCAGCCAAGATCGTGCCATCGCACTCCAGCCTGGGCGACAAGAGTGAAACTCTATCTCAAATAAATAAATAAATAAATAAATAAATAAATAAATAAAATGTACACATTTTGGTGGGAAGCAGAAACCCAGTTGTAAAGTTCCAGGCACGCGTGTTCAAGTTAGGTGGGGAGACTGAGGCAGACGGTATCCAGTCTACATCTTCACACACAGGAGCCAACCCACTGTGGTCACTCTCCTGACTGGGCTTTCCCGGCAGAGCAATTTAGACAAAGAAGAGTATGCTGCTAGTTGCGTACCAAAGGGAAGGATTCCTAGTTGATGAAACGCAGTCATGTCCAAGGGGAAAAAAGGACCTCAGGTTGCAATTCCAGCCATCAGCCAGCGGCCCAACTGCACATTCACCTGTGTGCGTGCGTGCCTCCATGTCCTTGGTGTTCTGCCTGAGTTCAACAGGTCACCAGGTGAAAAACAGCTCTGTGAGGAAAGAGACTGCTCCGAGGGTGTTCCAGGCCATGCGGCTGATTCATCCTGGACTTCAGCAGTCGGCTGCTGAACTGCCGGATTGAGAACTTTTCTAGGGAGAAATTAAACAAAAGGTGGCTTTGAGTAGTGTAACAGAAAGGGCAATAGTATTGGGCATAAGATACTACTGGGGAAAAAACTCAGGGTGTCCTAGGACCAATTGTTAAAGTTAAGAAATATTAGGGAACAGAATTCTTGGTTAATTATGCTCGGTCTGTAGTAATTCCTAAAGTGAATGAAGTGATTAGTCTATCAATAATTGGTGTTTTTAAAGGCTTGCTTTAAAAATAAAAGTCCCTGACAGATTGAAGGATGGCAAACTTGAGGCTTTAAGCAAGGGGCCAGGGTAATAACCAGCGAGGAGGAGACAGTGTCTGACCCCATGGTGATGGTGGGCAAAGTCCTAGAGACATTAATAAGAGATGAGATCACAAAACATCTGGAGAAATAAACCAGTCAGGATGGCTTGTGACAGCAAAGGCTGCCTGAGGAATTGGGTGGAATTGTGCGGGGAGACAGGCAGAAGGTGGCACCCTCCAAGGACGGCGTATTCTGATCCACTTGAATCACCCATACGGATGCTGGTTGCATTTAGTACAGGTCTGATGAGCAAAATGGCTTCAGAGTAGTCAAAAATTGCATGAGAAGGCAGTTTTCTAGAGATGGGAGGACACTCGTGTGCAGATTTCCCTTCCCCAGATGGACTGAGGACAGGGAGGCAGGGCCTAGCCCAGTGCTTGGTACCCCTGAAACACAGAGAAATTCCGGCTTTCACAAAACATGGATAATAATCACCATTAATAAGAGCTCTTCTCGTTTCAGGTGACTGACACCCAAGTCAAATGCCTTATGCAAAACATGAATGTATTAGTTTACATGGCAGAGAAGGAAGCTGAGGTTAGTTACAGATTGGGCAAACTGTATGAAACAGGGACTCAATGACAGATTAGAGCACCCAGGGCCACCAGGGTTCCCCCCAACCTCTCTCTCTCCCCGTCTCCCTCTCTCTATCTCTCCTCACATCTATTTTCATCTTTTTTTTTTTTTGCCTCTATTTGGCTTTGTTCTGTAGACAGACAGACTCCACACAGCAGAAAATGTAGCCAAGAACAGCCTTGAATTCACAGCCTCAGAGCTCAACACATGGGACTTGTTCTCTGAAAAGGCACCCAGGGATCAGCTGCCACAGAGGCCGTAATTGGTCCCCTCTGGGTCACATGTCCACTGTTTATACCAATAGCTTTACTCAGAGGGTGGAATCTTGGGGCTGGTGGTCCCAAGAGAGGATCATGATTAAAGTGGAGACACCCCCCGAGTGAGACAGTGGGCTGAATGTTGTTGCAAGTTCCCAAGCAGTGTATCTGCCTCTATGGACTCTGGAGGTTCGTCCACATTTTTAAAGCGGGTTAGGATCATAAATGTATCAGTTGTCACCGTATATTACTGTGGGTCCTAACCCACATATTCTTGGGATGGGAACTTTTGCTTTGCTTCACTGGTAAAGGAAAAGTTCCCACAGTATTTTTGCTGTTATTTGAAATCTTTTAGGGGTCTCGTATGTGAATGCCAGGTCTTCCTGGATGGTGCTTTCCTTGTCACTGTGAGATGGGTCCACAGGGCGTATCCCTAGTTTGCTGTTGGGAAAAATAGCTCCCACTGCCCAGAAGCTCAGCTGGCCCATGCTCTGCAGTGGTTGGGCACCTACGGCCTTGATAACCTAGAGCGCCACGCGCCCCTCCATTGTTGGAGAAGCATTTCGGGCTGGCTGACTACACCCTGGCTCCTACATCTGCTGTCACAGTAGGTTCTGGGCTGAGGGTCAGTGGCGACATCTTGTAAGTAGGCAGAAAATATCGTAACTACATAGAAAGTCAGTGGAAATTTAGGTTGCCAGCTAGCTGGATCTCCCAGATGGTTTTCCTGCTTCCATTCTTGCTTTCCCACCCCCTACCCCCACCCACCACACCAATATCTGTTCTGTAGTCTAGGGGAAATTTTAAAACCTCAAATCCAGTTTTCCTCCCACTTAAAGTCCTCCTCTGACTTTCCATCACAATAAACAATTATATGGAAATGTTCCCCCGCGTCTGCCGGTTCAATCCCTGCTCACCGCCACAGCGTAGGCATTTACACGCCCACCTCCTGCCAGGCTTCAGTGTCTGCTTGTTCTGCTCTGACTTTCTGGGCCTTCTTCTTGTTCGTGGTCTATTCTTTATTCACTGAATGCCCTTCCTTGGGTTTCTACAAGGCCTTTTTTGTTTGTTTTTTTGTTTGTTTTTGTTTTTAGCTTGAAACTCGCATACAGAGAGACCTTCTCTGATCCTCCCAACTAAAATAGGCTCCAAAGCTTAATTTCTTTCATAAGATTTTGCCTTGCTGTGTTCTCTGCCTCTCCAAGCTAGATGGAATGAGAGCTGGACTTCCTGGGATCGCCACTCATCTGCAGTGCCTATGACAGTGCCTGATAAGCAGGAGGCCCTCAATTAAATGTGGCTGGGAAATAAATGACTGACGAATAGAATCTTGTAGCTCAGAAGACACCAAGCAGTGTTCCTGCTAAAGATGTGGGCATTTGTGGTCTTCAGTCCGTGCTTTCAACTATTAGCGAGTCACACACAAAGGCCAACAGATACTTGTCATTTTTGGAGGTTAAAATTGTCATCCTTCTCACTGTGAGACTGGTAAATGGATTGTCACTTAGCTGGAGAATGTGCCACACCGGTACCCCAGATACATTTTTATTGTCTGTCATCTTAGAGTCAGTAACACTCTTCACAGGTTGGAAAGGACATTTTTTTTTTTTTTTTTGGTCTTAAGGGATTTATGAAGCTCTCTAGGCAGAGGTCTTGTGGTTATTCTATGAATGAATGAATGACTAGATAAGCATTAAGGCTTCTTGTTCAAATTAGATGCTCAATAAACTAAGCTAAATAAATAATTAAAATATGAATAAGTAATCTTCTTAGGTAAGGCAGAAGTCTAAAGCAGAGAGAGAATAGTTAATAAAACTTCATATATTTTTCACATTTTTTACCCACACAATCAAATTTCTTCCACCAAAGGCTATCTGTACAAATGCCTGATGATGAGGCTGCCCAAAATGAGCTGAGAGGTGGGGACTGTGGTGCTGGGGCCAGCTTAAGGAAGAACAATCAGTGCTGACATTCATGACCAGGCTGGAGTCACCATCAATTCTTTATACAAATAACCAATTAGACCAAATTTAATTTTGTAAGTAAATTAGACACAAACAGTGGGCTTTCCCTGCCTTTACAAATGACTGCTGCTGCCAAGTCATTGGTCCCTGTCAATTTCTTTTCCTTATCACTTACAAAGAAGTTATGTAGACATAGTCAAGGGTGTAGACAGAATCATGGAAATGAAGCCCATGTTACAGATGTAGAGACGAGGACGCAACTGGATACATGGCTGCCCGTGAAGTTCAGGGTGGTTCTTAACTGGGAATGCTGAGCACATGTGCACATGAAAGCGCATGTGTGAACATGCATGCACACAAAGATCTATGGTGCAGGCAGCAAACACTCAGTGTTCGAGATAGCACCAAAGTCAACAGAGGATGCTCTAGTGGGGATTGACCCACAAACTGCAATTAGGCCGGCATGGAACTACTCATCACACTGCACTCCATGAGAAGGCTGGCTGGCACAGGTCAAGGTCCCATAAGTGAGGATATTAGCCATGGATGTGACACGGGGTGGTTTTCCAACCTGCTCATTCAAGAACTAATTGGTAGGTCAGGAAATTGCAGACACTGTCTGAACAAGCTAGGAAAGGGACATGAGGAGAGGGCAAAGTTTCATCATGAATATAGGAATTCTATTGCTTTAAATGCCATATTCTTTGTTGCTTGACACATTCATATTATCCCAGAGGCCATTTTAGTTGGTCTCCAGCTGTGAAAAAGACAACATCACATCTGTGGTGTCAGGTGGAGGCAAACACAACAGGAAAAAAATTAATTGAAAAATCTTGTCCAGATATTTTGCAAAGAAATTAATAATGTGCTTGCCTTATGGAGAGATGGCCCATTTTTGTGTCGTATGCAGATATTCAATGCATATTTAAATACTCTTTAGTTTTAATGTACTGATATTACAAAGACTTAAACTTATGAATATGTAAACGTATAGAAATCACTCAGTAGCTTTACCAAAAGGTCAATATACTAAATTTATTAAGGTCTAGGTACTAAAATGTCTGTACTGATCTTAAACAGATTTGTTGTTGTTGCAGATTTAACTAATTTAAGTGAATTATTTTGTGACAGCAAACATGTCTGCATGTGGGTCAGGCAAGGACCAGTGTTGAGCATGGGAGAATTAACTGCCAAGTCCTCATCCCAGAATCTGTGTGCCTCCCATTCACTTATTTGGTGCATCCTGAAACCTAGGTACAAATATGTTGGCCCCTTTGTTACCTAACACTTGGCTGACATGGGGGAGCCAGAAAAGGCAGGCAGAGAATTCCCCTTGACGCAATTAAAATAATCAATTTTTCCATCAGATCATGTGGATATCATATCAATTACTATCACATTTTTAACATGACTCCAAGCCACTTATAATACACTATTTGCCAGTCTTTTAATTGTATCAGTAAAAATGAATTTCCACCTGATATGGTAATTAAACTAAATATGTGATAATGCATTTGATTAGGGATGGAAAAACGTAAGAGAAAATCAAAATGAAAGGACGCCAGTGAGTCCTTTGCCTCGCGTGCTCCCTTCCCCTGGGCTGCTGCTTCCCTGAAGGTCCTTGGTCTTCTTGCTCCAAAATCGGAGTTTTCTGTGCTGCTGGACACAGAAGTTCAGTTCATGAAATATTTCACAGAGATCTTGCTAACTTCCCCAGTTGCAATTCCCAGGGAGACATGCTGAAGGAAAGCCACCTTTTGACCTGCTCTGGGGTGGCTTTGGGAGCTCCTGGGAACCCTGATTTGCCTGGCCCCCAGAAGCAGGCAGGTCAGGACCACAGACAATGTGGGAGAATGTCTCCCCTCCTGACTTCAGGGGTAGGACGCCACTCCATGATGGCCTCAGCATTTGACGCCCTCCCCATTGAGCAAAATGTTTCTCCTCTTCCTGAGGGGACAAGGCAAGGAGATTTAGCAGGTGCAGGTGGCCTGGGTCAGCAGAGAACTTCAAATTCTAGCTCTTCTGCTACCAGGGCAAGACACTTAGTTTCCCAGAGCCTCCCATTTCCCAGCCATGTGGTGGAGAAGATAATCCCCCTCCCTCAGGGTGGTTGAGTGCAGGGCGGAGAAGCACCTTGTAAAGCCATGCACAAAAAGATACAAGGCTGCTCCATTCATCTCATTGACAGCAAATATCCTGGCTGGTTTCATTGAACGTTTCTAGGATAAAGTAACCACTGATCATATTCATCATTAAGTTAACAAGGATTAATCTCTGTGTTCTGTTGAAATGAATTGGAAACTGGACTACTGAGTGGAAGATTCTTGTTGAAGGCAAGCTGTGGAAGCCACACAGAAGCAAAGGACCAGGGACACTTAATTTGATTTTCTTGTCCTGAAGGTGAGATGGCCTGGGTATGCTCAGGTGAGGGGATCCCCGTTATCTATTGATCTGCTCAAGAATTCAGTCAATATTTAGGGAGTGCACAGTGTACAATCAGCCATTGGGGTGTGTTGGAGAGAGACCAGAGGGATCATGAACTTCAAAGGGCCTTCCAAGGTGTAGGTGTGAATCCGCAAGGTGCAAGGTGCCTATTGTACCAGGATGTTTCTTGAAGCACCCTAACTGAGCTAGAGACAAAGCACCAGAAACATGGGAGAACCCACCTCCTGGAAGCTACAAGACCATGTCAGATAAAATAGTTGGCACACACATACATACACACTTTAAATATATGTATATATGTAATGTTAAATAAAAAGGCATCTAGCCAAAAGAAGGCTGCATTACAATTGTATCTTTATGAAAGTGCATATGACAATCACGTGAATATCAAATGAATTCATTATGATCACTGCTATTTCCATGCATACCAAATGAATGTATAATGACTGGCCTCTCAAAGTGTTACCAATTTTTTTAAAATTCTACAAATAATGGGAAAATTAATCTCATTACAGGCTGAAAAGGTCATGTTTTAGAAAAGGTATTCAGATTTTAGGGGTATTTGGATTTTAGAAAAGGTATTCGGATTTTAGAAAGGTATTCAGAAATACTTAGAAGGTTGGCAACCAGTAGTTTTCAGATTCTGCCTCAGCTCATTTATCCTTCCACCTTTGTCTAGAATCTACTTCTATTGCATTCTCAGCAATGTCCCAGCAGAGAAGGTCTTGCATCTGCTATCTGAATGAGCACAAGTTTCCTTCATTTCAGGAGTCCTTCGCTGCTTCTGAGGCTTCTTGACATTGGAAGGTTTGTCTCATCCTGAATGTGGAGGCCCGACAGAGGCAGGAAAACCTCTGCCCACAAAGCTGTCTTCCCAAAAGGCAGGACTGAAGGAGCCTTTTCTGAGCTCTCCAGGAAACAGAGAGATGCTGGCAGGAATGCAGGGCCTTAACTAGCACAGTTGGAGCCTGGAATAGGACTGTTGAAAGGCTTCCTTTCTCTTGCAGAAATCACCTTTTCCAACAAAATTTTAGGTGCACCTGGTGTTTGCAGAACTAGGGGAGGAGTGGAAGACCCTGAGGGAGCACGTGCACGTGTGTGCACACAAACACACACAATTTAAATATATGTATATAGATAATTTTGAATGTATTTACGCATATATACATATTTAATCAATTCTCAATAATCTTTTTTATTGGGTGACCCCAGCTCTAAGGGTCTGTCCCTGACCCCTGGAATTTGGTAGCTTAAATAGTACACTATTCAATGACTACGGTTTGGTGTGACAATTCTTTGTTTGAACCAAAGAAGCTGACACGCTTTGGATGGATGGCTTCATTTATATTCTAATTTTATAGAATTTATCCCTTACTCTTACGTGAAAGTGTGAAATTCAGAAGATCCCAGTGCCAACCAGAGTAGAATCCTCAGAGGAGGGGCAGGTTAAACGCAGGTGGCTGAGCCCCCCTTGGAGAGTCTGACTCAGGAGGTCCGTGAGTGTTTGCAATGCTCCCCGGGACACCGTGGCATGGGGCCGGGTTGAGAACCGCTGGATTAGCTGCGTTCTCACCGTGGAACTCACCTGGCCACTGTGAGCCCCCTCCTCTACGCAGGTCCATCTTCATGTGGTAACAATGGGGGAAGAGGAGAGGCAGTGGGGAGATGCTGGGAGGGGTTCAGAATTGGAGGCAGAGACTTTGTCAGCATTTTCTCATTGGAGACAGTCAAAAGGAAGGAGTCAAATCTGGCCCGATGTCCTAGTAACAACTCTAAGATAAAAAGAAGACACTGGGTAGCGGAAGTGGCAGTGCCACAGCCCACAGAGCACATCTTTGGAAGACTTGGGACACTTTGGGTGCCAGTGGCAGAATCCGACCACCTTTTGGGCATTTTCTCTATATTCCCAGGTGCTGCACAGACCCAAGAGTCATTGCAGCAACTGGATCATCCCCAGACCCTTGGGTCCCTGCTCCCCTCACCTCATGTCAGTCCTGCCCAGACCCTTCCTTGCAGTGTTCTGGGGTCACATCTCTCACGTCACAACCCTCTTGTCTTCAGAATGTCGAGCACCAAGAAACAGTTCTGTGTGACCAGACTGGAGTCACATGCCTGGTGCTGGGGGTAAGGGCTGGGGAGGGGGCAGATGGACTCTTCAGGCCCACCAGGGCAGGAGGGAGCAGTAATGTGAAGATCAGGGAGTCGACAGGCGGTGGAAAAAAAATACTGCTTTTCTTTCTCCATACAGTTCATTAATTAATTTCACCATGACTCATTTCCTAGGGTAAATTTCTGCAGAAGCAGAGAGAAAAGGTGAGTGTACACAAATGCTCTTGAACACATCCTGTAACAGAAAAAGGACAATTCCCTGTGGCTTCTGGGGCTTCTGGAGGAGTGGGATCAGGTACCCAGGGTGTCCACTTGCTCTTGAAGGAGAAGCATCCCTGGTGGCCACAAACCAAGAAGCAGAAGTCACATGAGGCTTCTGGGCTGGCCCCTCCTCTTCCAAGGGGGGCCTTGGAGCAAACCATGCCACCTCTAAAACCCCCAGTCACCTCATGAATAAATTAGGATTCATAATAAGGAACGGACACCAAATCCAAAGCACTGTCCTGGGTCATACCCTGGAGCAGGAAAAGGACATTATTAGAAACTTAGGTGAAACCTGAATAAAGTTTGTATTTAGTTAATCTTATTGTTCCAATGTGAATTCCCCATGGTTATATAAGACATGAACATTAGAAGAAATTGGATGAAGGGTATGTGGTATGCTCGAAAAGAATTTCAAGACAAAACATTTCAAATAAGGGCAGGACAGAGGAGATGCTTGGTTAGTATTTGTAGGATGATTGTGTCTTAAGGATTAAATTAGACAATGTCCATAGAGTGACCGTGATGAAACCTGACCAGGAGAACCCTCAGGAAATGGGAGTTGCTCTATGAGCTCTCAGCACAAAAGCAAGTCAGCTCCTTCCCAAGATGTGCAGGACCCCTTCTCAGATCCTGCCTCACTGTGGCCTTTCTCACCTCCTAAAGCTACGATGAAGTCATTTAGTCACTGCTTAGAGGTTCTCGGATGCACTGTGCTCTCCCTGGACTCTGGGCTGCCACACATTGCTCCCAACACCTGCTTCCACTCTCTTGGCTTGACCTTGCTCAGCTTAGATGTCATTTGTTCCAAGAAGTCATTCCTGATCCATATAAAATGGAACCAGGGACCCCATCGTCTATGGGGCTACCATCCTAATACTTTGCACCCTCAATGCTAATCCCTGATTACATATTAGTCACTCTCTAGAACAAGGACCCAGCAGTGTGCTGGATCATGCTCTGCACTGGATCAATATTTGTTGAGCACAAGAATGAATACTAATTGTGTCTCTCCAGGCAGTGGGCTGCAAGCTTCTTGTGAGTAATGATCTTGAGTCTTGCATCTTCTCAAAGTCTCCTTCTGTGGTGTTGAGTATAAAGTAGGTCACCAACGAATTCATTGCTTGATGGAAGAGAAAACAAACAAAAAAACTCAAGTAAAAAGTAACTGCATGAAATGCAATCGGGAGACAAGCAAGAAAAAAAAATCAAGCCTGGCCTTCTCTCTGAGAGCATTCTGTCTTCGGCAGTAAATTTCGTATTGTCTCTTCTAAGTCCTATGTCCTGAGGGTCTGCCATGGGCTGTGCATGGAGCAGGACACCGCTGGCCCCTTCCTCCACTCTGGCTGCTCACCTGAGCAGGCCCAAACCTCCTGGGCAATCAAGCAGAACATTTTGTCTGCATCCCTCTGAATTCACAATTATAACATGTTTTCCCTCTACTGCCTACCTTGGATGCATTTTCCTTCTTTCAGAAAATAGGTTCTTCTTTGTATTAATGACACCCATCCAAGGGATACCCATTCGGGTGACACTGTGAATATCAGACTAGTCACTGCATTCAAAAAAGGCACACCCTCTTTGGAGAAAGCAGTTTTGTAGGAGATATCCACAGTCAAGCTTGCCATAGGGAAGTCAATGAGGGGGCCTTCCTGGGTCAGGAAAAGCTCTGCATTGGAAGTGACCCTTGAGTTTCTGGGAAGGTTCTGTGTCTTGTGCTAACGCAATGCTAAGTCTTGCATTGAAAGTAAATTATCCTACATAAGGGCATGAAAATGTGTGAAAAGAGTGGGGAAGACAGGTCTACAGTGATTGCTAAAGGGTCATAGATCTATGTACACCCCCATCAGCAGGACCAGCTGAGTCATTTGCAAAGTCCAGTACAAAATGAGAATGTGACCCCTTCTTAAAAATTATTAAGAACTTCAAGCCAGTGACAGCAAAGCATAAATGAAATGTGCAGCTTTTCTTAGCATGGGACCCAGTGAAACTTCACATGCCACATGCCTGTGAAGCCAGCCTTGCCCATCAGTCAAAAACGAGGGTCAAGCTTCATACCCATCTGTCTGGTCATTAAGCCCTTCACCCTGCATAGCGGCAGGCCAAGCAACAGGGGAGTGCTCTGTTTAATGTGGTTCATTTCTCAGCTGAATCCTACAGCCTAAACCTTTCTTCAAGAGATCACTGCCTGTTTATGTGGACATATTCTAACCAAATTCCTTTCTATTAATGAACCTTTGGGTCCCCTGGTCTTCATTAACCACTAAAAGTATTTTTCATACTCTTAAGATATATAATTGTGAGAGAAAATCAATTTAAAAAAGTATAATATCTATTCAGGTGCAAAAAACCCTAAACAAAAGAAAAAGTAAAACCAAGAGTAATTTTAAAAAACTCAGAATAAGCCCTCAACAACACAGTTTAAAGAGACAAGCTTCCAAATGAGACCAGGGAGGCAGGAGCATCTCATCTTCAATGTCAGCTATCGATAGGTGTTAATTAACCTGAAAGAGTAGGAGAACTTTTTAGCAATGGCCATCATGAGCTGTGTAATGATCGACATAGAATCGAATGCAAAGCACATCCAGAAAAGGTATTTTAGTGTGAGCTTTTTGAGACATTTAGTGCAAATTATAATATTAAAATACCGAGCATCTTATTCATCCTACTGGCAAAAGTGTATGATTTATGCAAGGGTGGAAATGTTTGGAAACTGACCTGAATGTACTTTATTTGGCAACTTTTAGTGTGCAAATGAGAATAAGAGAAATCTTTCTAGAAAAAGCCAGTGCTGTTTCAGTTAAGTCACAGAAAACGAGCTCAAGAGAAAAATCCACATTATCCCGAATTACCTCACTTTTTGGTGAAATAGTCAGTTAAAGTGAACATCTATCTATAGAGTACAAAGCAGAAAGGTGGAAGAAGAGCTCTCAGTTCTGCTGCTTCTTTGAGGGGAGGGAAGCTGGCATCAGCCACCCTCTGCCAAGGGCGTCTCTGAACTGGGCTTCTTGGTGAGACACAATCAGACTTGGTGCCCACTTCCTGTTTCCAGAACCAGGAGCAGAAGTACCCCAGAGGACTCTGGGAGTCTACAGAGCCTTTTGGATGTTTCCACAACAAGTTATGGTTAGTACTATTTTATATTGAGTACATGTAATTTTGTTTTGCATTTCTAGAAAGTGATAATGCATAGTACTACCGGTGGGTAAACAACTCATTCTAGATTCCTCAGGGCAGCTTTGATTTCAGCATCATCCCTGTTGATCTCTTAAGTCCCTTCATACTTGGTGGGCTGCGTATTTTTGTTTGATTATTATTATTATTGAAAATATGGTCTTTCTAAGGTGCAGAATAATTCTAATTGAATCAGAAGCTTTAGTTGAGTAGAACGTCCTTTTTCCCTTTAAAAGTGTTAGGATGGGAGTGGACTACTGTTGTCTAGCTCAGTCCCTTGAGGTTTCTTAGCTATGCCTTGGGTTTTGTTATTCGGTGCTGTCCTTTACTGAGATACAGGAGGCTCCAGGGAGGGCTGGGCACATTCTGCTGACCACCCAGCCATCACTAAATGTTCTACTGGCAAGAGGGAACTTCCTTCTAACGGGTTAATGAGACTTTGCCCGTGTTGCCTGTCATGGCAATAGCCCTACTGGGGCTGTTTCCAGCTTCCATCTCAAGTGACTTCTTATTCACATTATATTGAATTAATATGCACATTATACCAATGAACATTTTATATTTCTTCAATTAAAATTCCCAACCCAAATATACTGCTTTAATCGCTGGGAACACCAGTGTTATGTCAACACCTCTGTCTAGCACAGGGTTAGACTGTTTCTCTCTCATGCATTATGGCCACACCTCTTCACACATCTGTCCAGAGTGAGAACTCACCGTGCGACTGCAAGAGACACCAGACAGCAAAGTCCTTATTCCTCAGAGAAAGAGGCAAGTTACCACCCTCAGGTTTTGTGGGCTTTCAGCATGTATTGTGGCTACTATCTGTCTGCTGGTTGTCTTCAGAGAAAAAAAAATTAAGAAACAAAAATTCCCTGTAGCCAAGAATAGGAAAATGGGGCCATTTCCTGGTGCAGCCCTGATAGGGGACGGCTTGGGGATGGTGTGGGGATCGCTCGCCAAACACAGTCCAGCTGACACGGTGCAGCAGCACATGACTTTTCTCTCCTCCCCAAACACACCATCTCTTTGACAGACAACTGACTTCCCATTCGCTGCCCGGGAAGCCCAGCTGCTCCCCTCTGCCTGAGGAGCTCTTCCTCCATGCTCCAAGGCCACAGGTGGCAAGCCACTTACCTGTGTTCCGCAAACACGTGTTGATCATCTGCGCTGTTCCAGCTCTGTTCTAAATGTCAGTGGGAAGGGGAGGGATGACAAAGTCACTACCTCTGCCCTTGAAGAGCACAAGGTGATTTTGATCTATTTAAATATGGTATAAATGGCCCATGTGGATGGGCTTTGCCTGTGGGAATAAGCAAAGTTCAATTGAATGAATGAAGAAATGAACCAAAAACAAAACAAAACAAAACAAAAAAAGAAAGAAATCAGACCACCAGACTCCATCCAGTATTTTACACTGCAGGTTGACAGATATGCATGTAATCAATTTAATCAACAGAGTGAAAGCCAGAAAGTCCAAAGACATCAACAATGGTGAGAAATGTTGTATATCCTTCCACGAAACACACCCAAACCCACACAGACACTCTATGTCCATATCCTACATGCTTTCTGCTCTTTTCCGTACATAATTTAAACAGTTTCTCATATCTTATATTTCCCGTAGAATATTAAAAGTCGATATAATGCAAAATCCTACTCTCCCACCACATATGTGAAGTAGAAAATAAACATTCATAGCCCAGTGAGGCAGAGTTACACTTTGAAAAGTGAATTTGTGCTGCTGAAGAGTGTGGGTCTGACAGCCCGTGGGGAGCACGGCCCATAGTGCAGGGTCTCACAGCAAGCTGGGGCTGCTGCGGAAAGGCCAGGGCCTCTGGGCTCTGCAGCTGAGTCCCCCTCAAGTCTGTTGATTTGGGACACCCTGCCCCACCACCTCCCCAAAAGTCAAGTATAATAAATGTACTCTGGCCTCATAAATCTCCAAATTCACTCACAACTTCCTCTGTTTTCTCTCCTATGGACCCACTGGGACACAGTGAGCTTTAATAGAACTCTTAGTAGAGATGAATGCTGAGATGTTTCTCTGCCCTTGGAAATTGAGATCAGCTGCCTAGGAGATACTTTCACCCAATGATAAGAACCCCATACCCACCTATAAACAGCCACTCAAACAACCCCATCCTGGGCCTGCCCATTACACAGCAGAGACAGTGGAGAGCTGGCCTTTCTCGGTAAATGGGTCACCTACAAAGTCAGGCCAGAGTAAGCCAGGACATGGCCCCCCTGACTCTTGGGCAGCAGCTGAGCCTCTAGGTTTGCACAGCTTGGATGCAGGCTTGATGACTGCAAAAAGCAGTAGGAAAAACAAATTGGGGGCACAGCAGTCATCCTTGGCTCAGCTCAGTGGCTCAGCAGAGGCTCAGGCTAGAAGAAGATTGTGGATGAATGACTCAGTCAAAAGCAAAGAACCAGACAAAGGAAAACTAGAAAGTGACGACTAAGAACTGGTGAGGTCCAGAAAGAGGTGTGATGGGGGCCATGACAAGGTCAGAGGTCACAGCCAGGATTGGTTCCAGAAAATGGCTATGCCAACAGGGCCTGGGACACGGTTAATGTTGCATTTTAACCCTGGGGTCACATGTACATGGCATTGTTGAGTTTTGTTCTGTAACAGGTACCATGCTGGGCCCTGACAATACCGAGCTGGATAAGACTCCACTTCTGAGCTCTCTCCTAGCTGGGCAAGCTGTTATGGAGATAGATCACTATAACCCAGTTGAATGATTGGTGCGTCTGAGCTGTGTTCCCTGCTATACCACCAGTGCCTGACCAGAACTCATGCAGGGCAGGCATTCAAGACATCTTCATGAACAAAGTAATGAATGAGCAAGTGAATGAAAGAATAATACAAGTAGGTAACAGAGAAGTCAGAAGTAGATAGAGAAACAGTATAGAAGGAAGTGACTAAATTACATGGCCTTAAAGGGTCTATATATTCCAAAATGCATTGTATTTTATCTATTTCTTAGCAAATTATAAACAATTACCATAAAATTAAATGCATTACAAATATTTTTTTCTGTTATCTGTGATGGAGTGAAAGGAAAGTTCATTAGTACTTACCAAAATGATGCAGCCATACTTACAATAGTCGGATTATCTGAAAGGTCTGAAATACAAAAGTTACTGATTTGGCCAGGAACTCAGGAAGGTTGAAAGGAGAATGGAATCGATCAAAATATCTGGAAGCCTGTTCTGGAGGAGTGGTGGGAAGGGGGCATGGAGCTGGCTATGAGGAGGTGTCTAACATGATAAGTTAGATAAGGCTGCTTGGTGTGTGTGTGTGTGTGTGTGTGTGTGTGTGTGTGTGTGTGTGTGTGCATATGCAGATGCAAATATCAGGTAAACCAAGAAAGGCTCGCTGAGTGAACCTTCTAGGTTTCAGATTATTCTATGGCTGTATGTGGATTTCTGAGATCCCTGACTTGAACTGTAATGCTTTCCACATAGTGGGAGGTAACAACATTGGAAGCAATAGAATAACTTGGGCCAGGGGTCAACCTCTAGTGATTCAGCTCCCTCCTCCATAAAATTGGCTGCTCACATCCAGCCTGGTGCAGGAGAGTACTAGAGTACTGATATGGTTTGGCTCTGTGTCCCCACTCAAATCTCATCTTGTAGCTCCCATAATTTCCACATATTTTGGGAGGGATTCAGTGGGAGATGATTGAATTATGGGGGCAGGTCTTTCCTGTGCTGTCCTTGTGATAGTGAATGGGTCTCATGAGATCTGATGGTTTTAAAAGTGGGAGTTGGCCTACACAAGCTCTCTGTTTGCCTGCTGCCATCCATGTAAGACATGACTTCCTCCTCTTTGACTTCCACCATGATTTGAGGCTTCCTCAGCCATGTGGTACTATAAGTTCATTAAACTTCTTCTTTTGTTTTTGGTAAATTGCCCAGTCTTGGGTATGTCTTTATCAGCAGCATGAAAATGGACTAATATAATAAATTGATACTGAGAGTGGGGTGCTGCCGAAAAGATATCTGAAAATGTGGAATCGACTTTGCAACTGGGTAACAGGAAGAGGTTGGAACAGTTTGAAGGGCTCAGAAGAAGACAAGAAAATGTGGGAAAGTTTAGAACTTCCTAGAGACTTGTCAAATGGCTGTGACCAAAATGCTGATAATGATATGGACAATGAAATCCAGGCTAAGGTGGTCTCAGATGGAGATGAGGAACTTGTTGGGAACTGGAGCAAAGGTGACTTTTGTCATGTTTTAGCAAAGAGATTGGTGGCATTTTGCCCCTGCCCTAGAGATTTGTAGAACTTTGAACTTGAGAGAGATGATTTAGGGTGTCTGACGAAAGAAATTTCTAAGCAGCAAAGCATTCAAGAGGTGACTTGGGTGCTGTTAAATGCATTCAGTTTTAAAAGGGAAACAGAGCATGAAAGTACAGAAAATTTGGAGCCTGACAATGTGCTAGAAAAGAAAATCCCATTTTCTGAGGAGAAATTCAAGCCAGCTGCAGAAATTTGCATAAGTAATGAGGAGCTGAATGTTAATCCCCAAGACAATGGGGAAAATGTCTCCAGGGCATGTCAGAGGTCTTCACAGCAGCCCCTCTCATCACGGGCCTGGAGGCCTAGGAGGAAAAAGTGGTTTTGTGGGCCAGGCCCAGGGTCCCTGTGCCGTGTGCAGCCTAGGAACATGTTGCCCTGTGTCCCAGCTGCTCTAGCCATGGCTGAATGGAGCCAACATAGAGCTTGGGTCATGGCTTCAGAGGGTGCAAGCAAGCCTCAAGCCTCGGCAGCTTCCGCGTACTGTTGACCCTGCCAGTGCACAAAAGTCAAGAATTGGAGTTTGGAAACCTCCACCTAGATATCAGAGGATGTATGGAAATGCCTCTATGTCCAGGCAGAAGTTTACTGCAGCTAACTTGCTTTTGATTTTACAGGCTCATAGGCAGAATGGATTTGCCTTGTCTTAGATGAGACTCTGGACTGTGGACTTTTGAGTTAATGCCGAAATGAGTTGAGACTTTTGGGACTGTTGGGAAGGTATGATTGGTTTCAAAATGTAAAGATATGAGATTCGGGAGGGGCCAAGCATGGAATGATATGGTTTGGCTCTGTGTTCCCATACAAATCTTATCTTGTAGCTCCCATAGTTCTCACGTGTTGTGGGAGGGATCCAGTGGAGGATGATTGAATTATGGGGGCGAGTCTTTCCCATGCCATTCTTGTGATAGTGAATGGGTCTCATGAGAGCTGACGGTTTTTAAAATGGGAATTTCCCTGCACAACCTCTCTGTTTGCCTGCTGCCATCCATGTAAGACATGACTTCTTCCTCCTTGCCTTCCACCATGATTGTGAGGCTTCCCCAGCCATGTGGAACTGTAAGTCTCTTAAACCTCTTTCTTTTGTAAGTTGCCCAGTCTTGGGTATGTCTTTATCAGCAGTGTGAAAACAAACTAATACAAATACTTAAGGGAAAGTGCTTTGAAGTTGAAAGTTTGGCAAAATAAAATTTCATCATCATAAAGAATAAAGAAATACCCATCAGTAATGAAAGATTGAAACCTTAAAGTAAAGATTAAAATACATGGGAAAAGATTGAACCAAATAGTAACAAATGGAACACTACAATGTGAAAACAGTCAGGGTAGGCTGAACAAGGCCAGCATTACTGAATCCTCGTTGGCCTAGGATTCCTCCAGGACCAGGTGCTGCTCACCTTCTCCATCCCATCATGACAGACACACTCAGCCGAACCACACCTTCCAGTATATACTGACTGCACGAACGTGATCACGGGACCATATTTTTTTTCTCACCTGTTTTATAGATGCTGTTTGCCTCCCCATATAAATGTTGAGAACATGTAAAATGTTATCTTCTCCAGAATCTCCCAACAACACCCAAGTTGGTTCTGGGCTTATACAGTAAGTGCTAGTAAACACTGGCCAATCCCATCCCAAGGTCAAAGACACCAGAGGTGTGCAGGGCATAGCAACATGGTGACCACACACTGCTGGACAGTGTCTTCAATTCCAAACACCCTCTAGGTGTATCAAAATAGGCTCTGTTACATACAGCATTTCATTGATGTTAAATGCCCCTAAGAGCACCCCATATTTTAACATTTCTCAAATAAGGATGGCACTTGAAATGAATGTGTACGTTTCATGTGAGATTATATGTTTTTCCTACCCATTGAAAGCTGTTTGAAAAGAATGATCTCTTAAAATCAGGCGAATATCACAATCGATATTTGATAAATAAAGAGATCTTTAGGTTCTCTGAGAGATGCACCTGAAAAATAACAGGGCTGAGCCACCCTAAGAATCTCCGCACCCCCACGCCTGAGTATCTGCTGTTCCCTCCACTGCAATACCAGTGCACCAACTTGTCCACTTGGCAAATCCACAATTATTTTTCCAGTTTCCAATTGCCATCTTTATGGTGAAGCCTTCCCTCCTGATAACTTCAACTGAAAAAAATCTATATTCTGCTTCCACAACTAGGGTAACCAACTATCCTTTTTTCTCCAAGACAAGAATCTATAACTGGACAACTAGTAATAACACTCTATGTTTCCTTTTCTTGGAGCTGTGACCAGTTAACAACTCCTTCATGAACTGTCTATGTGCAGCTCTGAGTCATTCATAAATATTAAATCACTGGATTCTCCTAACAACACTTCCAGAAAGTTTCTATGATTACCTCCATGTTACAGGTAAGAAAACTGAGACAGAGAGGTTTGAGTAACTTGTCCAAAGTTACGCAACCACCTTGGGCAAGTTAATAGACTTGAGATTAGAAGCAGGCAGGGTCCTTTCCATGGCCTTTCTCATGTCCATCCTTCCCATGGCCTGCTGGGGTCTGCTTGCAGCTGAATCTACCAGGTTCTCTACTTCTCTGTTGTCTTCTGCATTCTCCACCTCCTGGCCCCAGTCCAGGAAGGCATATGTCATGGGGGAAGGAATATATCATAGCCAAGGCCTTCTTTCTTCCCCACTCAACAGTCGCTTCTGTGCTGTCTTTAAGTTCTAATGTCATGCAAATTGCAGATCCTTGTATTTTAAGCAGTGTTTGATTGCTTGATTCTTTGGGGTTTATGATATTAAGCAAGGCTTGGTTATATTTGGATATAAACTCCCTTTTTATGAAGGAGTACAGACTAGGAAACCCTCCATATCACAGGGTCGGTGCTCCCAGGACTCTCCTGTCAACGCTACACCCTGATTCAGGGCACAGCCTGGAGCTCTCCAAGCCGAGTCAGATCCCCAACCCCCACTGCCGTTTTGATTTTATGTTTACTTGTTTTTTTTAACCGCCCCCCCTCCCACCTTATTACAGTTCAGGGAACTCATTAATCTCTTCACCTAATATCTGAACCGGGCTTTTTGGGATGCAAATGCTCTTCAGCGACGGAAATAGCAAAGGCTGTTCAATTTGTGCGCTGATGTGCCAGCTAACATAGGTGTGTGATGCAATGCAGCGTCCAGTATGCTTGTTGGAAATGCGTCACGTTGGTGAAGGTCACTGAGGCTGGCATTCTGTGTGCTCTCAGTACAGAGAGGCCAATGCCAGGAAGATGCTCAACAACAAAAGATAAACTTCCCTTTAGGCAAGTAGATGAAGTCCTAGGATTCGTGGAAGGAGACGAACTCTGGCAAGTATTCCAAGGGATTTTTCAAATAAAGCCCGTGTTGAAAAGTCACTGGTTCCTTTTTCTTATTTGCATCAAGAGGGAGCCCAAATAGAGACTTGTGCTTCCCGGTGATGTCTCGTGAAATAATGCAAGTGAGAAGATGCAACTGTGTGGCAAATTTATCAAAATAATTGCTACCGACAGATGATTTGACAGGCTCTGTACAGACTTTCCAAACAATCAAGCCCACGGTGGTCCACTTTGGAATGCTTTTGCCTTCTGTCTTCTGGAGGGTCCCCTCTGATTATATTTTTTCATCCTAAAAGTTTCCTCTTGGGAAGCAGGCTGTCTCAGCCAATCAAGGATGGTTAACAACCATAGTAGAAGCTGCCTACAGGTTGACAGGCAAACCGGTCAAATATCTTGGTGTAATCACTCAGGTAATTTGGTGTCATAGCTTTAATAATTTCTAGGAATGTCTTCATGCAAGGCTTTGGGAGTTACTTGCATTTTTTTTTATAAAATGTAAAATAAAATAGGACAATTTTAAAAATCAATTATGCCATAAAAAGTGGTCTCATCTAATGGTTTTTGTGCTTTGATTTTAATCAAATAATTTAAGAGGATTAAAAATGACAACATTAATAGCTAGTTGGTTTCTATTTGTTCTAGAAACAGACACTAATTTTTTGTGTCAGTTTACCTTACTGCTACCCGGTGCTCAACTCTTGCGTCAGGCAAAGCCAGCACTTCCGAGCCTGCAGTTCCCGACGTTGTGTGAAGGAGGGGCTGAAGAGAACAAAGGTGCAGATAAGGAGAGGGAGGCTGAGGGGATATTAATTAGCTCTTCTGTACTACACCGTATTTTAATTAATCTGACAGATTTTTCAAAAATGGAATTGACTTTTCACCATTCTTTTTCCGTGTGAGCACTTTTCCTTGTCACTGAGCAGGTCAATTGTACTCAGGCTTTTAGCTGTTCCCTTTATTGATCTCATGCCCTACCACAATGTCTAGCGTGATCAGCACACAGCAGAGCAGGGACAATGTTCCCAGACACTGCTCTCTTGCCAGAAGCTTCTACCAGAAGCTAGTCACTTACAAATTGTCATCCTGAGCCAAGCCCCTCACATGGTAATCTAACCCACCTAAAAATCTTCCAGGAAAATGCCTCTTAAACACGTGGCTTAAGATAAAGAGAGATACTCCTCAAAAAATTAAAAATACAATGAATATATGACCCAGTAATCCCTCTTCTGGGTATCTAATCCAGTAGAAACAAAATACATTCCTTGTAGAGATATTTAGGTTTTCATGTTCATGTCAGCATTATTCACAATAGTCAAGATGTAGAAACAACGTAAGTGTCCGTTGACAGATGAATGGAAAAAGAAAATGTGAATGTATATATACACACATACACACACATGATGAAATATTATTCAACCTGTGAAAGGAGATCCTGCCATTTGTGACAATATTAATGAACCTGGAGGACATTATGCTAAGTGACATAAGCCAGACACAGGAAGATAAATACTGCATGATCTCATTTTATATGTGGAATGTAAAAAAAAAATAGTCAAATACATAGAAACAGAGAGTGGAATAGTGGTTACAGTAGACAGATAAGGGAAATAGAAGTAGGTCAGAGGGTACAAACTCACAGTTATAGAAGAGAAAAAAGTTTAGAGATGTAATGGAGAGCATGAGGACTGTAGCCAACAATATGTATTGTATACTATAAACTTGCTGAGTGTAAAATTTAGCTATAATAAATACATATTGTATACTATAAATTTGCTGAGAGTAAATTTTACCACACAAACACACACACACACGTAACTCTGTGAAGAGACGGATATGTTAATTTGCTTGACTACAAAAACTACTTCACTTTGTCTATGTATATGAAAACATCGTATTGTATACATTAAATAGAGTGAATTTAAAAAAAGATAACCTTAGAATTTTTGACCTTTTTAGAGCCTCCAAATTAGGACATCCTCTTACCTTAACTGAGATTTCCATATTACCCAGAGACAAAAAGCTTCCTTTCAATTCCTATCAAATCTCTGACTACTTCCACAATTATTAACATTAACAAGAAGGATTGGGGGGTCCAGGCATTGAGGACAGCTGAAGACTACTAAAAGGTGCTGCTGGATTTCTGGAAAACCTACCATCTAACAGTGCAGCAAATACATGCTCAAAACAGGCTTGGCCTTCCAGCAGTGAGCCTTTGACTCAAAGGCCCTAAAAACCTTCCATAAGACAGACTCTCGGCCGGGCGCAGTGGCTTATGCCTGTAATCGCAGCACTTTGGGAGGCCGAGGTGGGCAGATCACCTGAGGTCAGGAGTTCTAGACCAGCTTGGCCAACGTGTTGGAACTCCATCTCTACTAAAAACACAAAAATTAGCCGGGTGTGGTGGCGGGTGCCTGTAATCCCAGCTACTCAGGAGGCTGAGGCAGAAGACTCACTTGAACCCAGGAGGGGAAGGTTGTACTGAGGCCAGATCTTGCCACTGCACTCCAGCCTGGGCAACAAGAGTGAAACACCATCTCAAAAAAATAAAAACAATAAAAAAGACAGAGTTTCCTCCTCCTCTCCTTCTAGGCTGCTCCAGGTCAGAAGCCATGTCCCCGTGAGAGATTTGGCCCGGAAGGAATTAGATTTGCTCAACTCCCCGGGCCTCTTACACTGGCCTGAATCTGAGCTCATTAGGCGCTTGGGTCCCAGCCACCCTCATACCCACTCTACATGAGTAGCAAGACCCTCAAGCTGTGAGATTTTTGCTGCTTTACTGAGTTTCTACCTTGAAGGCAGGTTTGGGAGCCTTAACTTTAAGAAGGATCTATATTGCAGTCGGTAGGTGTCTGATATCACTGGACGGGCCTCTGCTCTGTTCTTCCAACATGAATAAATGGCTCATCATGGAGCCCATTCCATTCCCGGTGTAAACCAAGAGCAGACGTCTGGTGCCCTTGCTCAAGCGAAGCACTGGCAACCACCACTTTACCTTATTTAGATTCTGGGAAGTAAGGAGATCAGAGTCAGAATGCAAAGCCCACAGCACACTGCCTTTCCCACCCACCCCCGGCGGTTCCAGCATGCATGGGAAACCCCTGAGCACATTCCTAACAGCCGGTCCCTTCCACGTTGCCCCACAGCCAGTGCCTCTTGTCCTCTGGTTCCAGTTACTCATGGTACTCCTCCAACCCCATGAGGCCTGGCTCGTGTATTAATAACTATTGTAGAAAAGTGTCCAAGTCTCTTACCTTCTCTGGTTTCTGTTTTAGAGATGATACAAGGAAATATAACACTCTGGATCACTTCATCTTACCCAAAGCAAGAACATCTTAAAGGATTTAGATACTGAGAAAAAAAAATATGCATGATAGATACTTTCAGGAACGTGCACAATAGACTTGGAAGCCTCCGAGGATTCCGCCTGAGGACACGGCCCCATGAGCCGGCTCACGCTCAGAAGGATGGCTGCCTCCACAAGGCTGCCAATTTGAGCACCGGCCAAACTGCAACCAGACCCCAGGAAAGGTAAAATAGATTGAAATGTATTGCGCGGTACTCAGATTCACTCCTCTGTCTGCGAGATTATTCTTCTTAAACACACACCCACACAGCGAGCATCTGCCCACGGCCCCGTGGCGTGCTGGAGCTGACATGTATCGGCTCATGGGAGCCAGTTGTTAAATTTTCAGGAATTTTTTGAATCTTTGTTAAACACAGCCATTGTTAAATACTAAATTATATACATTTAACATTAAGTAAATTATATTTTATGAAAGGTAATAGGTGCCCCAAATGAATAACTTTCTAATTATTTCATGACCTTTTCCAGCAAACTGTCCTCTTGAGGTTACTTATGCCAGTGTTATCTATATGGTAAAAATACCGTATATTGGAGGGCCACCTAGTAGGAATATTTACACCTCAGAAACTGGCAACCACTATCAGTCAGGGCTTTCCGCCTTGGAGAACTGGTTGTTAAACACTTCCTAGCACAGTTCCATGCCCTCTGCTCTCAGCTCTACAATAGCTCGTAATAAGTCCAATTGGGGAAGTGCTCAGAATGCATTTCTTCATTCATATTCCCCATGAACTCTCCTGCCAGTGAACAGCCATTCACTCCAGTGTGTGGAAAGCAGGAATCTCATCTTTTTCCTTTAAATCTGTTCAGCCATGTAGAGAATTATCCCATGTAATAGACTTTATCTCCATACTGCAATTATTAATATTGGGCAGAGGTCATGTGCTTCTTGGCAAGGCTCATGTTCCCAAGTATAAATCATGATAAAATAGGTTAGCTCTGGAAGGCGGAGTGATGTTTTCGATTTGGCCAGTGTAGAAATAGAGTTGGATTTAAACAAGGGCTTTAAAAAAAATTGAAGTCCAGCAGTACAGACATGATTGAAATAACCTGGATACGTTATGAACTTCGCAGCCAGTGGAAATCAGCCCGGGGACAAACTGAAGCCACCGTGCCAGAGCAGGTCCTCGCTTGCAGCCTGGAATCACAGCGAGTCTGTGCTGCGCACCTTTTTATGGCCAATTATGGGGATGCTTCATTCTGCTCAGTAGAGGGGAGCTTGCACTCCCCTCATCAAATCTATGAGCAGGAGCCAACACACCCTGTGCAGGTCTCTGAGAAAGAGGCACACACATCATCTTTGCAATAAAGCTTTCCAGTTTCTCTGATTAATATTAAAAAGAAGTATAATAACATGACCCGAAGAATAGACATAATCCTCTCATTCGGAGGGTTGGCACCACAGTACCATACCATGCACTCCAGGCTCAGGCAAATGTGTCAGGGTCCCTGCAGACCTTAGCTCCCACCCTCATGCCCCCACCTCTCTCCCAGTGCTCTCTCCTCAGGGTCAGTGGCAACTCACATCTCCACATCTCCATCTTGACAGCTTAGGGCTCCAAAAACAACAGAAAATAAGAAATAAAAAGTCAGACGATGCCTGTCTTCTTAGTCCCCCTGGGAGTGACTTCACAGGGCAGATGTTTCCTGCAGAATCTGCAGCCCGATCTGGTTAGGGCCTGTGCACCCTCTCAATGTTTCCTATTGTCATGTAGCTTTATCTCCTCATCTCAGTTTTTCTTCATTTATTACTCTTAAATGAATATTTATTAAGGATTTATGATATACCAGAAATAAGGCGTAATATGCAGAAAAGCACGTTGAGGAAACTCTATGAAATGCGATATTAGTGAAGGCGTTCCTTGGGGAAATGGTGTGCAGTTTATCAGGGTGTCTTGTGAACGTTGCATGAAAATTTCCTCAATAAAAGGGAGATTCTACCTGATGTTAATTTGGAGCATATATCCATATGCACGTACAAGTGTTTATATATTTAAGATGGGGAGGAATCACATGGTTCAGCACAGTCTTCTCCACAGTCCCAGGGCTGCAATCTTGCTAGTGCCCCACCTAGGCAAGAGTTTATTATGGTGTTAAGTCACTCTTGTAATGTCTCCCTAGCTCGGTATTTCATTTTGCTCAAATTTTCCATTTTTATCCATATTTAGTTCTGGGCTGACCAACACAAGACTCTTATGCAGTTTTCTTCTTACAACTTTTCAATAGACTATGGCAGTGTTTGATATCAATCTGTGCATGCATTGTTTGTGACTCTAACAGTCCAGATGGCAGGGCCCATCTCTTAGATATTGTTAAAACTGTTGAATACAGGGTGTGACACATTCTAGCCCTTCCAGGAGCCCTTCCTTGTCATGGCCACCCATTCACAGCAGGCCTGGTCATGTGACCTCTTTTGGCCAATGAGTGTGAGCAGAAGCTACACTGGCCAATCCCAAGCAGTAGCTATCACACCCAGGAGACTGCCATGATTTCTTTTTTTTCCTTCTGCCAGGAGACCGGGAGCCTCCCAGACGCGGGCTGCTCTGTCAGTTGGGGGCCTGTAGCAAAGAGAATCTGGAGAATGCCACAGCACATCTGTGATGAACACAAAAGATGATTGTCACTGTAAACCACTGGTAATTCAAGATCTTCATATTTTTAGTTTGTAGTGTAAATTAGTCTATCCTGAATGGGCTAATATGCTAAAACTTTTTGTTTGGAGTTTTAGGCAAGCCCATAGGGAATTAACATTTTTATTCTATCCCAGGGCTTTTATCTCATGCCCATTTGCTGCTAAGGTGAAGGATAATTCCTGATATCCGTAATATATATATATTTTGAGACAGGATCTGGCTCTGTCACCCAGGCTGGGGTGCGGTGGCATGATCTCGGCTCATTGCAACCTCTGCCTCCCAGGCTCAAGCAGTCCTCCCACCTGAGCCTCTCGAGTAACTGGGACTACAGGTATGCACCACCATGCCTGGCTAATTTTTGTATTTTTAGTAGAGATGGAGTTTTGTCATGTTTCCCGAACTCCTGAGCTCAAGGGATCCACCTGCCACGGCCTCCCAAAGTGCTGGGATTACAGGCGTGAGGCACCGCACACGGCCTCTACAAAAAAATTTTTAAGAATTAGCTGGGCACGATGGCATGCATCTGTGGTCCCAGCTACTCAGAAGGCTGAGGTATCTGTAATATTAACTCTTTTCCAGTGGCTTCAGATATACGTGAAGTGGACACAGTAGAGCTTCTATCACAATATTAGTTGATAAATATATGACTATTAGTTTTCTAAAAAGTGGGCAAAAACCTAGCACCTTAGTAAAAATCACCTTAGTAAATAACGGTAACTAATATGAAATAAGGCATGAAACAATAAACACGTTCCTTCTAGGTGCTGAAATTATATCTGCATCCACCCAAGCTAATCAGATTCCATTTTATTTGGAAACTAAAGTCTCATAAAGAACTTTGTTTTATTCAAATAACCATGAAAACCATACAAGCTGTTCTAAGTATGTTGCTCTTATTTTTGTGAGCATTCCTTTTGACTTGACATTGACCTCTCCACCTAAGAAGTTTGAAGACAAACCCCTGGTGCTTTATACCTTTAATGATACATCCCCTGATTTTATCTGCAACTCCTTGAACAAAAATCTCTAGGCTATTTCTTATTTCTCACATACTTTTCCTTCCTTCTTTTCTTTTCTTTTTTTTTTTTTTTTTTTTTGAGATGGAGTCTCACGCTGTCTCCAGGCTGGAGTGCCATGGCGCAATCTTGGCTCCCTGCAACCTCTGCCTCCTGGGTTCAAGCAATTCTCCTGCCTCAGCCTCCTGAGTAGCTGGGACTACAGGTGCGTGCCACCATACCTGGCTAATTTTTGTATTTTCAGTAGAGACGGGGTATCACCATGTTGGTCAGGCTTGTCTTAAACTACCAAACTCGTGATCTGACTGCCTCTGCCTCCCAAAGTGCTGGGATTACAGGCGTGAGCCACCATACCCGGCCCTTATTTTTTAATAGTCAGGTTTTTTAATGAAGTCATTAAAGTCAGATTATACAGAATCAGAGGGAGTCAAAAGTCAGTTTCCTTTTACTGTGTCTCCCAAATCCACTTGCCTTTTCAAAGATAATTGCTGAAAACATTATTTGGTGGGTATCATTTATATCCTTTTATGTCAAAATATGTGAGTGAATATTTTACACATGCAAGTTTGTTCTTTTTTTTTAAATTTTTTCATTATACTTTAAGTTCTGGGATACATGTGCAGAATGTGCAGGCTTGTTACATAGGTATGCACGTGCCATGGTGGTTTGCTGCACCCATCAACCCATTATCTACATTAGGTATTTCTCCTAATGCTATTCCTCCCCTACCCCCCTGATCCCCCGAAAGGCCCTGGTGTGTGATGATCCCCTCCCTGAGTCCATTTGTAGTCATTGTTCAAATTCCACTTATGAGTGAGAACATGTGGTGTTTGGTTTTCTGTTCTTGTGTTAGTTTGCTGAGAACAATGGTTTCCAGCTTCATCCATGTCCCTGCAAAAGACATGAACTCATCCTTTTTTATGTCTGCATAGTATTTTATGGTGTATATGTGCCACATTTTCTTTATCCAGTCTATCATTGATGGGCATTTGGGTTGGTTTCAAGTCTTTGCTATTGTGAACAGTGCTGCAGTAAACATACGTGTGCATGTGTCTTTATAGTAGAATGATTTATAATACTTTGGCTATATACCCAGTAATAGGATTGCTGGGTCAAATGGTATTTCTGGTTTGAGATCCTTGAGGAATCGCCACACCGTCTTCCACAATGGTTGAACTAATTTACACTCCCACCAACAGTGTAAAAGCAAAAGCGTTCCTATTTCTCCACATCCTCTCCAGCATCTGTTGTCTCCTGACTTTTTAATGATCACCATTCTAACTGGCGTGAGATGGTATCTCATTGTGGTTTTGAAAGGTGAAAGAGATATTGATGAGTGGGGAAAAAGTATTCAGTGTGACAATAAGAAGACTAATAAAAAACTTGCACATTTCTCTGCAAATTTGTTCTCATTAGTCTTCTTATTGTCATGCAGAATACTTTTCACCCTTCATCAATATCTCTTTCACCTTTTTCAATGCTATTTACTTTTAATATTATTTTTTCACAGTTTTAATAAGGTAGAATTGACAAATAAATAATTGTATATATTTACAGTATATGACGTCATGTTTTGATGCATGCATACATTGTAAAATGATTACATGGAGCTCATTCACTCATCTATTACCTCTCCTGTTTATTTTCTTTTTCGTGGTGAGAATATTTAAGATCTAATCTCTTAGCAATTTTCAAGTCTCAAATATATTATTAACTATTGTCATCATGCTGTACAACAGATCTCCAAAATTTTTTCATTCTAACTGAAACTTTGTACCTTTTAACTGACATCTCTCCACCCTCCACCTCTCCAGTCCTTGGCAACCACCATTCTACTCTGTTTCCGTGAGTTTGGAAATTTTAAATTCCACCTACAATTAAGATTATGTAGTGTTTGTCTTTCTGTGACTGGCTTATTTCCCTTAGCATAATGTACTCCAGGTTAACCCATGTTGTCACAAATCACAAGACTTCCTTCTTATGTATAGTATCATATCCCATTGTGATTCATATCCCACTGTGTACGTATCCACTTATCCATTTATCCATCATTGGACACCTAGGTTGATTCCACATCTTGACTATTGTGAAACATGCTGCAATGAATGTGACAGTGGAGATATCTCCTTGACAGATTGTTTTCATTTCCTTTGGATATATATGCAGAAACAGGACTTCTAGATCATAGGGTAGTTCTATTTTTAATGTTTTGTGGAACCTCCACCCTGTTTTCCATAATGGCTGTACTAATTCACATTTCCACCAACAGTGTTCAGGGGTTCCCTTTTCTTCATATCTTCACCAATGCTTATTTTTTGTCTTTTTGGTAATGGCCATTCTAACAGATATGAGATGATATTGCATTGTGGTTTTAATTTGCATTTTCCTGATGATAAATCAAGTTGAGCACTTTTTCATAAACGGTACCTGTTTGCCGTGTATGTGTCTCTCTTTAAGAAATGTCTATTCAAGCCCTTTTCCCCATTTTTTAACAGAGTTATTACTTGGTTTTTGAGATGTTTGGGTTCGTTAGAAATTTTGGATATTAGACTTTTCTCAGATACGTGGGTTTGCAAATATTTTCTCAGGTTCCTAGCATTAGTATTTTTGCTCCCCCATATAGTATTTTATAGGATGGTTGTACCATACTATATTTAATTACTTTACAATAGATGAGAATTCAAGCTGGTTCCAGTTTTTAGCTATTGCAAACAATGCTGCCATACTGAGTACTTTCAGTGGTATGTAACTGTGTTAGTATTTCTATAGGATAGTTTCTAGAAGCAGCTTGCTGTTAAGGATGTGCACGCTGTAAATGTTGATAGTTGCCGCTATAAGCTCTTCAAAAATGTTCCAGCAAAACACATCCAGCAAACCACAGTGAATGTGTATGAACGTGCCTCCTGTTTCCTGCCATTGTTGTCACTCATGATTACATTAATCTGTACTAGCAAAATATAGCCTCTCTTCATTACTGTATTTTGAACACACTCCCTAGTATTGGGTTGAGACTATGTTCACATGTCTATGAGTATTTGTGTTTCCCCCAACCCCCCTTGAAAATACTACTGCTTTAATTTCCTTTCATTTTTTTTCTTTTCTTCTCATATCTTTTCCTTTATTTTTGATGCTTCTTGCCAAATTTTTTACAATCTATTTTTCAGCCTTTTAATCTTTCAATTTTTTTGTATCATGTTACTTGGTGTGTATTTCTTATACATAGCACATAGCTATTTTTTTCTTTTTATCTAGTCTCCTCTTCTAATGTACAAAATAAATGCATGCACATGTACTGGGCTAATTGATATGTTTCATTTTCTTACTGTTTTTTATCTTTCATACTTTACCTAGTTGGCTTAAATTTTTTTCTTACTTATTTGCTTTAGGGTTTTGTAATTTATATGTACTATTTCTCTTCTCTAGTCTTACTTTTAAATATGTTTTATGTAAATGCTAAATATTTGCAACTATAATTTACCCTTTCCCCAAAAATAAGGCAAACATTTTGCACACTTGTCATCTTTCTCCCTATATCCCAACTTTAAATGAAAATATCCTTTTTTCTTACAAACTTACACTTATTCTACTTTTTTCTCTCTCTTTTTTTTTGGCGATGGATTCTTGCTCTTGTCACCCAGGCTGGAGTGCAATGGTATGATCTCAGCTCACTGCAACCTCTACCTCCCCGGTTCCCTGGTTCAAGTAATACTCCTGCCTCAGCCTCCTGAGAAGCTGGGATTACAAGCACCTGCCACTACGCCCAGCTAAATTTTGTATTTTTAGTAGATACAGGGTTTCACCATGTTGGCCAGGCTGGTCTCGAACTTGTGACCTTGTGATCTCCCCACCTAGGCCCCCCAAAATGCTGGGATTACAGGTGTGAGCCACTGTGCCCGGCCTTATTCTACTTTTATAGTAATCAGTTATTAATAAATGCAACAAATTTAAGTGAGGAAATAAAACCTTTAGACAAACATTTTATTCAAACATATTGATTTTTAAATGATAATTATGGGTGCTGTCCTCCCCATAGCAATTCTGCTGCCTCTAGGACCCAAAGGAAGTCAAGTTGATTGCATGTGGTGAACTGTTTTTCTCGGTTAAATTATACTAACTGCCCTACACCAAACGTCCCAGTGCTGGTTGGTGGGAAGTGATATAGTAAAAAACACACAGTGATTAACCACAAAGATCAGATGGATTCAGGACAGAAGCTGTATTCTACCTTTACTCTTTCTGATTTCACCATTGCTGAGCTTGGGTTGCTGACAATGTCTTTCAGCAAAGTGGGTTGAGTTCTCAGATAATGTTTATTTTATCAACATGGTTTTTGTTGCTGTCATTAAGAATGGACTGGAATTTCCCAGTGGTAAAACAGCAAACCTGGGAGAGGAAAAGAGCCCGTTTCGCAGGTGCAGGTGTTTGTTGCAAGCTCTGTAGAGATCTCGCCTTGTGCTGGCACCGTAATCGAACTGTTGGAAAGAGGGTGCAGCAGACTCACACTCCAGGGTCCCCAGCACAGCAGGAGGCTGTTGGCATTGACATCACTCTCCAGCATGGCCAGAGGGCTGCAATTTGGTGGGGCCAGCCCAGGTCCCTTGGAAGACGCTTTATCAAAGCATTTAACTAGAAGAATTAAAATTCAGTTTTATTACCAAATAGAAAACGAAACAGAGGAAGGAGGACAGAAATAAAGCCAAAGCATATTAGTGATGATAACAACTGTGACTGACTCCAACTTTTCTATTAAAAGATTTGCATATCAGTACACATAACTTATACAAAGTTGGGCCTTGCTTATTTTATACACATACATTAAACCAAATCATAGAAACATTTTTAAAGAGTCAGACAGTCAAATACTAACCAAAAGAAAAGCTAATGTGGCACTATCAAAAGTTGAGAAAGTAGGATTCAAGGCAGGAATATTTAAACAGGACAAAGAAGCATATATTTTATGTTGATGATAATTAAAATAGCCTGAGAAGGAATAGCAGTCATTGTCGCATATACAGTGAGCAATGTAAATCAAATTGTATCAAGGAAAATAATTATGAGTAAAATATGAATTAATGAAACCATGGTCATAGAGGGAAGATTTAATTTACTTTCTCCAGCATTGGAAAATCAAATAGACAAAAAATGTGAGCCTGTAGAGGATATAATTAACAAAATTAATAAGTTCAATCACATACAAACACCTATACATGGGCACATATAGAGCTAGAGTTAGTGCGTTATAACTAGTATGTGTGTGTACGTGTATGAGCATATATAAGCATGTATGTGCACTATTATAACTATTATGTGTGTGTACATGTATGAGCACATATAAGCATGTTTGTGCTTGTACATGACACACACATTTGTAGGCAGCAAATAAAGATTTTACCTTTAATCAAATATCCACTAAAATAAAAGCAAATCCTTTACTTCTGGGTGTGAAGATCCGATATGATACAGGTGTCAAATTTCAATCCCAATGAAAATCCCAATAGAATTTCATTAAACTTGAAAACAGTCATTCTAAAAATTATCTGGAAGACAAAATTATACAGAACAATGCCAGGATATTCACTCTTTCAATTTCATTTCAAGATTGTCTTGGAGGTTCTTGCCCATGCAGTCGGAGGAACAGCCAAAGAAAAGCTGAAAGATTAATTAGAAAGGAAGAAAGAACACTGTCATTTTTTAAAAAGATAAAATAAACAAAATCACAAATAAACAATTGTGTATATCAATAGCCCAAATGGATTTTCAGATTAATTAATGAATTAAGAAGTAACTTTAAAACTTCTCTAGGGACAGAAGTTAATAAACCTAAATCCTCCTTTATATAGTCATATACAACAAAAAATGAATATGTAAAGGTATCATTTTCAATATTATTAAAAATATCAGATACATAGAAATAAATATTGCACATACTATGGGCAAGACATCTACATAGGAAACTGTAAAACCAATTAAGTTAAAGATGATGTAAGTAATGAAGACATAAACCATGCATGTGAATTGGATGATACAATAGCATAAAAATGTTAACTCCCCTAAGCTGATCAGTGCCTTTTGAGTGGGAATACAGCAGATCTAAAGAGGATCTAATTACAAAACTGATTTAAACATTCAAATAAAAATCCAAAGTGCCAAGAACAGCTCTGGTCACCTTAAAAGAAAAGAACAAGTAGGAAGAATTGCTTTATAAGAAATTAAAGCTTATTATAAGGTTATATTAATTAAGACAGTGTGTATTACCAAAGGGATGTTCAAAGAGACCAACAGTACTGAATTTAATGGTGTGAAAACAACATATACATATATGGCAATTGATTTAGGACAAAGGTGGAATTGTAAAACAATGGGGAAAAGGATAGACTTTCAAAAATAATGCTGGGAAAATTGGATACCCATATGGAAAAAGATATTGGGTTACCTTATATGCAAAACTCTAGTCCAAGAGATTATATACTTAAGTGTAAAAGGCAAAAGAATACCCTGTTTAGAAGACATTGTAGACAAACATCTTCATGACTTAAAGGTAGAAAAATATTTCTTAAAAAGGACACACAAATTAGCCATAAAGGAATTGGCTGACACATTTGAATACCTTAAAAATAAGAGCATCTTTTTATCCATAGACACCATCAGGTATATGAACGAACAAGCCACAAAACAGAAGAAGGAAGACGTTTTCAATTCACATACCAACAAAAAGCACAAACCCGGAGTATGTAAAGAATCTCTAGAAAACAACATGAAAAGGGTAGACAACTCAGTTTAAAATGGGCAAAAGACATGAACAAACACTTCACAAATGTGAATCCAAATGGCCAATAGGTGTATAAAAAGTGCTCAAGTCATCAGAGAAATGTAAATTCAAGCCTCAAGAAATGCTATCATACTCACTTGAAAGGCTAAAATGAAAAAGATAATCAATATCAAGCAGTGGTGAAAATGGAGTTCAATGGAAATATTTATACCCTGCTGGTGGGAGTGTAAATGTGCCTGATATACTGCAAACATGTGGCATTACCGTCAATATTAAACATGCGCATACAGTTGAAGCTGGCACCATACACTCTGAAGCATGGTGCATAGAGACTCACGTGCCCTGGAAGACATATACAGGAATCCACAGAAGCATTATTCAGAAGAGTCCTAAACAGGAAGCAATCCAAGTTTGCAGCAACAGCATAACAGATACATATATTGTAGGATATTAATGTCAGAGAATATAGCAATGAAAGTGATTTAAATTAAGTTATACGTAACAATGTAGATGAGTTTTCAAAACAAAATATTGAATGAAAGAGGCCAAATACAAAAGGATGTTGTTTTTTTTCTTTCTTTCTCTTTTTTTTTTTTTTTTTTTTTGAGACAGAGTCTCGCTCTGTTGCCCAGACTGGAGAGCAATGGCGTGGTCTCGGCTCACTGCAACCTCCGCCTCCTGGGTTCAAGCGATTCTCTTGCCTCAGCTTCCTGAGTAGCTGGGATTACAGGCACCCGCCACCATGCCTGGCAAATTTTTGTATTTTTAGTAGAGATAGAGTTTCATCATGTTGGCCAGGCTGGTCTCGAACTGCTGACCTCGTGATCAGGCCACCTCGGCCTCCCAAAGTGCTGGGATTAGAGGCGTGAGCCACTGCACCTGACCAAGAATGTTAAGTTCTTTCATATAAAGTCCATTTATATGAAATTCAAAAGTGTACAAAATTCCATGACAGTGTTTCAGCATTTGCACTTGGCTGTAATTATGCTGAGAGTCGGTGTGGTAGCTCCTGTCTGGAAGCAGTGAGTTGAGGCTGGGGTCAAGCTAGGCAACTTGGGGCCTTCAGTGTTCCGTTTCTTGACCGGGGTGGTAATTACAAGGGTGTTCACTCTTAAATAATTTGTTAAGTTCTACATTTATATTTTATGCATTTTAATACACACATTATATTTCATAATAAAATGTTCTAAGAAAATGAGAATTTTTAGAGAAGAATATATTTGTCAAAATGAGTGTAATAAGCAAGTTCTATATGTGAACACGCATAACCAAACTGTAATCGTGGAAACAGTGTCCAGGAGCCAGTGCACAGAGCGAGTCACTCTACAGCTGTGCCTGAGACATGCAAAGCACTTAACGTGTGATAGAGGCATCTTTTTAAATCCATGAGCAATAGATAGGTGGATTATTTAATTAATTGTGTCAGGATAAATAGTGCTAGCTAAATAGAAAAAACTATTGAACCTAAATACTTCTCTCATATCATGTAGGACAACAACAAACACTAGATGAAATAATAAGTTCATTATAAAAATCAAGTAATCAGCAAAATTATTTTACCTTTGGGTGTATGGGTAAAGGAGGGAATTCCAAGTAAAAACAAAACAAAACCTTAGTGAGAGCGTCAATAAATCAAAATTACCATTTATGATTTTAAAACTTCTGATGTCTAAAACTTCCAATTTAAAAATTAAAAAGCATGTATCAAACTGGGAAATTATATTTTAAACCTTTATGACACACAGGGATTAATACCCTTAATGAACAAGCATGTATATATGTTGATTTTTTAGAAGATGCCAAGACTCAAGGAGAGAGCCAGAGTATTTTACAAAAAAGTAAATATTACACAAATGGATATTGGTGATGAAAAGTTCCATCTTACAAGTACTGAAATAGTTAAAGGTTAGAACAAGATGATCCCATTTGTCACCTATCAAATTGTCAGGGATTTTTAAGTACTGGCAAGGACTCAGTTGGGTAGAATTCTCATCCTGCTGACGGCCTGTCCATCAGGGAAAAGCGACTGGTCAATGGGTATCAAGAACCATCAGTCCATTTTTTCCTTTTTACCCAGTACTTCTCCTCCTGGAAGCCTATTCCAGGGAAATAATAAGAAATATGGACAAAGATTAATGCATAAACTCATGGCTTGCTGTGTTATTTGTAATAGCAATATATTGGCTATAGCCTAAGGTCCAGCACTACGGAGCAAGTTCCGACCCATCCCCTGAGGCTCCATGCTGCACCACCGGAATCCCGTTCCTAAACAGCTTGTGACACCGTGGGGAAACTCATGCATAGAATGAAGATGGGGCGGGGGCAGATCCAGGTTTTGGGGGCCTGAGCACTACACAACTTGTGTGGCCTTTAAGAGAGAGAATAAAATTCCCCAGTACAGGATGGAGCCACAGCTAGGGTCCCTGAAGTTTAAGCTTCATGTGCTTCTTAGAAATCTATCTCTGAATATTATTAAATTATGAAGCATGCTTTAAATTATACCAAAAATATTTGTAATAGAAAAGGGACTGAACTAAAGGGACAACATATGAACTTGTTGATTGAAATAATGGTCAGTACTTTTCTTCTTTGTGTATGATTCATTAATTTAAAGAAAAACACATTTTAAGTAAGGAAACAAAGTGGAGAGGGAGAGGGAAATAGAAAATTCTAGGCAGCAAAGAGAGACTGAGTAAAGGCAGGGAGACTTGAGTTTGTTCCAGTGGCAGGAATGTAACACATAGGTAAAGCGAGAGGCAGAGTCAAGGGCTGTTGGGGAGAGGCAGGCCAGGTCCATGGAGCACCACGTTCCACCATGGAAAGGTTGAAACAGGGAAACACTCTACTCCCCCAGCCCATGTGTGTTCTTTCCATCACTAGAGATTTAAGGTGTTCCTCTTGAAGCCAGCAAGAGAGGAAAAAGTCCAGTTCATGTAGGATTGTCCAAGCTGACCTGGGTGGGATTCAGGATGGGGAAGGGGCTCTGAGCCACGTAGGAGGAGAGCAGGAGGGCCCAGGTTCGGGGAAGGGAGATCCTCATGACAACACGCAGACCTCCCACCATGGCCAGGGACCACTGGCTGGAGCAGGGGATCTTCCCCTCCTGTCCAAGTGCTGCTGGCCACAACTCGCCTGATAGAGAGTCACTCTTGAAGGTGGAAGAGGAAGAAAGGAAGGCTCATCAAACACTCAGTGAGCAGAGAAGGCGAAGCCATCCACTGGAAGCAGCGCACATATCCCAGCTGGCTGCAGGACTGAATCTGTCATCTGGAGATGAGATCACGGGAAGATCTGAGCCTGCCAACTTGGGCATGGAGGGATGGGGTGGAGAGGAAGGAAGGCCTCTTAGCAAAGGTGGCTCTTGCTTGAGAAAGCATGGAGGCCCTCCTTTTCTTATTTATAAACCCAAAGATCATCCATTTTCTATAAGGCTTTTCCAACCCTAAAAATCCTAAAACTTGTCCAAGAAGCCCTTCACAGGTACCCATCCGTTTTCATTTCACAGTCCATTTTTGGTCACATGAGATAACTATAGGACACTTAGGTAATAGTAAGAGGAAGGTGAACAGGAACCATTTTCAGGAAAATAAAGTGTTCTCCCCCATCACTCACCCCAGTGAAATCTAATTATTTTTACTCCCCCATAATCTTTACTATTCAAAAGGTAAAATAGAAAAATAATTAATTTTATTAGCAAAATTTACTAGATTAATACAACTGAGAACTCCACATAAAATGTTAGCATTAAATATTAAGATATATTAATAAAATAGTAGATTAAGAAGCCTAATATTTAATACAACACATTCATTGGGGGAATTGCATCAGTTTAAGCACAAAAGAGAAAAGAGAAGATTCT